>NC_000011.10:108384545-108687576 GCF_000001405.40 Homo sapiens | reverse complement strand
CCAAAGAGGATATGTAGATAAAAAAAATAACCATATGAAAAGATGCTACACCAGCCTGGGCAACATGGTGAAACCCCATCTCTACAAAAAAATACAAAAGTTAGCTGGGCATGGTGGCATGTGCCTATAGTCCCAGCTACCTGGGAGGCTGAAGCAGGAGCATCAATTCAGGCTAGGGAGTTCGAGGCTGCAGTGAGCCATGATCATGCTACACTGCACTCTAGCCTGGGTGACAGAGTAAGACCTTGTCTCAAAAAAATAAAAAACAATTTAAAGATGATCCATATCATATGTCAACAGGCAAAAGTTAATTAAAATAACGATATGTCACTTCACACTTATTAGATGGCCAAAATCCAGAACAGTGACGACACCAAACGCTGGCAAGGATGTGGAGCCACAGGAACTATCCTTCACTGCTGGCAGAAATGCAAAATGATACTGCCATTTTGGAAGACAGTATAGCAGTCTCTTAAAACCAAACATACTTGAGGCCGGGCGCAGTGACTCATGCCTGTAATCCCAGCACTTTGGGAGGCTGAGGCAGGCAGATCACGAGGTCAGGAGATCGAGACCATCCTGGCAAACACAGTGAGACCCCATCTCTACTAAAAGTACAAAAAAAGTAGCCGGGCGTGGTGGCGGGCACCTGTAGTCCCAGCTACTTGGGAGGCTGAGGCAGGAGAATGGCATGAACCCGAGGGGCAGAGCTTGCAGTGAAGGGAGATTATGCCACTGCACTCCAGCCTGGGCGACAGAGCAAGACTCTGTCTCAAAAAAACATACTTTTAGTACCTGACCCAACTATCACGTTCCTTGGTATTTACCAAAAAGAGTTGAAAACATACGTCCACACAAAGATCTGCAAAAGGATGTTTATTGCAGCTTTATTCATAATTGCCAAAACTTGAAGGCAATCAAGATGTCCTTCAGTAAGTGAATGGATAAATAAACTGTGGTACATCCAGACAATGGAATATTATTCAGTGCTAAAATGAAATGAGCTATCATATCACTCCATGAAAAGACATGGAGCAATCTTAAATGCGTAATATTAAGTGAAAGCAACCAATACGAAAAGGCTACCATACTGTATGGTTCCAACTATACAACATTCTGAAAAGATGACACTATGGAGACAGTAAAAAGATCAGCGGCTGCCAGGGGAGATGAATAAATGAATAGGCAGAGCACAGAGGACTTTCAGGGCAGTGAATATACTGTGAAATACTATAACAGTAGACATATGTTATCATAAATTTGTCCAAATCAATGGGCTGTACCACACCAAGAGTGAACCCTAAAGTAACAGACTTTGGGTGATAAGGATGCAAAAACATAGGTCCATCCATTGTAGCAAATGCACCACCATTCTAGCAAGAGTGTTGATAATGGCAGAGGCTGCATGGGGACAGCAGGTATGTGGCAAATCTCTGTACCTTCCTTTCAATTTTGAGATTAACCTAAAACTGCTCTAAAAAAACAGTCTTTAAAGAAGAAATAGGCCATATCTATAGGGAATTATGGGAAACAGAATGAAGTTTTACAAAAGAGCAAAATGAAAACAATAAGCCCAAATATATATCAAGTTGATGACTAAATGACAAAGGAATTATTTCAAAGGAAATGCCTTTGAAGGAATTTGATTCCTACATCTTTACTGGGATGTCTAAGGAGAAAAAGAGAAATGCAAAGGAATCTTAAACTTTTATAAGTAATCATATTATCAGTAATAATATTGGTATTATCCTGAAACTATTTTAGATACACTGACAGATGAAACAGAAGTCTTTAGGAATGAATGTTTGGCAGAAGAGAAAAGAGATACATATTTTTTAAATGAGGCTTAATAAAAACCTTGTAATTCTAAATACCATTTGTAATTATCAGCATGAACTCTTTTAAAAAGGCCTGTCCACTGTAAAGCTTAACACAATGACCATGCCTGTTAGCACTTAGACTATGGTCTTTATATACCAGATCCTGCTAGAAGGATTTTATAAGAACTGGAGATAACCTTGGGAGGAGCCAAGATGGCCGAATAGGAACAGCTCCGGTCTACAGCTCCCAGCGTGAGCAACGCAGAAGACGGGTGATTTCTGCATTTCCATCTGAGGTACCGGGTTCATCTCACTAGGGAGTGCCAGACAGTGGGCGCAGGCCAGTGTGTGTGCGCACCGTGCGCGAGCCGAAGCAGGGCGAGGCATTGCCTCACCTGGGAAGCGCAAGGGGTCAGGGAGTTCCCTTTCCGAGTCAAAGAAAGGGGTGACGGACGCACCTGGAAAATCGGGTCACTCCCACCCGAATATTGCGCTTTTCAGACCGGCTTAAGAAACGGCGCACCACGAGACTATATCCCACACCTGGCTCAGAGGGTCCTACGCCCACGGAATCGCGCTGATTGCTACCATCAGAGTGAACAGGCAACCTACAACATGGGAGAAAATTTTCGCAACCTACTCATCTGACAAAGGGCTAATATCCAGAATCTACAATGAACTCAAACAAATTTACAAGAAAAAAACAAACAACCCCATCAAAAAGTGGGCGAAGGACATGAACAGACACTTCTCAAAAGAAGACATTTATGCAGCCAAAAAACACATGAAGAAATGCTCATCATCACTGGCCATCAGAGAAATGCAAATCAAAACCACTATGAGATATCATCTCACACCAGTTAGAATGGCAATCATTAAAAAGTCAGGAAACAACAGGTGCTGGAGAGGATGTGGAGAAATAGGGACACTTTTACACTGTTGGTGGGACTGTAAACTAGTTCAACCATTGTGGAAGTCAGTGTGGCGATTCCTCGGGGATCTAGAACTAGAAATACCATTTGACCCAGCCATCCCATTACTGGGTATATACCCAAAGGACTATAAATCATGCTGCTATAAAGACACATGCACACGTATGTTTATTGCGGCATTATTCACAATAGCAAAGACTTGGAACCAACCCAAATGTCCAACAATGATAGACTGGATTAAGAAAATGTGGCACATATACACCATGGAATACTATGCAGCCATAAAAACTGATGAGTTCATGTCCTTTGTAGGGACATGGATGAAATTGGAAACCATCATTCTCAGTAAACTATCGCAAGAACAAAAAACCAAACACTGCATATTCTCACTCATAGGTGGGAATTGAACAATGAGATCACATGGACACAGGAAGGGGAATATCATACTCTGGGGACTGTGGTGGGGTCGGGGGAGGGGGGAGGGATAGCATTGGGAGATATACCTAATGCTAGATGACAAGATGACAAGTTAGTGGGTGCAGCGCACCAGCATGGCACATGTATACATATGTAACTAACCTGCACAATGTGCACATGTACCCTAAAACTTAAGAGTATAATAAAAAAAAAAATTAAAAAAAAAAAAAAGAAAATCTATAACCTTAAAAAAAAAAAAAAAAAAAGAACTGGAAATAGATAAGATAAACTTAGAACACCAGAAAGCAAGGAGTCCAAAGATTACTAAAATGCATCTGAAGAATCAAGATAATAACTTGAAGCATCTACTAGCGAAGTTTGGGATGACACAAGATGAATATTAAATATAAAAATTTCTATTGATTCAAGGACATAAAAAGATGTTTAATCTATGAGTTAAGTATCATTAATTCATCATTAATTATCATTAAATCTGAGTTCATTTTTAGTACACACAACCTCCACCCCCCACCAAAAACAAATACTGCTAACCTTCAGAAAATACTAGGGAACCAACTCATTGGTGTTACAGCATACATTCTAATATTCTGGCTTTCCTGTAAGAACTGTACCTCAGAATCACATAGTTCATGTGAAAGCTCTTTGATATGAAAGTATTTAAACTAATGAAGAAATAATAGAATTAAAATATCACAATTTTGCAAACCCTGATGAAATAATGGAGCTAGGCAATAATTTCTATCAGCTGCTAAAATTGCAGGGCTAAGAAGCTGCTTGTATCAGATTAACCCTCTGGCCTAGAATAGCAACTACAAAAGCAGGAATAAATACAAAACAAAACAAAAAGACTGGCAGCATCTGAGAGCTACCAAGGCAGGTAGGACTTGAGGTGCTAAAGGAAAAAACAGAAATGCCCTGAGCCAAGCCCTCTGTTAACAACCTCACTTTTCTCCCCAAAAGCATTTGCTGATTGCAAGACAGGGGAGAAACAAGGTAGCAGCCTTAAGCCTAAACACATCAGTCGCAAGTCCCAGAGAGAAGGAAAACTGAATCTAAAATTTTTCATACAATTTACCCTTGAGGAACATGCCAACCCCTAAACAGAGCACACATAAGTCAAAATGAGGAAAAACAAGCAAAAACCAACCAACTGGGAAGCTACAGAACTGAGCAGAGATTCTGGCAGGGTCACAATGCTACGAGGTTCACAACTTGCCAAGACAGAGGGGCCCTGGTAGATACCTCAGTCTTTTGGTTGAGACCCTGAGAAAGGCTATGCCCCATCTGTGAAGATTATACCCCAAGTCTCAGGACAAACCAGAAATAGGATAACCCCAGAGTCTAATTGCCAGGCTAGACCAGATCAAGACAACCTGACCTTAAGGCATTTGCTGGCCAGAAATAAAGAAAAAATTACCTTCAAAGGAACAAGAGAACTGTCAGATGACTTTGACAGAAATAATGGAACTTAGAGTACAACAAAGATGTCTTTGAAGAGGAAAAAAAAACTGCCAAGATAGGCTTCAAAAAAAAATGAAGATGAAATAAAGAGGTTTTCAGAAAGGTCAAAACGCTGTTTCACTAACAAGTCTGCACTAAAAAGGAAATTATCTGAGCAAAAGAAAAATTCTCAGGTGGAAGGGTGACAATACAAGAAGAAGAACTGGGTAAGTCTAAATAAATACTGATGTTGCAAACAGTGATAACAGTGGCTTATGGGGCTTAAGATACACGTGGAATTAAAATACTTAACAATGAAGACACAAAGGTAGGAAGAAGTAAAGGGACCCAAATAATAATTAAATTAACTGTCAAAAGCAATTATCATACCAGATTAAAAATATGCTACTCACAAAGACAAATCTAAAAACATAGGGTGTAAACAATGTAGAAAGTACAAGGATGGGAAAGGATTCACCATGCAAATGCTAACTCAAAGAAAGTTGCTATAGGTAGACTAATATCAAACTAGACTTAAAGTTGGCCAGGCACAATGGCTCAGGCCTGTAATCCCAGCACTGTGGGAGGCCGAGGCGGGTGGATCACCTGAGGTTAGGAGTTCGAGACTAGCCTGGCCAACATGGTGAAACCCCGTCTTTACTCAAAATACAAAAATTAGGTGGGCATGGTGGTGGGCACCTGTAATCCCAGCTGCTCGGGAAGCTGAGGCAGTAAAATTGCTTGAACCCGGGAGGCAGAGGCTGCAGTGACCCGAGATCATGCCACTGCACTCCAGCCTGGGCGACAGAGCAAGACTCCATCTCAAAAAACACTAGACTTTAAGGCAAAAAAGAATTAGTAAAGATGAAAAGAAACATTTTATAAAATGAAAAAACACCGGGAGTAGGGAAGTGTTTTGCTACTCGTATTACAAATAAATAATTAATTTATCTAAAGGGCTCCTCCGAGCCAATAAGAAAAAGGCAAAAAAACCAAACCAAAAAAGACAGACTGTCCACAGAAAATAAGCACATACATGCAAAAAAGAAGCATTTCATAATGATTAATGTTTCAAATTGACAATGCAATTCTAAATTTGTATATACCTAATAACATAAGCTCATGACATATCTCAAATTTGAAATTTTTCATAATCCACCATAGAATTCAACTTGTCACTGAAAAACAGCAAATTGCTATGGCCCAAAGGCATATTCTCTCAAAAATAAAATCATTAGAAATACCAGTTGTCTATATATAACCACATAATGAAAACACTAGTATACTTTTTCTAAGTATGCTCTGACTTACAACTTCAGAAAGATCTAATTTTTCTTTAGTTGTTGTGTCCTTCACAATTTGAGAGTAGATACTCTCTAACACCTTAAAATATTCTTGATTATTATCTCTCCTGGTGTATGAACCACATTGATAAGCTACTAAAGTGGAAAAGCTAACATTGACATTAGATGAAATTCCTAAGAGCATCTGCTTTTTTATGTTTCCTATAAATTTGGAATATTAGAATACTGCAGCCATTATCATATAACCTGAGGTTTTGTAAATTATGTCAATACATGTCTACCTTCCAAAATTTTTTTCTGAAAATTTTGTCCACCACACTTTTATAAGTGATGGGACCGGGTTTCAAAAATCATTTGTGAAATAATATCAAAGTCTTTGTAGTTTTTTTCTAAAACTTTGTAATTTACAGAAAATAACCAACTCTTACCTACAGAAATTGGGGATAGGAAATAATACGTACAAATTAACTTGCATAAATTATGAAAGGTCTTAGAGACATCTAATGATTAAAAAAATCTGTCTGATGAATATTAAAAATAGGCTGGAGGCAAACAGAAAAAAGAGAAAAGTGAAAAATCCTAGACAAGCAGTCTTTACATTTTCAAGTTAATTGTTAATTGTCACAAAAATTTTCATAGCTATCTCAACTCTTTAAGAGATCAATGTCCACTCGAAAGTAAGCCAAGGGAAAAAAACTATACCTCACATATCTTACTATTCCATTCCCAAGTTCTTGAAAGTCAAAGATACCAGTACTCAGATTCCCCAAGATCACCCAGAAGCAAAGAATCTGGCCTCTTCGTCTCAGGCTTTTTAAATCCTAGACATACATTATACAAGGTCAAGATGGGCCTGAATACTCATATTTTCTCTATTTAAGGAATTTCCAGATAACACAATTCATTTTCCAAATCTATTTCTTTTTAGGCTAACATTTCAGAGCAAGAAGAAATAAAAATTTTAAGATATAAATAATAGAAGAGTTGAATTTACATTGCTATCTTCAACAAAAAATCCAACTTTATATTTACTGGAAAACATTTCTCCTGGAAGTCTGCAGTGATTCATACCAAATATATATGCTTCTAATTGTCATATGAAAATACAACTTAAAACATATCCCAGCTGGGCACAGTGGCTCATGCCTGAGTGTAATCTCAACACTTTGGGAGGCCAAAGTGGGAGGATTGCTTGATCTCAGGAATTTGAAACCAGCCTGGGCAATGTAGTAAGTCTTCAACTCTACAAAAAATTTTAAAATTAGCCACGCATGGTGGTATGCCCTGGTTGTCCCAGCTACTCAGGAAGCTGAAGCAGGAGGATTGTTTGAGCCCAGAAGTTGAAGGCTGTAGTGAGCTATATTCACACAACTGCACTCCAGCCTGGGTGACAGAGCAAGACCCTGTCTCGAAAAAAAGAGATAAATAAAAATTTCCCCAACTACTTGCATATCACAAACATACATACTTTTACTGTAACACATATACTTTAAGCTCTAGTTTTTAATGAGACCAAGACAAAACAATAGTTGCTAGAATTTTAGACTGAAAGGTATTTTGCTAAATATTAATGCACTTCATAAAATGTGTTCCATAACACATTAGTACTGCATAATCCTGCTAAAAAGGATGATTCCGTACCCAAAAAATTTGGTAAATGTAGCAAGCTACATCCACCTCCCTCCCACTGCTTTCAACAATCACAATGTCCCTGAAAATATTAAAGGTTGTGAGAAATAGAAATAAAACTGTTTCACTTTGACTCACCATTTGCTATTTCATCCCTTCTCCCTTCGTTTATTAAGAGGTAGTGTTGGCAAATGGTAAAATACCTCTTAACATCTATGGAAAAACATTTGTTCCCCTCCCAGACCACATTTTGGGAAATGCTACATTCAAGTACCCTGACATTTAAAGATATATGCAGAATTTGGGTAATTTTAACTGGTATATTTACTATGCTTTGCATAACCAATAACTCATAGAATGTCTTAATTCCCA
Source organism: Homo sapiens (assembly GCF_000001405.40). Taxonomy (NCBI): domain Eukaryota; kingdom Metazoa; phylum Chordata; class Mammalia; order Primates; family Hominidae; genus Homo; species Homo sapiens. The sequence continues at coordinate 108,679,641 of NC_000011.10, read as the reverse complement.
GAAAACAGATATTTAAAATACCAAATCCCTAAACTAAAAAAGTAAAAAACATTTATCTTGATTGACTCAAAGAGTACATACCTATATTTTGCTTTTTCATGAACCCAGACATACTCAGGGTTTTTCAAACTCAAGCGTGCAAGGTCCTTTACAGATTTAGTTTGTGTTGCTGAGAAAAGTAAAGTCTGACGTTTCTTGGGGAGATTTTCAATAACAGCATTCATGGTATCAGCAAAGCCCATATCCAAGATTCTATCTGCTTCATCAAGAACTGAAAAAGGAAAATGCAAGTTGAACTATCATATGTAAAATATACATTAGGCTAAATGCAATGGGTATCCTGGATTGGATCCTAAAACAGAAAAAGAACATTAGCGGAAAAACTGGTAAAACCTGAATAAAGTCTGGAATTTATATGATGTAGCAATGTTAACCTTAGTTTTGATAAAAGTACCATGTCATGTAAGACATTAACACCAGGGGAAGGCTGGGCACAGTGGCTCAGGCCTGTAATCCCAGCACTTTGGGAGGCCAAGGTGGGCAGATCACAAGGTCAAGAGGTCAAGACCATCCTGGCCAACATTGTGAAACCCCGCCTCTACTAAAAATACAAAAATTAGCTGGGCGTGGTGGTGCACACCTGTAGTCCCAGCTATCGGGAGGCTGAGGCAGGAGAATCACTTGAACCCATGAGCCGAGATCATGCCACCGTACTCCAGCCTAGCAACAGAGCGAAACTCTGTATAAAAAAAAAAAAAAAAAAAAAAAAAATTAGGGGAAACCAGCTGAAGGATAATGCAGGAACTCTCCACTGCAACTTTCCTACAAATCAAAAATGTTCAAAGATAAAGTTGATTTAAAAATACACATCAGGTAGTATTCCCAAGCAAAAAAGAAAAAGTTCATTTAAAAAAATGCCAATTTGACCTTTCAAGTTATTAGAAGCAGGTGTTAAAAACCTTGGCATGGTCTAATACTAACGTGCCTAATTTCACATATAAGCGTACATACATTCTTCTGATTTTTTTAAGTCTACTTTTACTTTCTGGGTTTAGAGCCCAAATGCCAAAATGTTTCAGTAATTTTTAAGTTTGTTTTGAATCATAACATTTATCTAACATAAAATTTCTATCATAAAAATGTATAAGGGCTCTCTCCTAAGTCTGAGCTTTTTTTTTTTTTAAATTAGAAATTGATTTGACTCACCTAACATTTGGAGGTCGGTAGCATGAAAAGATACTGTTTCATCCATGTGTTGAAGAAGCCGACCTGGTGTGCACACGAGTATATTTATGTTGTTGATCCTCTCAGCTTCGTGTTTTAGATCCTGAAAACAGTTATTTATTTTGATTACACAGACACATCACTCTCAGCAGCCTGTGTACCAAAGCTATAAAAGCCATCTGCATGGGCATTTCATCACAACATTTTAGATACTCTTGGAAATAAACATAACTTTTCCCTTGTATTTCTGAACCATATCCACATTTCTGGGCTAAATAAAAGTCTTTACAGGAAGACATAAGGAGCTCAGAGTTCTAAATTCTTATTCATACCCAGGATTTTGAGGCTAAGAAAAAAAAATAATCAAATGAATACTCCAAGTCAGGATTTCCTATTTGGATCAGAACTGACATAAACTGGAATCACTCTCATTCTTTAATTCAGGACCCAGGGACATTGAACAGACTCTGACACCGCTCAAGGACTGTACTTTGTGAACTGAAAAAAGCCGAGGTTCTCTCCTTGATACAAGAACCACTTCTCACAGTCCTGGAGGCGGTGGGAAAAAACAGAATGTTGTTAATTGTTAAAGTTAGGCAACAGGTACGTAAGGGTTTGTGATGCTATTCTTTCTTCTTTTGTGCATGTTTGCATAAAAATTGAAGTATTTATCCTCACAGTCTAGTGGAGATTCTAGCAGATAGAGGCATTCTAGATGTGCTATAAGATAGAACAAAAGTGAGCAGCAGGTCTTATCTTGACCTACTATAAACATTCCTCTAAAGAGTCTACCTTCCTTTCTTACGCTGCTGATGTAGCAATCCTCTGAATTATTCAGCCTCTTAGATAGATACCTTATTAAAAGGTACTAGTTCATATATGGAAATATCTTTCCCAATGAATATCAACAAATAACTTTACAGGATTAGAGTAAATATGTCTTAGAGAGGCTAATCAATTCAGATTCCCCGACAAAAAAAAATGGACTTTCTGGGCCTGCAAAATTGGCAACCAGATCGTAGATAGCAGCGACCACACCAAGTGCTACTATCCCATGAGGCCCTGGTCTAGGTCAGTCTGTTTAGATGAAGTCTCTGCTGCCTCCCTGTCATCGGCCACAGTACTCCAGTATAGGTTACAGAAGGAAAGGAAGGACATAGACAAAAGGACAAACCTTTCCACCAATGATGAGACCAGCTGAGAAGTCATGATTCTTTCCTACTTTTCGGAGAACCTCAAAGGTCTGATAGGCCAGTTCTCTCGTAGGTGATATTATGAGAACCCCCAGCCCATCTGTTGAAGTCCATTGCAGACGATATAAGGCTTCCAGCACCTCAAAAAGACAGCAAATTCATGTTCAGTAAGTCATCAGAAGTCAGCTTTTTGACCTGCATCTCAACCTTGCCCCTCCAAATCAAAGGGATCTTCCAAGCAGAAGGCATACCACTCAAGTTTTATCCAGTCCAAAGTAAATGATTTTGTTTATCTTCCATCAGAACCATCCACCCCCAACTCAGAGGAAAGGGAAAAGAAACCCCACGGTAGTTCAGCTGCTGCCAGAGCCATGCCATCAGGAAACTGGCTATCAGTGAAAGGTATGTACAACCCAAAGACCTTTACAACACACTTAAGAATAATATTTATCATTTTCTAAATAACCACACTAAAACTTTTGGCTGGGCGCAGTGGCTCACGCCTGATCCCAGAACTTTGGAGGAGGAGGCGGGTGCATCACTTGAGGTCAGGAGTTCAAGACCAGCCTGACCAATATGATGAAACCCCGTATTTACCAAAAATACAAAAATCAGCTTGGCGTGGTAGCCCACATCTGTAATCTCAGCTACTTGGGAGGCTGAGGCAGAAAGAATCGCTTGAACCTGGGAGGCAGAGGTTGCAGTGAGCCAAGATTGCACCACTGCACTCCAGCCTGGGCAACACAGCATGACTTCATCTCAAAAAAAAATAAAAATAAGTAAATAAACTTTCACCCATGTAGCTGCTGTAGTTATATAGTAACTGAATTATCTAGCTATAGGGAGCCTTTTTTTTTAAGGGGGCAAAAACACACTAGGATTTAAGAGAAAAGTGGTTTTTGCAATATTTGGAACAAAAACTAAAATGAGATTTTTCTGGGTCATTTTATAGGAATGAAAAATTAGGAGACCAACGTAACAGAGATGGAAGTGAAAGCCTAAGAAGCTCTACTGTTTTGCTGCCATAAAAGACCGATAGCAATGTCCCAGAAAATTCTCAACAAATGCCTAAAGCTCCTTAAACTGAGCATATTTCAGCTTTATCCTAAACAAGGTGGCAAGTATAAATGCCACTGGCAGGCTCACAAGGGTGAGAGCAGAAACTGTCTCCCACCAGTCCTACTGCAGCACAGAACCACTTTAACCTGCCATACTGGAGCACTCCACTTCCATCAAGAATGTAATGACTTGTCAAGGCACAATAGTTCATTCATTCAGTAAGTTATTGAGTGCCTGCCACATGCAAGGCACTGTGCTAGAACCTGGGGAAAATGGTGAGAACAAGACACACATGTGGCTCCTGTTTGATGAAGCTCGCATTCTAGCCAATCTATCATGAAATCTAACATGAAAACATCTCTTTATATAATCTGCATCTGGGCACAGAATGTTATAAAATTGTATAACAGACAGTCTGACCCAATGACAATGTACTTACTGGAACAAGAAAAGCCAGAGTCTTGCCAGATCCAGTTTTGGCCGCTCCAAGTACATCTTTACCTTGCAAAGCCAATCCAATGGTCTGCTTCTGTATCTCAGTCACCAAACGGTACTGAGCTTCTTGCAAACCTGGCAACATGGAGGGAAGAATTATACTTTAGAAGATCCCTGTAGGATGGTATTATAGGCTAAGTGAGTTGTGTCCCCCAAAATTCCTATGTTGAAGCCCTAATGCCTCGTACCTCAGAACATAACTATACTTGGAGACAGGGCCTTTAAAGAGGTTGATTAAGTTAGAGCCCCATAGGGGTGGACTCTGATCCAACACAAACGGTGTCTTTATGAGAAGAAACTTGAACAAAGAGACACCAAGGGTCCACATGCACAGAGGGAAAACCATGTGAAGAGAGACAAGTTATTCTGTGATCCACCTACTCCACTCCTGGGTATAATCCAAAGGGTTTATTAATAAAACCACTACTTTGAAAAGTATTTGTGCTCACATGTTCATTGCAGCATTATTCACAGAAGCCAAGATATGAAATCAACCTAAGTGTCCATGAATGAGTAAAGAAAATATATGTTATATACATACACATACACACACACACACACACACACACACACACACACACAAATGGAATATGACTCAGCCTTTAAAAAGGAAATCCTGTTATTTACAACAACATGGATGAACCTGGAGGACCTTATGTTAACTGAAATAAACCAGGCACAGCAATAAAGATGCCACATAATCTCACTTATATGTAGAATCTAAAAAAGCCAAATTCAAAGGAGCAGAGGGTAGAATGGTAGTTACCAGAAGCTGGGGGAAGTAAGGAGAGTGGGAAGATGTTCATCAAACATACAAAATTTCAGTTAGAAGGAAGAACTTCAAGAGATCTATTGTAGGCCAGGCGTGGTGGCTCACGCCTATAATCCCAGCACTTTGGGAGGCCAAGGCAGGCAGATTCCTTAAAGTTCAGGAGCTCAAGACTAGCCTGGGCAACATGGCAAAACTCTATCTCTACCAAAAATTTTTAAAAATTAGCCAGGCACAGTGGCATGCACCTGCAGTTCCAACTACTCAGGAGGCTGAGATGGGAGGATCACTTGAGCCCAGAAGGCTGAGGATGCAGTGAGCTAAGATCACACAACTGCACTGCACCCTGGGTGACGGAGCAAGACCCTATCTTAAAAAAAAAAAAGAGAGATCTATTATATATCTCTCTTAATATATACTGCTATAGTTAATTAAAATATACTGAAAAAAGAAAAAATACTAAGTAGATTTTAAGAGTTCTAAACACAAAAGGATGAGGTAATATTAGCACATATACAATTAGTTTGATTTAGCCATTCCACAGCATATACATATTTCAAAGCATCATGTATACACTGTAAATATATACAATTTTTTTTTTTGAGACGGTGTCTCACTCTGTTGCCCAGGCTGGAGTAGAGTGGCATGAACCCGCCTCCCAGGTTCAAGTGATTCCCCTGCCTCAGCCTGTAGCTGGGATTACAGGTGCCCGCCACCACACCCAGCTAATTTTTGTATTTTTAGTAGAGACGGGGTTTCACCATGTTGGCCAGGCTGGTCTCAAACTCCTGACCCTGTGATCCACCCACCTCGGCCTCCCAAAGTACTGGGATTACAGGCATGAGCCACCACACCTGGCCAAATATATACAATTTTTATGTATCCAAAAATAAAAAGGCAGCAAGAGGGCAGCCATCCACAAGCCAAGGAGGCCTGGAACAAATCCTTCCCTTATTTTGCCTTAAGAGGAAACCAATGCCACCAACATCTTGATCCCAGACTTCCAACTTCCAGAACTGTGAGAAAATCAGTCTCTGTTGTTTAAGCCACTCAGTCTGATATTTTGTCATCTCAGCCCTAGCAAACAGATACAAAGGGTGTTGCATCTTGGTTTGTTCCCTTGCTTATTTTAACTAACAAAATTAGATTTCATTTTATTCAGAGGATGCTGGAAACTTGTTTTTCTTTTAATTAGTCCAGAAAGAATGAGAATAACGTACTGTTAAAACTTGAATATTGCTTATTTTCATTGGTTTTCATGATATCAAAATTTGCCAAAATAAGATTTTTCAGGCTAAACCCTCTAAATCTTCTCCCATTTATCAAAAATGCCAAGAAATCCAATAACACATCCCAAGATCACCATATACTTACCTTTCAATGTTTTTTTGGACAAGGGAAAATCTGAAAATCTTGTGATTTCATTTACATTTATCTGGAAAAAAAGAAAAAGGAATCAGGGTAACTCATTTGTTTCACGACACAGCCATTTCTTCTCTACATTGTATTGCCCAGCTCATCCTTGGTAATTCAGGGTTGAATTCAATCATCGCTTCTAATTAAAAGCCATCATTCCTTCTGTAACGAAATATGCCCTGAAGAGGCTGTCCCTGAATCGAATATACATTTGTAAGCATTTCAATTGGTAAGGAAAAAAAAGTCACCCAATACACACACACCACACATACTACTATCTGACCTCCAAAATGTTGAACACAGTAAAGCATCACCAACCACATCAATTTTAGGAAGAAAATTTACTTCCTATCATCCTTCAAGGGATCTCAATTTAAGAAACAAGGACAAAATTACCACAAACCACAGATCACAATGAAAATAGTTCTATACACACAATTTGGAAAAAAGAGTGAAATTAGTTGGAGAAATATTTCTTGTTAGCACAATCCTTTCAAAGTTTTAACCATAAATCAGTGGCCTATGAAATCCAACCTGATAACTATTCATTTTGGGGTTACTGAAGGAGGAGTATTATTTCAACACAGGGGAAATGTCTGTCATGCTTTGAAGCCACAATAAGTAACATTTTGCTAACTTTACATTATTCAAATATTCATTACTGATGTTCTTTATTAGCACAAACCCAATTTTCTGAATTTCATTTCAGCTGCTCAGGAGAATTATTTTATTACAGATGCTGAAGGCAGGAACTACTGCTCAGTTCTGGAAATATGCTGCCAAATTATACATGATTCGCAAAAGGAAAAAGCTGCATTTGTATGGTTCATTTATTTAAATTACACTCTAGGCAGTAAAAGGATGACAGTTGTACTTCATTTTACAATCTACACATCTTTCCTATGATTCTTAACATTGCCCAGGCAGTGTTTACTCTGTGCCCTCCAATGCTGAAAATACAAATATTAAAACATTGTCTTAATCCCTACAAATCATTTCAGATATCACTGGAAAGGAGGCAGAATCAGTGTACCAGCATTAGAAGAACGGTTTATTCAAATAACATACTGTCCCAGCAAGGAACCTCAATTAGAAGATAATCTTCCAAACAAGGCATTAAAATTAGGTGTAGCTCACTCTAGCACTCGTGGTATTATCAGCTAAAAAGCTGTTTTCAAAGGGAATGGAATGCCTACAGAAGGAGGCAGGCTGCCAACACACTCTTCAATCCCCAGCAAGAGACACAGTACAGGCAAAGCGAGCTCCTCAAACAAAACATTGCACAGCACATCTATCTTCCTAAAGTCAGTTAACCTCCTGGAGGGAAAGTTTAGAAGAATGAAACTGCTCCAACACTCTTCAATCAAGCATTACAACAGAAAACTATATACCATATTCCTTTTTTTTTTTTTTTTTTTTTTTTCCGAGATGGAGTCTCGCTGTGTCGCCCAGGCTGGAGTGCAGTGGCGCGAACTTGGCTCACTGCAAGCTCCACCTCCCGGGTTCACGCCATTCTCCTGCCTCAGCCTCCCAAGTAGCTGGGGCTACAGGCGCCCACCACCACGCCCAGCTAATTTTTTCTGTATTTTTAGTAGAGACGGGGTTTCATCGTGTTAGCCAGGATGGTCTTGATCTCCTGACCTCGTGATCCACCCGCCTCGGCTTCCCAAAGTGCTGGGATTACAGGCGCCATATTCTTTAAAAGAAGACGAAGAAAAGGAACTTTTGATTCTGTTGATGTTCTAAAATAGGGCCCAGCAAACTACAGCCTACGGGCCAAATCCAATTTGCTGCCTATTTTAGTAAGTAAAGTTTTATTCGAGCACAACTACAATAATTCATTTATTTATTGTCTATGTAGTTGTTGCGGAGACTGTATGGACCATAAAGCCTAACACAGACTATCCAGCCCTTTACAGAAAAAGAGTTTGCTGACCCTGCTCTAGATATTCTGTTATATTCCAAGGATTACATAGCAGCCACAGCAGGAGATGGCTACGGTTCCTACAAAGAAAATAACCCAGCCAGGCACGATGGCTCACGCCTGTAATCCCAACACTTTGGGAGGCCAAGGCAGGCGGATCACCTGGGGTCAGGAGTTCAAGACCAGCCTGGCCAACATGGCGAAACCCTGTCTCTACTAAAATTATAAAAATTAGCCAGATGCAGTGGCGTGCGCCTGTAATCCCAGCTACTTGGGAGGCTGAGGCAGGAGAATCGTTTGAACCCAGGAGGCAGAGGTTGTGGTGAGCAGAGATAGAGCCACTGCACTCCAGCCTGGGCAACAGAGCGAGACTCTACCTCAAAAAAATAACTCTTTCTCCTTCCCTTTATCCCTTTCTTAGGGGGGAAAAATCACTTACATCTCCATAATACTCATACTCAGTCTACAAATCTGTCTCACTATTCTTCTGAATTCAGGGAAGAGATATTTCAGGGATGGTCCTTATTAAAGGCTTCCCACGGCTGTTGGAAAAGTTGAAAAGCGGAGGAGAAAAGGGTGACATTTGACCATCCTCTTATACTTCTCACAACTCTCTGGTAATGCCTATTTCTCGCTAAAGTGAATAATGCCTGATGAAAAAAGCATTGAAACGCCCTAGAATGCTCCACCTGTTGCCGTCAAGAGAAGAACAGCAAACCGCCTCAACTACACCAGACCAAATTTTGATTTAAAAAAAAAAAATCAGGATTTGAATGCAGTTTCTATGCAGTACAGCTGATTACAGTCTAAATGAATCCCAGATGCAAAGAGTCATTCAGCAATAGTAAAAACAGCTGCTGAACTAACACAGCTAGCTCAACATTTCTCAGTGAGCCTCAATCCCCAGTTTTCCAGCAGCCCCTCCAACACACACCACCCCTTAGAAATACACCACCCTCCTGCTGTGAGAAGCATAGTTGACTGACAATGCCAGCTGTGCCTCCTCTAGACCCACCATGGAAAAGCCATGCTTCCCCCGGGCTGCTCCTAGTCAATGGCGGGGCTCAGCAGTGCTACTGCAGGCCCGGGGATTCCTCTGATGGACAATTTTGGATCAGTGACTCCCCATCAGCCTGGCTGAATCTTTCTTGGAACTGTGCTGCAGTCTGAGACTCTTCCTACCTTCCTACCTGCTGCTCCTTCCATCCTTCTCTCCTTTCCCTCCCTACTCCTGTTCCCTCTCCTTCAGCCTTCACGGACATTCCCCCTCCTGTGCCTGTAACCCCTAAAGCTCCAGTTCACCCAATCCCATTTTGTCATCTGCCTCTCAAAGGACCCAAGACCTAGACTCTACCAATAGTCTCCAGTCTCCTACCTGATCTCTTACCCTCCAACCTTTACAGCTCAGATATATTCTCTCTATACAGAGTCCCGCCACATACTTCCCATGGCTTCCAGATAAAGTCTTTGAGCATGGCCTCTGTATAAATTTCCTACTGTTACTGTAATAAATTACCACAAATAGTGGCTTAAACCAACACAAATATATTACCTTAGAGCTCTGGAGGTCAAAAGTCCACAATAGGTTTCGCTTGGCTAAAATCTAGGTGGCAGCAGGGCTGCGTTATTTTCTGATGACTCTACGGCAGAGTCCATTTCCCCGCCTTTTCCAGCTTCTAGAGGCTGCCCACATTCCTAGGTGGTGACCCTCTTCTGTCTTTAAAGTCAGCAACAGACTCCAAGTCTTTCTCACATCACGTCATTCTGACACTGACTCTTCCGCCTCCCTCTTCCACATCTAAGGACACCTGTGATTACATTGGGCCCACCTAATCCAGGATAATCGCCCTACTTTAAGGTCAGCTGATTAGCAACCTTAATTACCCCTTACCATCTAACATATTCACAGGTTCCAGGTATTAGGATGTGGACACTTTAAGAAGCCATTATACTGCATGCTGCAGCCTCCAATGTCATCACAGTCCAACCTTCTTCTCGAACCCATCTGAAGCCAACTCAGGAATGCATCCAACACTCCAAGGAGCATTTCCTCCCTCAAAGAATGCCATGCATTTTCACCTCTCTGTATTTCCCCATGTTCCCTCCACCTAGAACATCCTTGCCAATCTTTTCTATCTGATGAACTCATCATTCAAGAACTAGCTCCACCAGGCACAGTGGCTCACACCTGTAATCCCAGCACTTTGGAATTACAGGTGGGCAGTTCGCTTGAGCACAGGAGTTCAAGACCAGCCTGGGAAATACAGTAAGACTCCATCTCTACAAAAATTACCAAAAAAATTAGCCAGGCCTGGTGGCATGCACCTGTAGTCCTAGCTACTCAGGAGGCTGAGTTGGGTGGGTCACTTGAGCCCAGGAGGTCAAGGCTACAGTGAGCCATGATGGTGCCACTGTACTCTAGCCTGGGTGATAGAGTGAGACTCCATCTTAAAAAAAAAAAAAAAGCTTAGCTCCACTCTTGGCAACTGCAAACCACTGGACAGTTTGTATGCACCACAATGAAATCTGCTAAGACTGAGATGCAGGGGATGAAATCCAGCCCACATCAGCTCCCCAAGCCAGACGTGAGGCTGCAACCACCAGGAGGAAGGGAAGCATACCCAGAAGAAGCATGTTTTTTGTAATGCATCTGACCAGAAGGAGCTCAGTATAGGATAACTCAACTTCCCCTAATTACACCATCCTCTAACTCCACAGCACTGAGGTACATGTTACAAACTTACTATTATAACATTTTATGCATACTAATATAACGTGTCAAACTGTATCAACCCCTACATGCCCAGGTTCCCTAGGGACTTGGGCACGTATTTTTTTTCCATATATACTCACACCCGCCTAGACAAGTGCCTGTCAAATTGTTTTAAAAGGTTTCGGAATCAAATTGTTCAGTAGTTCACCAGTGAGGCTACTGAGCACCACCTGTGTACCATGGCTATGTAGTAAGTTTTATGTACAATGCTACCACCTGAGGAGCCACATAGTGAGGGCCTGCACCTTGTTTACCTAGAGAATGATAATCCTGCTATTCAAATAATTATATCCTAGTATTGCTAACCTTGACAACTGATTTCACACTGCATTTATTTCTCAACCAAATCTTAAGAAAATATTTCTAAAATTAAAGAAGTAAAACAGAACAATGCTTAGCGGGGGAAAAAGCTGCTCCTTCAACAATGAAACAAATGGGATTTAAATAAATGCAATGCAGTAAAGCCTACTGGTTTGGTGCACTGGTATCAGACTACCTGGCTTAGAACTCCTTTTTCACTTCTTAGCTGTTTAACCTTACACAAATTATTTAACCTTGCTGTGCCTTAAAGTTGTCTCACCTGTATAATGGGAACAATTTCACAGGGTTATTTGTGGTGAGTATACGGAAAGCCAGCATGAATAAAAGTTTGATAAATGTTCACAATTACAAGAAACAAAAAAGAATAATCCAATGCTGCCAACCAGAGCAAAGCCACCTGGGAAAGGTCTAGTCTTACAGCAAACAACATCTAAACACTGACTGAGCACCTATTCAAGGACAAGCACTGTGCTACCAGACTCTGGGGAGTGCAAAGACGAGTGTATCACTGGTTGCTGACCTTGAATGTTCATGGTCTAGTAGGAGAGTTTTTTTAAAAAAGTTAAAGAAGCCAATCATCGCAGACAGTTGATAAATGTTGTCATAAAGGTATCTACAAAATGCTACAGATGCACAGTAGCCCTAACTCGGTCAGGGGAGGTGATGAAGAGAAGTTTGCACTAAATCTTGAAGGAAGAGTACCTTTCCTTAGAGTGGGCAGATGGGTATGCTCACTGCACACAGTGGAAACATCAAGTACCAGGATGAGAAGCACAAGAAGCATGTACAATTCACAAAACTGCAAGCTGTTCCTTCATATATGCCTATCATGTACCACTTGGTGTATACACATTATCTCATTTGGGCCTTACAACACTCTGGGTGGCTAATAACTTCGGTTTTTTGAAAGAAGAAACTGAGACTTAGAGGGATGAAGAAACCTGGCTAGCCAATACCTGAAGAGTGAGATTTAAACCAGGTCAGCCTGACCACAAATAACTTACTCTGCAGCAGACTAGAACATGTTGACACGCTGTATTTGACAATTTTTCTAAAAGTAACTGTGAGCCAAGGAAGGGTTCTAATCGGCAGTAAAATGATTAGATCTTCATCTTGGAAAGAATCATTCTAGCAGAAGTACAGAGGACAAATTAAAAGGTTTAAGGCCTAGGGGACAAAGCCCATCAGCCACCTGTTTCACTAATTAAAGTTTTACTGAAAAACAACACCCATTCATTTAAGTATTTCTATGGCAGCTTTTGTATTACAAGGGAACAATTGAGTAGTTCCACCCTTAGGACTACAAAGCTGAAAACATTCACTATCATTTACAGAGAAAGTTTGCTGATCCCTGTTGAAAGCAATATTTACTATAGTAATCCAGGCAAGAGATGATGGGGACTGAAGACAATGCAGTAGGGATGAAGAAGCATTTGAAAAATGTAAGCAGAACAGATCAGCAGTGTGACCGACTGGATATAAGAGTAGGTAAGAGAGAAGTAGCTAAGACTGCTCCTAGGTTTCTAGCTCTACGGTCTGCTGAGATGGTGGAGCTAGGATGTGGTGCTGAAAATGATCCCAACTCATGTCCATGTATTAACTTCTGGAAGGGATGAATGTTACCTTACATGGCAAAAGTGACTTTTCAGATGTGATTAAATTAAAGATCTTGGGATGGGGTGATTATCCTGGATTATCTGTGTAGGCCCTAAACGCAATCGTAAGCGCCCTTATAACAGAGGAACAGAGATAGACTGACACAGGAGAAGGCAGAGACTGGAGTTATGCAGCCACAGGCCAAGGAATGCCAGCAGCCACCAGAAGCTACAAGAGGCAGGAAACAGATTCTCCCCTAGAACCTCTGGAGGGAGCAAGTCCCTGCTGACACCTTGATTTTGGCCCAGTGAAACTGATTTCAGACGTATGGCCTCCAGAACTGTGACAAGGTAAATCTCTGTTGTTGCTGGGCTTTTTTGTTTGTTTGTTTAAGACAGAGTCTCACTCATGTCACCCAGTCTGGAGTGCAATGGTGCGATCTGGGCTCACTGCAACCTCTGCCTCCCGGGTTCAAGCGATTCTCTTGCCTCAGCCTCCCGAGTAGCTGGGATTACAGGCACCCACCACTAGGCCCAGCTAATTTTTTTGTATTTTTAGTAGAGGCGGGGTTTCACCATGTTGGTCAGGCTGGTCTCGAACTCCTGACCTCAAGATCTCTGTTGTTTTAAGCCGCCAAGTTTGTGGTAATTTGTTACAATGGCAACCTTAGTTACAAGAATGTTCCATCTGTTAAATCCCTGATTGTACTGCACTAGAAGGGGGCTGAGAAGCTGAAAGATGTGGGTGAAGACCAACAAACATGGGATTTAGGGAAAGGGAAAAGAGGAATTGACAGACCTGTGGAGTCTGGAGGTTGGGGGAAGAAGTCAGGAGGTCAAAGTGATCATTACAGGTATACTCATCTGGGAACACCAGCTACAATGTGGGGATGATAGGTGACAGAAACAGACCAGCGGTCCAGCTTTTCTAGGCCAATTCTTGGATGGGGACATGAAGCCTGTGGAGAAAATGAGGTGGCCACAGGAAGGAGCATAGATGATGTTGAGGGATGCAGTCTGGCTTCATGGTTAAAAGCAAAGGCTTTGGGATTAGAAAGACATGGATCTAGCTTCCAATTCCACACCACCTACTAAGCGTGAAAGATTCGGACAAGTTTCATTCCTCTTAGAACCTCAATTATCTCATCTGTTAAATAGGATTATTAATATCCATACCTCAGATCAAGTCAAACAATTACTGTAAGCACATGGTGAGTGCTTAAAAATGTAGGTGTCATTATTACCACTATTGTCATCAGTATTATTAATATGAATATGACTGTAGCTATTACAGCATTAGTCTCCCTACCCTTAGGTACGGCCGCATTTCTATTATTTTTTTAGGAACAGTGTGGCAAGCAGAAGAGTGGCCAGAACGGTGCAGAGGTTTGAGCTGTGGCACCCGGCGTGACCTCTCATTCCCGGCCGGGTCCCGGTGACAGATCCGCCGCCTCCACTCTGCAACTCCTCGCCGCAGTGAGACGCTGCCCCGCTGCTGGCCGGCCCGAGCCCCCTCCCCAGCGCCGGCCTCACCTTTTCATAGTTCTGCATGAGGCGGCTGATACTCTCGCGCTCGACCTGCCATTCGGGTTTCTTCAGTTGCTTCCTCAACTGCTTCTTTTTGTTCTGCCTATGGCTGTGTTTTTTCTTCCAGCGATTGAAGCTCCGCACCGGGTCGGGTCGGGCTCCCGAACCCGGAGAGTTGGCCGTTTTGCCCATTGCGGCGGCGGCGGCGACAGCTCGGATCAACCCCAGACACGAGACACCTAAGGCCAGACTCACGGAACCAGCATGGGACAAACGCACAGAGGCGCATGCGCGAACTCAGAAGCCCGCCCCCGAGCTTTTGAAACCGGGGCACGCGCCAATGACGTCAGGAAAAGGAGGGCTGTGATTGGCGAATTGGCTCCTGCTGGGAGGGGCAGCCTGGGGAAACGGGGGCGCAGCACTCCACGGAAGGGGGCGAGCTGAGCCGAGCCGGGAGCACGCCGGCTCTTTAAAAAAAAACGCATGCGCACTGTTGTTGTTACTATGGTGACGTCATACACTGACCCTTTAAGGGCTATTAACACATTTGCTCCAGGTTCAACTTTGCTAAGCGTTCGTGAGTATGTGTGTAAACACATACAATCTGTGAATGAAAATTGTGACCCTCGTTTTGCACTTTTCGGGCCAACGAGCCAAAAGATTTGCCCAGAAGTAAACAGCTAGTTAGTGACTTCTGATTTCCATCCATGGTGGTTGTACTTCCTCAGGAATAAAAATGAATATTCTATATTCTTCTTATGCCCCTCTGGGTTTTCCTTTTCCTCTGGGCCCCTCAGACTCTAGCTGCAACAGCAAGGAAACTGGAACGGAATCAAATTGAATTTGCCTTAAAATGCTTTTATGGAGACAAAATGATAACTAAACGTAAGGAGGTAGGTAATAGAGGCCGGGCACGGTGGCTCACGCCTGTAATTCCAGCAATTTGGGAGGTCGAGGTGGGTGGATCACCTGAGGTCAGGAGGTCGAGACCAGCCTGGCCAATATGGTGATGCCCTGTCTCTGCTAAAAATACAAAAATTAGCCAGGCGTGGTGGTGCACACCTATAATCCTAGCTACTTGGGAGGCTGAGGCAGGAGAATCGCTTGAACCCCGGGGGCGGAGGTTATAGTGAGCCAAGATCGCCCCACTTCACCACAGCCTGGGTGAAAGAGTGAAACTCCGTCAAAAAAAAAAAAAAAAGGAGGTAATAGAAAAGTTATTGCAAGTTGGACATTTAAGTGAACTGGCTTTCAATGAATTGAATTTTTTGACACATTTACCTACAGCCTCCAGGAAAACACCGGATGTGGGTGGGAGAGCTTAGCTGTAGCAAAGGAGATTGGAAAATTGAGTTCAAAGTTCACAGGCAGAATTTTGGGCTCTCAAATTTCCTTTCCAACCCCACATATCCAGATCACTACTCTCAACTCTATGCCCATCCTCCAAACAAGACATGGCTTATTGGAAGGGAGTGAGGACAGGAGGTGAACAAGAGAATTTCCACACTCAGGAACACTAGATGTGGTAGACAGTAAAGCTCAATAAGGAGTGATTACATGAAAGTGTATATACATCCTCAAAAAATTAAAAATAGAACTCCACGTGAGCCAGCAATTTCACTTCTGGGTATGCATAGCCAAAATAATCGAAAGCAGGGTCTCAGATATTTGCATACCGTGTTCACCACAGCACTATAGCTAAAATGTGGAAGCAACCCAGGTGTCTATCAACTGATGAATGAGTAAACAAAACATAATATGTACCTAAAATGGAATATTATTCAGCCTTCATAAAGAAGGAATTTCTGACACATGCCACAACGTGGATAAACTTTAAGAATATTAAGCTAAGTGAAATAAGCCAGTCACAAAAGGACAAATACTATATATGGTTCTATTTATATGAGAAACTTAGAGTTGTCAAAATAATAGAGAAAGTAGACTTGTGGTTGCCAGGGACTCAGGCAACCAGGGGGTTACTGTTTAATCAGTGCAGAGTTCCAGTTTGGTAAGATGAAAAGAGTTCTGCAGATTGGTTGCACAACAATGAGAATGTAATTAATGCAACTGAATTGTATACTTACAAATGGCTAAAATGGTAAATTTTATGTGATGTGTATTTTACTACATATGTATACCACATATGCATACCTACAGAACGATAAGGCCCTCAGCTATAACTCACTTTTTTCCTAAAACTGTAGGAGTCAGGCATATATGCGCCCCAGGCAAGAAACTGGAAGGTTCAACTCTAGGAAAACTGAATGTCCAAGAGAAAGACCTCAATAACATCTAGGGGCCAGGCACGGTGGCTCATAGCTATAATCCCAGCACTTTCTGAGGCCAAGGTGGGAGGATTGCTTGAACCCGGAAGTTCGAGACCAGCCTGGGCAACATAGTGAGACCTTGCCTGTACCAAAATTCAAAAAAATTAGCCGAGCTTGGTTGCACACACCTGTAGTCCCAGAAACTAGGGGGCCAAGGCAGGAAGTTCACTTGAGCCTACAGAAGTCAAGGCTGCAGTAAGCCCTGATACTGCCACTGCACTCCAGGCTGGGTGACAGAGCCAGACTCTGTCTCAAAAAAAAAAAAACAAAAACAAAAACAAAAAGAGAGAGAAAGAAAAAAGACATTTTGGCAGCAGCCAAATAAATGACAACTCACTAACCACCCCATTGCTCTTTAGTGAAACTTATCAGTTAATAAGCCCTCCATTCACTCATTTCTACTCAGCCTTATTCTTAAATATGGGCGAATAACCAAAGACCAACAAATATTTTAGGAAATCCTTTAACTTAAAAGTTGTAAGCCAAAATTAGTAAACTAATGCAGAGAGCAAAATAGGCCTTCAAAAAAAAATCACTATCAATATTCTTAGGAAAATAAGGCCTCATATCCAAGAAATAAAAACAGGGAATACTCAGAGAACAAAACAAAACTCTTCATAGAAGTCATTTTGTTTGTTAAATAAACCAAATTGTTAACATACGATAGTGGAAAATTCAAATTTTAGTCACAAGAACTCAATATCACATTCCAAAGTCATTAGGATTTAATAATTTGTGATGAAAATAGTTCATATATTGATCACTTAAAGTGACAGCTTTATGATGGTTTCTATGCTTAGTTGCTCCAATACCTTCTTTTCTGTAGAAATGACCCCTAGATAGGCTTCCAATTGTGATATTGAGGACATTAAATATGTTTTAACACATTTTAAGACTATATTCTCCACTGCCAACCAATATTCACAAAGATCCTAAAGAACTAAAAAAAAAAAAAAAAAAAAAAAAATTTGGAAATGCGCCTGGTAACTATGGCTATTGATACAAATAGAGGCAATACTCCACAGGGGAGGGAGCGTCCATACTAAAATTTAAGGAGAAAATGTAATATTTGGCTGGGCATGGTGGGTCATACCTGTAATCCCAGCACTTTGGGAGGCGGAGGCAAGTGGATCACCTGAGGTTAGGAGTTCGAGACCAGCCTGGCCAACATGGTGAAACCCTGTCTCTACTAAAAATACAAAAATTAGCCAGGCGTGCTGGCGTGTGCCTGTAATCCCAACTACTCAGGAGGCTGAGCCAGGAGAATCACTTGAACCTGGGAGGCGGAGGTTGCAGTGAGCCAAGATCGCACCATTGCACTCCAGCCTGGGTGACAAGAGAGAGACTCTGTCTCAAAAAAAAAAAAAAAAAAAGTAATACTTGTAGTTCATCATACATTGATACCCCATCTAATATTATCCATCGCTTAGTTTCTATTTGTAAGTTTTCAACAGTTTATCATCATAATTATTCAAATTGCATGTCTCAAAAACTCTGAAAAGATCATTATATTCTTTCAGTGCTTTAAAACTTTTTTAAAAGATTATCTGGTTGAGCAAGATAATAATGGTAGTGATGAGCACAACCATTGCCCGGATGTCAGTTTGTAAAACCATTTTTTCCAATCAAATGATCCAGAGCTCTTTGAAGAAATAGCTAATTCCAGGGCTGACACAAAGAAAGTACAAGAAAGCTGGAATATCTTGAAGTGCCAGAAAATAAGAAGTGCTCAAAGAATTATGGGAATGAAAAGCACAGTTCTATTTCTTGACCTAGGTGATAGGTATGAGGATATTTGCCTAATAATAGTTCAATAGACTCTACACTTGTTCTACATAGCTTTCTATAGTGGAAAAAAAACAGAATATGTAACCCCAAAATATGCCTCTTTGATAAAAAATTATTTTTTAGCTAAAGACAATTAAGAAGCAGCAAACACAGGAAGAGCTCTTCCTATCCTCCCACTTTTTTGCTTAAACAGAGGATATAAATTGCCCTTTACTGGAAACAATTCTAGTTGTCATAGCAGCCCAGAGACAGCACCAGAGGAATCTGCAAACTAATCTTACTCCATTAGTTTCTTCACATACATTTACCTTCCACGGTTTCCCATATTTGGAAGCCCAAAACTGTTTTCCTTTTTCCTGTCATTTCTCTACAAGTGTATTGTCCTTTGTTGAAGATGCTATACAAGCCAGAATTCTCAGCCACTGCTTTGAGTTACTTTCCACTGAAGTTACTCTCATGTGATGTACACTGCACACATTACTAAACTCCTTCATTTTACTCTTGTTAATCTGTCTTTTGTCACTGGGCTCTGTTCTAACTACAATTTTATGAGGTTAGAGGAAAAATTATATTTCCCTCCCCCGCCAACAATAGGAAAATAAGGCCTCATATCCAAGAAATAAGAACAGGGAATACTCAGAGAACAAAACAAAATCCTTCATAGAAGTCATTTTTGTTTGTGATATAAATCAAATCCTTAACATAAAATAGTGGAAAATTCAAATTTTAGTCATAAGAACTCAATATCACATTCCAAAGTCATTAGGTGTATTATGTTTTTTAATAAAAATGATTTAAAATATAAAATGTTCACAACAAAAAGTCATGCCAAATTGGTACTGAGCAAATACATTTAAATATAGATGTTTTCAAAAATATAACTTTGACTAGCATTTTACATGTTATCTAGACAATTTATCTGTTAAAATATCAATAATTTATGAAAGAACATTGTTTACTGCCTCTAATTGAGTATTAGTAGCAGGATAGCCTCAACTGGACTTCTACGTCATGTATTTTACAAGGGTTTCAAAATTAACCTCAGTAAATGTTAGTTTCAGTGCTTCAACAATGTTCCAACAGCTAAAAGGTAATTGTATCATTCTTGGATTATACAATATTTTCAATAGTTTAAAAACTGTCAGGTGATGGCTCACACCTGTAATCCCAACACTTTGGGAGGCTAAGGCAGAAAGATTGCTTCAGGCCAGGAGTTCAAGAGCTCCCTGAGCAACATAGCAAGACCCCATCTCTACAAAAAAATTTAAAAATTAGGCCAGGCATGGTGGCTAACGCCTGTAATCCCAGCACTTTGGGAGGTCGAGGCGGGTGGCTCACCTGAGGTTGGGAGCTCGAGACCAGCCTGACCAACATGGAGAAACACCATCTCTACTAAAAATACAAAATTAGCTGGGCATGGTGGCGCATGTCTGTAATCCCAGCTACTTGTGAGGCTGAGGCAGGAGAATAGCTTGAACTCAGGAGGTGGAGGTTGCGGTGAACCGAGATTGCACCATTGTACTCCAGGCTGGGCAACAGGAGCTAAACTCCATCTCAAAAAAAAAAAAAAAAAAAAAATTGCCAAGTGTAGTGTTGCGCACCTGCAGTCTTAGCTACTCAGGAGGCTAAGGTGGAAGGATCACTTGAGCTGAGAAGTTCAAGGTTATAGTGAGCTATGACAGCAGTACTGCACTCCAGCCTGGGTGACAGAGGGAGACGCTATTTCAAAAAAAAAGTTTAAAAAAAGAATTTAACCTTTTTTTTTTTTACCATCAAGTTTAAAGAATGCACAACAACTATGGAGTGCTCTGTAATACTTGTTGGAAATCTTCCTGTCGAAATCAATTGTGTTCTTTATGTACATAAATTGTGTTACTGTCATATCTCTGACCTTCACATTTTTAATAGTAATTATATTATCATTATTACCAGAACCAGATTTCAGTTTCCCAGATAACGATGAACAAGAAGGGACTTTATTTTTTTAAGGGAAGATTATTTTCAGTTTGCCATAACATCCTTTACCTCAAAACTGTAGCATTTCAAACTTCAGTCAGGTTATTTCTTTTCACTGTCACAATTTTTACACTGCTGTAAGAAACTTTTTTGGCATTTACTCTGAATTCAGACTTCAGTTAATCTCTTACTGCTCTTACTTTTGTGGAGAAGTAACTGAACCAAGATGGTGGTGACATGCTTTCAAGACGTTACAAGAACAGAACTACATGGTCTCAGATCAAAAGATCTCCTTCCCCTCACATTATTTTGGTTTCTAGTCTGTGTTTATAAGTAGTCTATTAAATATGTAGATCAGATGATTCCACAGTTATGTCATCTGCTAGCAAAATCTATATTCACATATAGAAATACAGGATTTTAGAAATCTATAAATCTAACAAAATTGTTATTTGTTCTATCTGGGATCTATACATGTTGTAACTAAAGCAATTGGACAATATTTTGAATTCTTGCCTTATTCGAATAATCAAATGATTTTATTCAATATGATAGTGTTAACTATTTGGTTTTATATTTTATCCTCTAAATATAAACTATTTCATAGCACCAATAACTACACATATTATACTTTTCAAATCAGGTTTGATCTTTGAATACTTAACATTTTGCTGATGTGCTTTTTCATTTTCTTTATGGTTTCTAAGAAGAGGTAATATATGCCAGCCTTTTCATCCATTTGCATAATATCGTTGATTTTTTTCATCTCCAGACAGTTTTTAATAAAGGCAGACTCCTTCAAGGTACAATGAAGTAACCAGAATCTAGTAACTTTTTACTGTTTGAAAAACTTTGTGTTTAAAAAAAAAACAAGCTCACAGAAACTTCCACCTGTGCCCTTTTTTTTAAAGATTTTCTTTTTTCGTTTCTTTTCTTTTTGGCTTGTGATAGTTTCCAACAAGAATGACCCATGTTTTAATATTCAAGTTACCTGGCCATGTACCTGAACTGAGAAAATGTTGTACAAACGTATATCCAATTTATTTCCCTTCTAATTTTTATTTAAATTCATCTCTTATGATTGACATGAAGGTAAAAAGTAAATTCCCATCCTGCTCTCAATTCTATGTTCTAATGAAACTAGTATCTTTCTCTTTTTTCTCAATATTTTCTACATTTGTGTTAAAAAATATATTCAATTATATCAAGAATATTATTTTGTTCCTCTATAATGGCTTTCTTTTTCTGTTTTCTGATTCTGTTAATTTTTAAATTTTTTTCTGATGTCTAGTAAGAAGTTATATAATAGCTTAGTATTTTATCTCAGAATTTATACAGATTTAAAGCAATATAAATGAAAAAAAGCTGTTAAATTTTAACAGTGATTTTTCACTGCTTCACTGTGAGCCAATCTGAAAACATTTCTTTAAATTTGTAGATAATTTGAGTCCACTTAAATTAATTGTTATGGGTGATACATTTGGTCTCAGTTCTGTCATAGTAATTTGTATAAAATTTTGTAAAATATATATGATGTGTTATTTTCCTATATTATCTGTTTTCTTTGGTCATCTTGATATTTTTTATTTTTGTTTTTAGAACACTGTGTGTAGTAGTTGCCTATATAATAAGTCCTTTATATGATGCTCTTATACTCCTTTTTCCTTGAGTCAGTGATACCCCTTGATTTCCATTTATTATCACTATGGAAATCCATGAGTTTATTTTCTCTTTCATTTGCATTGTCAGAGCATATTGCATTTATGCTTTATTCTTCCATGCTTACTCCACTTTGTTTAGACTTAGATCTAAAATTACATTTAATGCTCATTCTTCAACTGCCAAAGTTTTCCACATCACCTCTTGGTTCCAAGGAACTTACAGGTGCAATATTCGCTGAGGTCCTGCATGCTTTAAATTGTTTTTCAATAGCCTCAAGTTGTAAAGTTTTTAGTTTTCACTTTTTTCCCTTGAGTTTCTTTTAAAGGGTTGTTCCACTGTTGTCTTGTTTAGTGTGTTGTTGCCAAGCTGTCTGATGCCAATCTAATTTTCTTTCTTTCATAATGACCTTAATTGTTTTGAATGAAAAATCAGATTATTTTTTCTCCCTTTTTTAGTAAATCAAATCATTTTACTAAATTATGTTTTAGAGTTAATTGTTTATGGGTCAATTCTCCCAGGCACACAGTGGACCTCTTCAGTAATAGTTTTTTGCTTTTGTTTTTTTGTTTTTGAGATTGAGTCTTGCTCTGTCGCCCAGGCTGGAGTGAAGTGGTGCGATCTCAGCTCACTGCAACCTCCGCTTCCCAGGTTCAAGCAATTCTCCCGTCTCAGCCTCCCAAGTAGCTGGGACTACAGGCACCCACCACCAGGCCCAGCTAATTTTTCTATTTTTAGTAGAGACAGATTTCACCATGTTGGCCAAGCTGGCCTGGATCTACTGACCTCACATGATCTGCCCACCTCAGCCTCCCAAAGTGTTGGGATTACAGGTGTGAGCCACCGCACCCAGCCAGTTCTTTGTTTAAGTTTGTCTGCTCTCTGCATTGTAACTGCCTTTCTACATTGCCAATAAAGTTAAATACTGTTTAATTTTAAGAGAGTCCACAAGATCAGAATAACTTGGCCTAAAGATGCTAAAAGGTGAACCCATCCATGTCCTCTTGTTACGTAAAAATGGCAAATAACTATTTGTAAATCAATTCAACTGTATATTTGACTTTTTTTAAGTTGGAAAAGAAATTAATACAACAAGATATATGTTTATTCAAATAGTGAAATTACCTTTGTTTCCTTATACCTTATTAATATAATCAGTCTGAAGTCATTGTTAGGATACAACACCTCTATACAATTTTTGAAGTTGCAGCTTTGGTTGGTTCCATCTCCTTTTACTCATATCCTCTAAAACTTGGCGGGGCCAGCATGCAGCCACCTTGATTCCAGAATGCATCCTGTCAAACCTTTAAACAACAAAAATATATTTACCTAATTGGCTAGTACACATAAATTAAAAGGCCACGAGGTTTAAGCTTGCCACAACTGTTGTGTTGCTAACTACCCAGGAGTCATGAATCAATTAGTTTGTCTATGCATGTGTTTGTTCATTCATTTATGTATAACTTTTTTCCTTTATTTATCTAATTGTCTTGTACTAGACATTCTTAAGCCTCAAGAATACAAAAATGAAGAAAAAAACTGTCCTTGCCTCAAGAAATTTATAATCAAGCATGATGGCCTCCAAAGTTAGTTGCACGAGAATCACATAGAAAGCTTTTAAAAAATAGTGCTTCCTGAGCTTTAGCCAAAAATATTCCTATTCTATAAGTATGAAACAGAAACCAGGCAATTCTGTTTCATAGGGACCTCTGGTCTAGTAAATTACAATTAATCATAATAATTGAAGCTGATTATAATCAGTTCAAGTTGAATACCACCAAAATTAAACCATAATAAAACTATGAAAATTAACATACAAAGGGAAAATAGTAATAAATAAAGTTTCCATATGCTGTTGATTTTTTTGTTGTTGTTGTTGTTGTTTGAGATAGGGCCTCGCCCAGGCTGGAGTGCAGTGAAACAATCAGGGCTCACTGCAGCCTTGAACTCCTGGGCTCAAGCCATCCTCCTGCCTCAGTCCCCTGAGTAGCTGGGACCACAGGCACATGCCACCACGCCTGGCTACTTTTTTATATTTTTAGTTGAGACAGAGTTTTGCCATGTTGCCCAGGCTGATCTCGAACTCCTGGACTCAGGCGATCTGCCTGCCTCAGCCTCCCAAAGTTCTGGGATTACAGGTGTGAGCCACTGCACCCTGCCTGCCCTTGATTCATATTTGAACCATAGATATTAATAAGACGCTTAACAAAACCATCTCAACTCATCAATGTTATCAATAAAAATTACTGTGGCTATCACACATAAGGATTCTCATACTGTGGTTCACTAGTAAAAATACTTGAAGACTCATGCCCTAATCACTTGTCTGAGATAAACTTAATTTCTGCCACTATTTTCACTTAGTGAGAAATTGGAACTTCCAGATAGTTATTTTTGGTCTATCATGGGCCAGCAGGTGGCAGGGTAGGATTAAGTGCTAGTTTTCCCTTGGGAGTGGACTGAATTTGGCCTGGGTTTTTATAGTCACTCAGCAATTTGGTGTACTGGTAAGTTTGTCTGTCTTATTAAAACATTGAGTTTCTAGGACATGCTTTATTTACAATCAGTACTCCCAAAATTCTATTTTTAATTCATTCTTCCAACGCTTCTTTTTAATTAACAGGAAGTAATTGCTAATATTTATTGAGCACCTAGTAAGTGCTATTTCTAACTTCATTACATACATTCTTTCTAAACCTCACACAACTCATTTTCCGGATGAGAAAACTGAAGGCAAGAAAGATTAAATGATACGCCCAGGGTCATATGTGACTTAATACTTGATATCATTGGTATTCTCTCCCAGTTTGTGGCACCACAAAACATAATTTTGATTTATTTCATCATGGAAAGACTTCCAACTCTCCTGTTCTAAAAAGAATTAGTATCTTCATAAATAGCAGTTTGTCATGTACTGGGGCCAACCTTACTGAGTTCAGTTATTCAAGTTAACCTTGAATCTAATTGTTCACTACCTATGTACAATTTCCATATATTTCTATGTTTTACATAGTGTTAAAGCAAACTAAATATGGCCTGAGAAGGACTCTGTATTTCTATATTTGAGTCCTTATGGACAAACTGTAACCTAGTTTAATAGGCAGACAAGATCGAAAATCTAATTTAGGAGTATGCACCTGTAACAATAGCTGAGTCTTGGCCAATCCCAGTGGCCATACTTCAACCACTCATAGACTCCTAAGTGTTCAAACTGTGTTCAAATAAGGCAAACGCCAACCTATAACCAATTCAGCTGTTTCTGTGCCTCACTTCTGATTTCTGTATGTCACTTCCCTTTTTTTAATCTATAAATTTTTTCTGACCACGAGGCATCCCTGGAGTCTCTCTGAATCTGCTGTGATTCTAGGGTCTGCCCAACTTGCGTATATATACCACATTTTCTTTATCTGTTCATCTACTGATGGACACTTAAGTTGATTCCATATCTTGGTTATTTTGAATAGTGTTGCAAATAAACACAGAAGTGTAGATATCTCTTTGATATACTGATTTCCTTTCTTTTAGATACACACACAGCAGTGAGATTGCTGGATCATATGGTAGCTCCATTTTTGTTTTTTGAGGAACCTCCTGCTGTTCTCCACAGTGCCTGTACTACATTCCCACCAATAGTGTTTAAGTGTTCCCCTTTCTCCACATCTTTGCCAGCATTCATTATTGCCTGTCTTTTGGATAAAAGCCATCTTAACTGGGTGAGGTGATATCACATTGTGGTTTTAAATTTGCATTTCTCTGATGATCGATGACATTGAGCATTTTTCATACACCCATATACCTGTTGGCCATTCATATGTCTTCTTTAGAGAAATGTCTGTTCAGATCTTTTGCCCATTTTCCAATCAGATTATTTGATTATTTACTGTCGAGTTATTTGAGCTCCTTAGATATTCTGATTATTAATCTCTTGTCAAATGGGTAATTTGCAAATATTTTTTCAATTCCATGGGTTGTCTCTTCATTTTGTTGATTGTTTTCTTTGCTGTACAGAAGCTTTTTAGCTTGATGTGATCTCATCTGTCCATTTTTGCTTTGGTTGCCTGTGGTCTTTGAGGTATTTTGGTCTTTGAGGTCTTACTCAAAAAATCTTTGCCCAGACCAATATCCTGAAGTGTTTACCCAATATTTTCTTCTAGTAGCTTCATAGTTTCAGATCTTACATTTAAGTTTTGAATCCACTTTGATTTGCTTTTGTATATGGCAAGAGATCAGGGTCTAGTTTCATTTTTCTGCTTGTGGATATCCAGTTTTCCCAGAACCATTTATTAAAGAGACTGTCCCTTCTCCGATGCATGTTCTTGGTATCTTTGTCAGAAATGAGTTCACTGTAAATGCACGAATTTATTTCAGGGTTCTCTATTCTGTCCCATTGATCTATGTGTCTGTTTTGATGCCAGTACTATGCTGTTTTGGTTACTATAGCTTTGTAGTATAATCTGAAGTCAGGTAATGTGATGTCTCCAGTTCTGTTCATTTTGCTCAGGATTGCTTTGACCATTCTGAGTCTTTTATGGTTCCATATGAGTTTTAGGATTATTTTTTCTATTTCTGTGAAGAATGTCATTAATATTTTCATAGGGATTGCATTGAATGTCTAGATTTCTTTGGGTAGTATGGATATTTTAACAATATTAATTCTTCCGATCCATGAACATGGATATCTTTTCATTTTTTTGAGTCCTCTGTATTTCATCATTTTGTTTTCTTTTGTTTTTGTGGGGTTTTTTTGTTTTGTTTTGAGACAGAGTCTCGCTCTGTTACCCAGGCTGGAGTGCAATGGCATGATCTCAGCTCACTGCAACCTCCACCTCCCAGGTGCAAGCAATTCTCCTGCCTCAGACTCCCAAGTAGCTGGGAATACATGCACCCGCCACCACTAATTTTTTGTATTTTTAGTAGAGATGGGGCTTCACCGTGTTGACCAGGCTGGTCTCGAACTCCTGACCTTAGGTGATCCACCTGCCTCAGCCTTCCAAAGTGCTGGGATTACAAGCATGAGCCACCACACCGGGCCTCATCAATGTTTTATAGTTTCATTGTAGACAGCTTTCATTTCCTTGGTTAAGTTATTTCCTAGGTATTGTATATTCTTTGTAGGTGTTGTAAATGGGATTACTTTCTTGGTTTCTTTTTCATATTGTTCACTGTTGACATACAGAAATACTACTGATTTTTCTATGTTGATCTTTTATCCTGCAACCTTACTGAATTAATCAGTTCTAATAGTTTTTTTGGTAGAGTCTTTAGATTTTTCTAAATATAAGATAATATCACTTGCAAACAAGTATAATTTGGCTTCTTCCTTTCCAATTTCGATGCCCTTTATTCCTTTCAGTCTAATTGCTCCAGCTAGGACTTCCAGTGCTAGGCTGAATAACAGTGGTCAACATGGGCATCCTTGTTTTGTTCCAGATCTTAGAGGAAAGTCTTGCTGTTTTTTCCCCATTCAGTATGATACTAACTATGGTTATGTCATACATGGCTTTTATCATGTTGAGATATGTTCCTTCTAGGCCTGGTTTTTTGAGTTTTTATCACAAAAGAATGTTGAATTTTATTGAATGCTTTTTCAGCACCAATTGAAATGACCGTATGTTTTTGTCCTTCATTCTATTGCTATAATGTATCAAGTTTATGGAGTTGCCTAGATTGACCCATTTTTGCATTCCTACAATGATTCCCACTTGATTATGATTAATTATATTTTTATTTTTATTTTTTTTGAGACAGAGTCTCACTCTGTCACCCAGGCTGGAGTGCAGTGGCATGATCTCAGCATACTGCAGCTTCAACTTGTCAGGCTCAAGCTATCCTCACACCTCAGCCTCCCGAGTAGCTGGAACTACAAGTGCATACCATCACACCTGGCTAATTTTTGTAGTTTTAGTAGAGAATGGGTTTCATCAAGTTGCCCAGGCTAGTCTTGAAATCCTGGGCTTGAGCAGTATGCCCACCTTGGCCCCCCAGAGTGCTGGGATTACAGGCGTGACCCACTGCGCCCAGCCCGAATTATCTTTTTAATGTGTTGTTGAATTTGGTTTGCCAGTTTCTTTGTTGAGGGCTTTTGCATCTATGTTTATCAAAGATGTTGGCCTGTAGTTTTATTTAATTTTTTTTTTAGAGTTGGGGTCTCACTCTGTTACAAGCTAGAGTGCAGTAATGCAATCATAGCTCACGGCATCCTTGAACTCCTGGGCTCAAGTGATCGATCTGATTTTTATTGTTTATTTTCTTCCACTAATGTTGGGTTTGGTTTGCTCTTACTCTTCTAGTTTTTTAAGATGCATCATTGGTTGTTTATTTGAAGTTTTTCTACTTTTCTGATATAGAAATGTATTGCTATAAACTTCCCTCTTAGTACTACAATACTTTTGCATATCCCATAGGTTTTGGTATATTATGTTTCTGTTTTTATTTGTTTCAAGAATTTTTTAAACTTCTTTCTTAATTTCTTCATTGATTCAATGGTCACTCAGGAGCATATTGTTTAATTCCCATGTGTTTGGATAGTTTCCAAAGTTCTTCTTGTCATTAATTCCTAGTTCTATTCCATTGTGATCAGAAAAGATACTCGATATGATTTCAATGTTTTTGAATTTTTATATTATTTAATGTTTTTAAATTTTGTGGCCTAATACATGTTCTATACCTGAGAATGTTCCACGTGTTGAAGAGAATGTGTATTCTTTAGCTGTTGGACGAAATGTCCTGTAAATGTTATCAGCTCCATTTGGTCTGTACTGCAGACTAAGTTCAATGTTTCTTTGTGGATTTTCTGTCTAAAAGACCTGTCCAATGCTGAAAGTGTGATGTGGAGGCCTCCAACTACTATTGTATTGGGTTCTGTCTCTCTCTTTAGCTCTAATAATATTTGCATTATATATCTAGGTACTTCAGTGTCGGATGTAGGTATATTTACAACTGTTATAGTCTCTTGCAGAATCGACCCCTTTATCATAATAGAATGAACTTCTTTGTCACTTTTTACAGTTTTTATCTTAAAATCCATTTTATCTGATATAAGCATAGCTACTCCTGCCTCCTGCTCCTTTTTTTTTTTTTTTAATTGGAAACAGGGTCTCACTCTGTTACCCAGGCTGGAGTGCAATGGTGTGATCATAGCTCACTGTAATCTCAAACTCCTGAACTCAAGTGATCATCTTACCTCAGCCTCCCAAGTAGGTAGGACTACAGGTGCATGCCACCACACTCAGCTAATTTTTAAATTTTTTGTAGAGATGAGGGTCTTGCTATGTTGCCCAACTGGTCTTGAACTCCTGGCCTCCAGCAATTCTCCCACCTCAGCTCCCAAAGTGCTAGGATTACAGGTGTGAGTCACCATGCCTGGCTCTTGCTCTTTTTTTGTTTTCATTTGCATTGAATATCTTTTTCCATTTCTTTATTTTCAGCCTATGTGTGTCTTTATAGGTGACATATGTTTCTTGTAGGCAACATAAACTTAGGTCTTTTTTTTTTTAATCCATTTAGCTACTATGTCTTTCGACTGGAGAATTTGGTCCAATTACATTAAATGTTATTACTCACAGATAAGATTTACTACTGCCATTTTCTTATTTGTTTGCTGGTTATTTTGTTGGTCCTCTCTTTCTTTCTTCCTTCCTTCCCATTTTCCTTTGTGTAAAAGTGATTTTCTCTGTAGTATATTTTAATTTCTTTTGGAAAAATTTTTGGGTATCTGTTGTAGATTTTTGATCTGTGGTTACCATAAAGCTTGCAAATAACATCTTATAATCAATTATTTTAAACTGATGACAACTCTAATTACAAAAAAAAAATCTAAAAATCTCTACCTTTTAACTCCATCCTTTTCATCCTTTTTGACTTTTTGTTTTTTCTATTTGTATATTTTAATACTATGTATCTATCGAAAAGTTGTTGTAGTCATTATTTTTGATAGGTCTTTTAGTCTTCCTACTCACGATATGAGTGGTTTACACACCACAATTACAGTGTTAGAGCACTCTGTATCTGTCTGTGTACTACTACTAGTGAGTTTTACACCTTTAGCTGGTTTCTTATTATTCATTAATGTCCTTTTCTTTCAGATTAAGAAACTCTCTTTAGCATTTCTTGTAGGACAGGTCTGGTGTTGACCAAATTCCCCAGCTTTTGTTTGTCTGGAAAAGTCTTTATTTCTTCTTCATGTTTGAAGGACATTTTTGCTGGATATAATAGTATAGAATGGAAATATTTTTCCTTCAGTATTTTGAATATGTCATTTCACTTTCTCCTGGCCTAAAAACTTTCCACTGAGAAATATGCTGTCAGACATATTGGAGTTCCTATATAAGTTATTTGTTCTTTTTCTCTTGCTGCTTTTTAGAATCCTTTTTTTATCCTTTACCTTTGAGAGTTTACTAAGTGCCTTGAGATAGTCTTATTTGGATTGAATCTTCTTTGTGTTCTATGACCTTCTTGTACCTGGATATTGATATTTCTCTAGGTTTAAAAAGTTTTCTGTTATTATTTGTTTGAATAAACTTTCTACCTCAGTATCTCTCTTTACTTCCACTTTAAGGCCAATAACTCTTAGATTTGCCTTTTTGAGGCTATGTTCTAGATCTTGAAGGTGTGCTTCATTCTTTTTATTTTTTTTCTCCTCTATGTATTTTCATATAACCTGTTTCAAGCTCACCAATTCTTCTTGATCAATTCTGCTGTTGAGAGACTCATGCATTTTTCAGTTTGTCAATTGAATTTTTCAGCTCCTGAATTTCTGCTTGATTTTTAAAATTATTTCATTCTCTTTGTTAAATTTGTCCAATGGAATTCTGAATTCCTTGTGTGTATAAGTTATCTTGAAGTTCACCGAGCTTCGTCAAGACAGCTATTTTGAATTCTGTTTGAAAGATCATATACCTCCATCATTCCAATTTTGGTGACTGGTGTCTTATTTAGTTCATTTGGTGAAGTCATGTTTTCCTGGATGTTCTTAATGCTTGTAAATGTTCATTAATGTCTGGCCATTGAAGAGTTAGGTATTTATTCCAATCTTAGCAGCCTGGGCTTGTCTGTGCCTGTTCTTGGGAAGGCTGTACTGAAAAGGAATTTAGTATTGTGATCTAAGCCTGTGGTCACTGAAGCCATATCAGCACTAGGAGGCGCCTTAAGCCCAGTAACGCTGCAACTGCTGCAGACTCCTAGAAGCACTGCCTTGATGGGCTTGGGTAAAATAAAGTATAATCCCTAGTTTACCAGGCAAAGACTCTTGCTTTCTTTCCTCTTTTTCCCCCATCAGGAGTCTCTCTTTGCGCTGCGCCACCTGGATTTGGGGAGAGGTGACACACGCATTCCCATGGCCACCACAGTTGGCACTGTATTGGGTCACATCTGAAGCCAGTACAGTGCTGGGTCTCACCCAAGGCCCTTAGGACTACTGCCTGGCAACTGCTGATGTTTGTTTATTCAAGGTCCTAGGGCTCTTTAGTCAGCAGGTGGTGGATTCTGCCAGGTTCTTCCTTTTCTGGCCCAGGCTGGGTCTGGAAATACCATCATGTGATGGTAGCTAAGGCTTCAAACTAGGGGCCTCAGGAATCTGCATGACGCTTCATTTTACTGTGGCTGAGCTGGCACCCAAGTTGCAAGACAAAGTCCTCTATGTTCTTTCCTCTCCTTTCTCCAAGTAGAGGAATCTCTCCCCAAGCTGCACTATCTGGATTAAGGGGAGGGATAAGTCAGGCACTACCTTGGCCACCACAACTGGTGTCTCACTGGGTCACATGCATCCCAAGTCTACTGGCTCTGAGCCTAGCCCAGCACTGTGGTTTGCCCAAGGGCTACAGTCCTTGTGACCTGACTGCCTCCCAAATTTATTCTGGGCCTCAGCCACCGGTGGTGGAGCTGGACGGGAACTCAGGATACTACCGCTGGGGCAGAGGATTCCCCTTTGGTCTAGATAATCTCTCTGTGGGTGCCAGCAGAATTCTTCTCTGTGTTGTTTTCCACTGTGACAGGCAGCAAAGTCCCACACTCACTTTGCTCTCCCTCCCACAAGAGCACATGTTCTCTCTCCACGCTCAGTGTAGTACTGCCAAGGGATCGAGGAGGGTGGTATAGGCAATGCGAGGCTGTCTTTCCTATCCTCTTCAATTCCTCTTTCCTTGATATAATGTTAAACAGGTACTGCCTTATGAATGTGCTTTCTTACATGAATAATTGTTCATTTGCTGGAGGGTTCTATCTGACCACCTTGCTCTGCCTCCTCCCCCCATATTCACCTTTATAAATAATTGACTTTTTAACAAACTTTTGGAACAAGTATTTTGGTAAGGAAAGCATCTTTAATAAATTGATAGTGTAATACATTCAGTGTCACCATGGAACTTCCTGGAGTATATTAGTGATTAAAAACACAGCTGAATTATAACCAGATATAGTGATTGAATGAAATCAAAATGATAATGGTTTTATATTTCCATATATCAAGTGAAAAAGATGAATGTCCAGTCATACCTTCATTAATTGTTAAAATATTTGGAGTAATGTATATTTAGAAAAACAAATGAAGAGAAAGCTAGGTAATTCCCACTAGGTTATTTAGGCAGATACATTATTCTTCAAAAATATAGCAAGTAAATTGAAAGCATTTCTTGCTTGGTTATCTATATATATGCGTAGTGCTTCTGCCAGACCATTTAGCTGGCAAAGTCTTGTTCAGCACAAACACAAATCATTCATGCTAAAAACAAGCCAATTTGTTTGTGTGCAGAAACCACTATCTCCCATGCTGATCTGGAAACAGAAAATGGCTTCAAAATTCTATCAGCAAGAACAATCTAGTGTGTAATAACAAATATTCAGTACATAGCAGAAGATACAGTTAATTGCTATCACATTTTTGTTTGTGTTGGTTGGTTGGTTGGCTGGTTGGTTGGTTGGTTTTAGAGACAGGGTCTCACTCTGTCATCCAGGCTAGAGAACAATGGCATGATCATAGCTTACTGTAGCCTTGAACTCCTGGGCTCAAGCAATCCTCCCATCTCAGCCTCCCAAGTAGCTGGGACTATAGGTGCATGCCACTACAACCAGCTCATTTTTAAATTTATTTTTGTAGAGTCGGGGTCTTGCTATGTTGCTCAGGCTGGTCTCAAACTCCTGGCTTCAAGCAGTCTTCCCACCTCGGCCTCCCAGAGTACTGGGATTATAGGCATGAGCTACTGTGCCCAGCTGTTAATGCTATATTTGAAATTCTACTTGTACTTCTTATTATGTTCAAATTATATCCTGAATTTAATAATTTAAAGTAAATAGAATCCTTGTAGTCATCAAGGAAAGCAAGGCAGTAACAGAGGAGAAAATGATTTCTGAAAGCAGGTGGTTTTCTAAATATGCAGATATTTATCACTGCAGGCCATAACACAGCTATGCATATTTTATTATTAACGAAGTATGCAGTGTATGCCTATAAATATTTGCCTGGGATTTTCCAAGCATCTTGTTCATGATACCATTTGGGTGATTATGGTCGTCTTTAACATGTAGACACAAGCATCAACATACCCCTTAGGTATTTATATGACAGGTTATAATTTAACAGATTTTTCCATTTTCTGCCTACTTGATTCTGTACTAGGTTCTGCCCTCATATTCTTCTATCTAAATCTGAGCCATCACCTAAAACACACTGCAAGTGTTTCCTCCATCGAGCTCATAGCAATTCTTTCTGCATAGAGTTCTCATGCTGTTTGGCATTGTTATGGGATTCTTCCCGTGCTTTTTCTTTCTAGAGAGATCATCCCTCCCCTCTGTGGAACATAAGGAGTGGAGGAAAAGCCAAGTCCCCTGGCACTCTTCAGTTTAATAATTACAGCTTTGGCCATCCATGAGTGTAACTACCTCCCTCCAAGAAATAAGTCAGACTCTATCGGGACAGCCTTGGGTCCAACTGCAAGAAGTCACTGTTGAAGACATTATGCTATGTGAAAAAAAAGCCAGTCATAAAAGACCACAAAGTGTATGATTCCATTCATATGAAATAACCAGAATATCCAAATGTATAGAAACAGAAGGTGGATGAGTGGTTGCCTAGGGCAGTGGGAGAGGGTAGGGAGGCAGTGGGGAAAATGGAGAATGACTACTAATGGGCATGACATTTCTTTTGAGGATGAAAATGTCCTAAAACCATGGTGATGGTTCCATAGCTTTCTTTCTTTTTTAATATTTTATTATTATTATTTTGCATAGCTTTTAAAATATACTAAAAACCATTGAATTGTACTGGCTTTTGTTTGTTTGTTTGTTTTTGTTTTTGTTTTTGTTTTTTTGAGATAGGTTTCACTTTGTTGCCCAGGCTGGAGTGCAGTGGCATGAACATGGCTCACTGCAGCCTCAACCGCCTGGGCTCAAGTTATCCTCCTGCCTCAGCCTCCCAAGTTCCTAGGACTATAAGTGTGTGCCACCATGCCTAGATAATTTATAAATTTTCTCTAGAGACTGGGTTTTGCCATATTGCCCAGGCTGGTCTCGAACTCTTGAGCTCAAGACACCTGCCCACCTCAGCCTCGCAAAGTGTTGGGATTACAGGTGTGAGCCACAGTGCCTGGCCAAACTGTACATTTTAAATGTGTAAATTGTTTGGTATGTGAATTATATCTCAATAAAGCTGTTAAAAAAGAAACCATTGTCCCTACATCAGCCACTACCCTCAGAGTCACCCTATGTGTATGTGTACTACAAATCTCTGTAATTATCAAGCTGTCCTCACAGGGTTAACAAGAATTCTGGACAGAAATATAGTTATAATTAAGCAGCTATAGTTAATCAGGCTGCGCTTTGCCCTCTTCCTTGTAACTGAAAGTAACATTAGATACTGACCATTTGCATTCCCACTGTTCCTACAGTTAGGATCTCTGATGTTAGAATCATATGGCTTTTGCTTATGAATTGCTTAAGGTGTTTTTTAGATCCCAAATCCCAGGGAAACAGCTGATGCCAACCAGTTTAAAGACCCCCACAGAGGAACCAAATCAGCATGAGAAAACAGTTTCCTTATCTCCCTGTCCCTTGACTTCACTCTGCACTTTTCAACTGATCAACAATCTCCATGCTTTGGCCCACTCCAAAACCCTTAAAAACTCTATCCCCAAACTCCTCAGGGAGACAGATTTGAGGTTTCTCCCATTTCCTCTTCAAAGGCCCTATGATTACACCTCTTTCTCTGCTGCAACCTGGTATCTTGGTGCCAGTAGGTAAAGGACCCTGTAGGTAAAGGACCCTGTAGGTAAAGGACCTACAGTTATAATCAGATACAATGACATCTTGTCCTTTGAATTTTCTCGTGGGACCTCTGGTGGGCTATTCATCTTATGCTTTGAAAAAACCTCTGAAATGGGTCATGGCCATACTATGTCTTAGGCAAAATATTGCTCCCTGATCTTTTTCCTACCACCTCACCTAGAGTTTGGACTTTGGCATTTATAAAACAAACTGGCACACTTTTGAGAGTGGAAGGGAGAGCTATCAATAATTACTCTGACACATAAACCATAAACTAGGACTGTCCTGAGAAAAATATTAGGACATATAGTCCTTAACTAGAGCTCAACAACAATGGGTATACAATGAGCCTAGCAGCATGATTCCAAATAAGAAAAAGTCAACAATATTTAAAAACCTAAAATTGCAACAATACAAATTCCCTTTCATTATCAAATTCCCAGTGTGACATTTAAGTACAAATAATGGCTGGGGGTACAGTGGCTCACACTGTAATCCCAGCACTTTGGGAGGCTAAGGCAGGCAAATCACTTGAGGACATGAGTTCAGGAGAAGCCTGGCCAATGTGGCAAAACCCCATCTCTACTAAAAATAGAAAAATTAGCTGGTCATGGTGGTGCATGCCTGTAATCCCAGCTACTCGGGAGGCTGAGGCACAAGAATTGCTTGAAACCAGGAGGCAGAGGTTGCAGTGATCTGAGATTGTGCCACTACACTCCCACCTGGGTGACAGAGCAAGACTCTGTTTCCAGAAAATACAAACAATGAATCTCCTTCATCCTTTTAACTAATGTGCAAGATAGTAAAGCCCCACATTCTTAAAATTAAATCAAAATCCCAAAGACCACTCTTTTCCAATTTTGTTTTACACAGGTTCCTATGGATGAATTGAACACAATTCTATCCTAGGACAGCCCTAAAATGAATGCTTCAGATGCCATCCCCTCTAGGCTACTCAAGGATCTCAATGCAGCCCAGCAATTGTGCACTTTCTCTCCTCGTCCCAATTTTATTTTATTATTTTCTTTTATTTTTTGAGACAAGGTCTCGTTCTATCGTCCAGGCTGGAGTACAGTGGCACCATCTCGACTCACCGCAATCTCCACCTCTTAGGCTCAACCAATCCACCCACCTCAGCCTCCCAAGTAGCTGGGACCACAGGCGTGCATCACTACACCTGTCAAATTTTTGTATTTTCAGAAGAGGCGAGGTTTGCCGTGTTATCCTGGCTGGTCTCAAACTCCTGGGCTCAAGTGATCCACCCACCTGGGCCTCCCAAAGTGCTAGGATTACAGGTGTAAGCCGGCATGCCCAGCACTTTTTTTAATAGAAAAAAAAAACCAGAAACAAAAACTTCTCTTGATGAGCTATTATGCCATCTCTCTCCTCTCTGTCAACATGAAGAGTCAAACTCTGAAATATTTGATAAGATTTATTCTGAGCCAAATATGAGTGACCAATGGCCTGTGACACAGCTCCAGGAGATCCTGAGAACATGTACCCAGGGGTAGTATGGCTACAGCTTGATTTTATACATTTTAGGGAGTGATAAGACATCAATCAATACATGTAAGATGTACATTGGTTTAGTCCAGAAAGGCAAGACAACTTGAAGGGGGTAGGGGTTCCTGGTCATTCATAGGTGGATTTAAAGATTTTCTGATTGCCAATTGGTTAAAGGAGTTATTCTCTAAAGACCTGGAATCAATAGAAAAGAACTTCTGGGTTAAGATAAAGGATTTTGGAGACCAAGGTTTTATCATGCAGATGAGGCCTCTAGGTAGCAGGCTTCAGAGCTCTTATCAGATCTAAAAAGGTGCCAGACCCTTAGTTCTCTCCTGGATCAGGGAAAAGACCTGGAAAGGAATGGAGTTTCTCTACAGAGTGTAGAGTTTTTCATTTTGGGGTAAAGTGCTTCAATTTTTTTTAATTTTTTTATTTATTTAAATTTTTTTTCTTTTTTCTTTCTTTCTTCTTTCTTTCTTTCTGTTTTTTTTTGTTTGTTTGTTTGTTTTTTATATATATACAGCGTCTCACTCTGTCACCCAGGCTGGAGTGCAGTGGCACCATCTCTGCTCATTGCAACCTCTGCCTCTGGGGTTCAAGCGATTCTCATGCCTCAGCCTCCCAAGTAGCTGGAATTACAGGCATGCACCACTGCACCTGGCTAATTTTTGTATTTTTGGGTAGAGGCAGGGTTTCACCATCTTGCCCAGGCTGGTCTTGAACTCCTGACCTCAAGTGGTCTGCCTGCCTCAGCCTCCCAAAGTGCTGGGATTACAGGCATGGGCCACCGTGCCAGGCCAATGATTCAATTTCTTCAGGGCCTGCTGTCTGTCACATGATGCTATACTAGAGTCAGGCTGGAATTTGGTGCCTTATTTCTACAAAAAGTCTATTTTGTCATTCTTAAGAGCTCTGTTATAATGTTAATGCTGGTCACCTGTGCCTGAATTCCAAAGGGAGGAGGGTATAATGAGGCATGTCCAACCCCCACTTCCCATCATGGCCTGAACTAGCTTTTTAGGTTAACTTTGGAATGCCCTTGACTGAGAGGAGGGGTCCATTTGTTTGGTTGGGGAGGCTTAGAATTTTATTTTTGGTTTACATCTCTACAGAAAACATCCTTGAAAGTTCAGTCTGTACTTGGTGTCTTTAATATCTCTTCCTGTTAGCTTTGAATCCACTCTAATCAGGTTTTTGCTTCACCAATCCACCTACGTTGTTCTATCAAGGTTACTTTAATGCCAAATCCAGGTGTCAATCCCAGCAGCACTATTTGACACAGTTGCTTTCTCTCTTCTCCTCCACTCTTTTCATTTGGCTCCAGGACACCACAGTTGTTGGATTTCTTTTTTTTTTTTTTTTAAT
Organism: Homo sapiens; assembly: GCF_000001405.40. Taxonomy (NCBI): domain Eukaryota; kingdom Metazoa; phylum Chordata; class Mammalia; order Primates; family Hominidae; genus Homo; species Homo sapiens. The sequence continues at coordinate 108,641,490 of NC_000011.10, read as the reverse complement.
CTGTCTTGCCACTCCTGAGTTTCCTTTTCTGGTTCCCTCTCAGGTCTGACCCCTAAATTTTGGAGAGATCCAAGTTTTTAGATCTTTCTTTCTTTTGTAGGGGCCAAGGAACACTTTCATTTTGCCCTCCAAAGTTTCACTGAAAATTCCTGACATAAGGCAGAATAATAGAAAAAGAAGCATACAAATTTATTTAATGTGTATGCATAAGAGCTTTCAGAATGAAGACCCAACCTCCCTGTCAGCTGCAGAAGCTTATACACTGAGGAAAGAAAATAACTTTCATAAGAAGAATGAATGTGAGCTCTTTCAAATTATTAGGCCCAGAGAAGCATTAAATGAGACAGAAATCACACCCTACTCCCCCATATGAGCTCTCTGTATTCATCTCTTGAAACTGCTTGCTATTGCCACAAATAGCTATAAATGAACCTAACAATGCCACACCAGGCGCTATAATATAACCCACACCCTACAGCTTAACCATGTATAGCCAATCACTAATCAATATTATTTCTGAAAACCAGTGAGAATTCCTGACAAACAACTTTGCACCAGCTCACTCCCTGTCCCCATTTTTTGCCTTTAAAAATTGCCTTGTAACTGCTCTATAAATTATACACTGCTAGAGTGTATATTCAGGGCAACTGGAATCTATGATCCTGGTTGCAATCTTCAACCTTGGCCCAAATAAACTCTCTACTTATATTAATTTTGCTTCAGCTTCTTCCTTTTACATCGACAATACCATCTTGAGGTTGCAGAAAGAATCAGGGCTTGGATCCTGGTAAAACAGGTTATGGGGTGGGGGAAGAAGAGAAATTCTGTTGAGGAGAAATAAATTATTACTAGGGAGAATGAATGGATGTGAAACAGAGATTAGCTGGTAAATAATGTCTCTTTGGAATTTGAATGAGTCTGAGAAACAGACATTATCTTGTGAAAGGGTCTGTTTAGGTGTGGTTACATTCTTGGTCTTCTTTTCTGTGATAGATAATGAGAGATATGAAGGAGGGGAAGAAAAAATAATCATTGTTCTTGTTGATTCTGGATGTTAGGCAGATAAAGGAATTTCAACTTCTTTGAGAGAGGCCTTGAGTCTTCTTCAGTTCTGTATGTCAGAATGCCATATTTGGGGTATCAGTTTTTGAGCCCCAACTCACTTCCTAGATGAAGTCTCTTGGTTGCATGGTTTTAAATACCATCTCGAAAGTGAGGAAACCCAAATTTATATCTCTAGCACAAACCTCTTTTCTAGCTTCTAGCCCTGTGTATCCAACTACCTGTTTGACAACTCCACTTGGATGGCTAAAACTTCAAGCTTAACATGTCCAGCTTAGCCTTAAGCCCTGATAAGTTCACTCCTTCAAACCATTCCTCTCAATCTGCTCCAGCTCAGCTTATTACAATTCAATCCTTTGAGTTTCTCAGGTTAAAACTTAGTGTCACTCTTAAATGGACATCCTCACTCCATTTATAAATTGTGTTAGCTCAACCTTCAAAATATCTTCAGAATTCAGTTTTTTTTAAACAACCGGGCCATTGTTGAGATATCTTCAGAATTCAGTAACTTTTTATTACTGCCACTACCACTAACCTGGTCCCACCCACCTTTCTCTTCCTTCTCTCACATCATTGCATTAGCCTCTTACTGTTCTCCTAATTTCTATCATTGTTACCTCCTGTCTCTTCACACAGCAGGTAGAGTGATCCTGTTAAAATCTGAGTCTAATCATGTCACTCCCCTGCTCAAAACTCTCCATGGCTTACGGTCCCATTCAGAGTAAAAAGTGAGGTCCTTATTATGACCTGTAAGAACCCCATGATCTGACTTCCTGTGTTCTCTTTGACCTCATTTTTTACTACTTTCCCCCTACTCTCTGAGCTCTGGTTATACCAGCCTCCTTGCTCTTCCTTGAACACACCAGGCATGTTTTCAACATTAGGGTCTTTACATCTACTATTCCTTCTGAAGCTGGCTTCCTTACTTCCTTTAAGTCTTTTATCAAAAATCCCCTTTTCTTAGCCAGAGCAACATAGTGAGACCCCATCTCCACAAAAAATAAAAAATTAGCTAGGTGTGGTGGTGCATGCCTGTAGTCCCAGCTCCTCAGGAGGCTGAGTCAGAAGGATTGCTTGAGCCCAGAAAGTTGAGGCTGCAGTGAGCTATGACTGCATTGTTGCACTCCAGCCGGGCAACAGAGCAAGACCCCATCTCAAAAAAAGACAAAATTATCTTTCCACAAAGGCCTTTTACCATGTATATTTCCTCTTATTTTTGTCCATTGCACTAGAATATTGGTCATATGAGGGCAGGGAATTTTTTTCTGTTTTGCTCCCTGCTGTATACCCGTACCTAGAACAGCACCTGGCACACAGCAAGTGCTCCATAAATATTTGTTGAGTAAAAACTACACGAATATCATTCCTAAGTAGAGTTGGGAGTTCCCACAGCAACTCTGATTTTCAATTAATGCAATCCAAAGTTTCTCACATGCCTCACTTTGGTTCTGAGTGCCCAGCTGTCAGTGCAGCCTAGACCCAGAGTTCTGCTGCCAGGCAAAGACCAGAGCAGAGACTCAGAAGTATCTGAGAGAAGAAGCATTCACAAAGTCTGTGTTTCAAGTTTTACTAGGATGCCAAAGCCCTATGGGGTTAAATTCAGTTGGAAATCTCTTTCGACCTTTCATTCTGCTCCTATATTGGCACGTTTGTGATTTCCATCTCTGCCCTCAGAGCACAGCAATTGAGATACTCCTGTCTTTTTGATAAGTTTAGACATTTGTGGTGTTATTCCAGGTCTTCCTTGACTGTATCTTCCTTTTCCATTTCCAAAAAGTGCTCTGTCTTCCTGTCACCTTAATGCTGAGATGAGAGAGAACTTTGTCCAGTGATTTAGCCTCAAATTCTTTTGAGCAGACACTTTTATTCTGAGCCTCAGAAGCTGCAGAATTACTCAGAACTTTTTAGTAGGCTGATAAAGTTCATTGTGAATCTCCAAGAAAGAAATATGACTATTTCTCAAATTTACGTGACCATTAATAGCATCTTTATTGCAGAACAAAAATAATGTCCCTTGGAAAATAGATTGGAAAATTACTTGACAATTAATCATGCATTTTACAAATGCAAGATTTTTCTCCCCTAATTTTCTCACATACTTTACTGCGAACTCAAATGATGACTTCTCTATTAAACTTCTCTTGGTCAACCCAGGAAGAAAGTTTCAGGATTTCTATAGGGTTTATCACAATCTTTTTTGGGCCACAGCTTTATTGAGATTCAACCATTTAAAAGTGTGTAATTTAATAGCTTTTAGTATATTCACAGAGTTGTGCACCCAACACCACAATCAATTTTAGAACATTTTCATCGCATCAAAAAGAAGCATTATACCCTTTAGCTACCACCCTCTCCAATCTCTCTATTCCCACCAGCTCTAAGCAAATTTCAGTCTACTTTCTGTTTATATATATACTTGCCTATTCTGCACATTTCACGTAAATGGAATTATACAATATGTAGCCTTTTGTGACTGGCTTCTTTCTCTTAATGTTCTCAGGTCCATCTATGTTGTAGCATGTATCAGTACTTTATTTCTTTTTACGGACAAGCAATATGCCATTGTATGGATAAACCATGTTTTGTTTATGCATTCATCATAAACATTCTGGTATAATGCTGTTTTGTTTATGCATTCATCATAAACATGCTGGTATAATGCTGGTATAAACATTCATGTACAAGTTTTTATGGGGGCATATGTTTTCATTTCTCTTGCATACACTCTTAGCATCACAGTTTTTTGGAAACAAATGGAATAAGGACATTCTCCTGCTTGAAATCTCCAGCTGGCTTCCTATTGCACTTATAAGAGTCCAAACTCTTTACCAAACCTTTCCAGATCTTCGTATTCTGGTCCTAGCTACATCTCCCATCTGATCTCCTAAGTCTCCCTGCTCACAATACTTCACCACACTCGGATTTCTCCAAACACGCCAAGCTTGTTCTCGCCAGTGCAGTTTTGAACTTGCCTTCTCCCCCGATCTTCACGTGGCTGACTTGTTCTGATCAGACAGACCTCAGCCCAAAGTTCACCACCTCCTTACTGTGGCCTTCTCTGACCTATGCATCTAACGTTGTCTGGTTACTCTTTGCAGTTAGAACACCTATAATTATCTCAAAGTAACTTTAGTACAGATTTTCTGCTTGTTTATTTTATACCTTCTTGACTAAAATGTAGGATCTATAAGATGAGAATTCTAGTTTTTCACCACTCTATTCCCAATACTTGTCTCAGTGTCTACCAAATCACTATGTATAAGTGGATAAATTACCTTGGCATTCATTTGATATTCTGTCGAGGTTATATAATGCCCATTATCTTCTTTTATATTCTTCTTTGTTTCAAATCATTATTCTAAACTTCTTGAGCCAGTCCTTCTTTTGTACTTCTAAATAATCCTCATTACCAAGCAGAAGAGGCACTCAATAAATTTGCTCCCTGAAGATTTCTTATGATTTCAGCACATATAATTTGTTTATTCAATGTAAAGAAGGAGTTATTAGAAGCTTGTGGAGTTTAAGTGAAATTTTATTGGTTTCATGCCTGTATTTGTATAACCAATGCTAACATTCAAAATTAGGAAAACTATTCTGGTTTCCTTGAAGCAATGTAAAGATTGATAGGTTAAGTGGAGAATCTTTTGACTTAACCTAGTTTTTATCATTATACTTACAAATACACATCGACTTATTTGAGGCTCATTTACTCAATGAATGGTCCCACCATTTACTGAGCAAATGAGAAAGTCCTACCTCACTTTCTGTGATATTGTTCAAATATCTAAGCAGTCATACTTGGAATGCTCATGAAATGCAGTACTCTGGCTGACAATTGGAGGTTGGTGTAATGTACAAGCATTTCCAATAGCATCAAGATATCTGCTTTCATCTTAATCATATTAAAATATTTTTTTTTTTTCTTTTTATTTCTCATAGAGACAGAGTCTTTCTCTGTCACCCAGACTGGAATGCAGTGTGCAATCATAGCTCACTGTAACCTTGAGCTCCTGGACTCAAGCAGTCCTCCCACCTTAGCCTCTCGAATAGCTAGCATTACAGATGGATGCTAGCCACGACACCCAGCTAATTTGTTTTTCTTATTCTAAAGATGAGCATTTCCCTACCTTGCCCAGGCTGTTCTCAAATTCCCATCCTCAAGTCATCCTCCACCTTGGTCACCCAAAGTGTTGGGGTTACAGGCATGAGAGATTGCTCCCAGCCCATCATTAGTTTCATTATGATAAAAACATTCACTAAAAATAACATTGTCCCAAGTAATTTTGTTATAGTTCTTCCTTTATTGTCAATATTAAATTAAATATATCTTGGATATTACTATTAATATACAAAATACCACAAAGTGTTTTCCTTGCAGTGAGTGAAAAATGAAAGGGAACATTGAAATAGGCTAGTCTTTGCCCAATCTTAGGGGTATCATATTTGGTTATTAGAGTTGCCTCAGTGACATTGGGAGGATTCCTGGGAGCAGAGATGGCCCTACTCAAAGGCATATTGATTAGACTACAATAAATGCCATTTCAGCCTAATATAAGCATATGGAACACTTGATTGTTGTGGATAATACAGCTCCTTTCATGTACAACTTCTACAGTGTGTATTTTCAGTCATATTTTTGGAGAAAGTATTGTGTTTTTGTCACTTTCAGCTTCAGATTCTATTAAATTGGACATTGTCAGGTATTTATTTAGAACAATAAAAACTCTCATGTACTACGTACAGTATAATATATATACACCTTAATTGAATGCCATAAACCTTTGTTGCCATTTGCATTCTTGTTAACATTTATCCCTGACCAGAGTAAGTGAATGTAATGAACCAAATGCAGCAATACACGTTTCTGTTTCTGAGACACAAACAACGCGATTTATTTACACTGGCTATCCTGACTGGCAACTAAATTCTGGTAGGTGAATATGGCCTTTTCATAAAAGATCAGTTGAAAAAAAATGAGATACCAGTGGTTAGATCTCCCAGGGCCACTGTGGTCAAGAATCCTCATTTCCAACTCTGTTCTCCAGGTGGACAAGGAAGTAGGAGGGAGTGGAAACCAGTCTATCCATCAAGGCAAGTTGAATTAAGCACACTCATCCCTATGTTTGGCAAAACTCTGAGCAACACCAATAGAATGTGCTTGAGAACTATGAGATGGTTTAATTTAGGAGAGGTATCCAAGAAACAAACTATTGACTGGTTTCTTCAAGAAATATCAGTGGATCTTGAAATGCTGCTTGTCAGCATTCCATTCACATGCCTTCTTCTGGCAGGAAAATGTAGAAACAGAATTAGAGCTGCTAATCATTTCTGACTGGAGATGGAAGAAAGGAGTACAGGAGAAATCACTTATAATAAAAAGTCCATGATGCGCTAGAACTTGACAACTTACGTAGTTCAGAATAGGCATGAACCAAGTTCCCATGGACATATGAGCATTAAAAAAAACACACACACAGATAATGAGCAATGGTGGTTTTTGAAGTATATTGTTTCTTCTATGTGCAATTTCTATACTGGATTTGAATTACTGAAGCTTAACTTTGATAGCGTGTTATGAGTAAGGCTAGGAAAAAGGAAGCTTGTTAAAATATCTGCAAAAAAGATGGAACAAGCTTCTTGGACAAAACAATAGAAATGAGAGGCTCTAAAACAGGTCTAATGGGTGAAAGAAAGACAGAACAGAAAGCAATACCAGACAGGAGAATAGCTAAAGTAAAGCCTGGGTCAACTCACCAATAAGATCAAGTCAACAGGAAAATGTCAGCACTTTGATTGGCTGGGATGTAAGTTTGGAGGGAGACTTACAATAGTATCCATTTTTGTGAGCTGTGTTGTGAAGAAAGTTGAAGTATCAATAACCTAGTTAAATGACTAACAATTAATGATAAAATATGTGGATGTAAGCCAAGATTCCTAAAATATGGATTAGCCACATGGCATCACCCTCTCCAGGCAATCCCGTGAGGCTTTCCTGGGGGCTGGAACACATTGGCAGAAAACTATAACAGGAGAAGAGAGAGCTATTAGTACAGGGACAACAGCCTATCCAAAGATCTGGTGGCTCTGGAAGGTGTGGCTCTGGGAGAGTGGACTTCCTAGTTTTTAATGGAAAGGACCATTCAACCCATAAGAAAAAGATTTGTCCTCTTTATCATGCATACAATTGGGTCTATTCTTGGAACTAGAAGCATAAAGCATACTTCTTGATTATTTACTCTCATTAAATCCTTCCCAAGTCCGACAGCCATATAGAAAATTATTGCATTTTGAATTTCACTTTTTTTTTTTTTTGAAACAGGTTCTCACTCTGTCACCCAGGCTGGAGTGCAGTGGCATGATCGTAGCTCACTGCAGCCTTGGCCTCCCGGGCTCAAGCAATCCTCCCACCTCAGCCTCTGGAGTAGCCCAGTCCCTGAGTAGCTGGGACTACAGGTGCATTCCACCACACCTGGCTAATTTTTGTGTTTTTTGTGGAGATGGGGTTTTGCCATGTTGCCCAGGCTGGTCTTAAACTCCTGAGCTCAAGCAATCCACCCTCCTCAGCCTCCCAAAGTGCTGGGATTACAGGCTGGGCCACCACACCTGGCCTGAATTTCAATTTTTTTTTTTTTTTGAGGCGGAGTCTCGCGCTGTCACCCAGGTTGGGGTGCAGTGACGCGATCTCGGCTTACTGCAAGCTCCGCCTCCTGGGTTCACGTGATTCTCCTGCCTCAGCCTCCCAAGTAGCTGGGACTACAGGCGCCCGCCACCCCGCCTGGCTAATTTTTTTTTGTATTTTTAGTAGAGACGGGGTTTCACCATGTTAGCCAGGATGGTCTCGATCTCCTGACCTCGTGATCCGCAAGCCTTGGCCTCCCAAAGTGCTGGGATTGCAGGCTTGAGCCACTGCTGAATTTCAATTTTAACTTTGTATTTATTGAGCAACTACTATATGCCAGATTTGTCCTACACACTGGGAATATAAAACTACAAAACAAAATCTCTGTCCACAAGGAGTTTGGTCTATAGGTTGAAAACTGCATTAAATAATTTTAAAACTATGTATTAAGGAATAAGCACAAGGGAACATAGAGGAGGCAAATCTAAATTAGACTTGGAGGTTGATTATCAGAGTAGGTCATGATAGAGCTGAATCTTAAAGTAGGAGTTATCCTCCAAAATAAGTAACAAAAAGAAGAAAAGACTAAGGAAACAGCATGTTCAAAACCATGGTAACAAGAAAGAAGGTGGTGGAGGAATTCTACTTCTTGCTATAATGAAGTAGCCTGAACATATCAACCACTTCAACTTGAAAACAACCAGGAAAGTTGGGAGAGGGAGGATGAATATAGATAGATATAAATATAGGACAGCCTCCAAAATAGTGAGATCTATTTGAGGGGCTAAGATAAAAGCGAAAAGAGCAGCTCATTGATGTGAGCTCATTATTATAGGTGCCATTATTTCCCTTGGGGCATCTGCTGATTTCAGCTTTTCAGGAGAGAGGCTGAGAAGCTGGGCGGAAGGCTGCTACTAAGAGACAGAGAAACTAGCAGAGCTTCAGCAATTTCATAAGGCTGAAGAGATAAAAACTGGAGTTCAGGCTTGCCAAAGCAGTCAGGACTTTAAGGGACCAACATCTCAGAGAAAAGGAAGAAGTGTGAAGAAGTGATCTTGACACTCAGCAGGAGCATCCCTTAAGGATACCAGTGACTACCTTGCAATACGCCAAGAAACTAAGCTAGAAAAAACAAAACAAAACAAAACAAAAACCCAAAAACCAAAAAAAAAAAAAAAAAAAAAAACCAGCTAAAAAGCTTCCAGCTGCCTGGGGGTAACTCTGAAGATTTCTGAAAGGGCCAGCATGCTGAGTTTGAATGCTAAACAGCCAGTAACCATACAGATGGGGACAAAAGTAGCAAAGGAAAATGGCCAACCATAACACAGAACTATTCTAATGGAAAAATACTGCCACCAATGCCTGGCATTTTGACACTCATGATACAAAGACCACATGCCAGAAAATACCCCACAGCTGTTACCAGAAGAACCAGATGTTTTTGACATTGTTTCAATAAGAACCAAACTCCTTGCCCACAGTCACCTACCTCCTATTTCATGGGGGTGCATCTGGGAAAGGGAATGCACCCACATGTGGGTATGTGGGTGGATATGATATCATATGTGGATGTCTTGCTTCAGGGAAATCTGAGAAATATTATATTAGCTTTCTAACCCTGTAATATCCAAATGCAAACCAGAAGGGGATTGGCATGGATGCTGAGTAAGCTAAATTCCAGTACATTTCCAAAGCTCCAAACCATTAGAGGGCATAAAAGGAGTTCAAGAAAAATCCAATCGAAAAAATAGAATGCAGGAAATAAGGGAGGAAAGGCTTATAATAAGAAAGGTAGTTTTCATTTTCCAGCATCATGGTCGAATACATGCCTAGAATAACCCTCCCATTGAAAACCAATAAAAAATAAGATATACAAAATATTTTTTTTCAAAATGTACCTCAAAACAAAATGAGGGAAATCTCCAAAAGCCAAAAATAGATTGAAAGCAGGTATCCAGAAAGATAAGTTAGTACTGATTTTTTTTTTTTAAAAAAAGAACACACTGAGAGCATCTATACATACCTGATAACCATCAACTTGCATTTTTATGACAATTTCAGTGGCTAACTCATTTTAAAAAGTGATAATTACAAACTTTTAGTCCTTAGCTCCATAGTCTCAAAATATATGAAGCAAAAAATGGTAAGGAAAATTTAATGAATCAATGAGCAAAATGGGAAATTTTTTTTAACACAACACTCTTTCTAATTTATGTATCAAATAGGAAAAAGAATAACAAGTACATACAAGATTTGAACAACACAATCAAGTACCTAAGACATAAATATATAGCATATTCCATATAACAATTGGACAATACTCATTATTTTCAAGCATAGAGTGAACACATATAGATACTAAATATATATCAAGCAAAAAAGTGAATTACAATAAATTCCAAATTATTTAGCATCATATATAACCTCTCCACAATGCAACTGAATGAGAAATCAATGACAAACTAGAAAAGCTCCACAAGATTGAAAATTTTTCATGCACACTTTTAAAATAATCATGGGCCAAAAAGAAACCAAAATGGAAACTTAAAAATTACTTAAAAGATGATAATAAAGAAAACACTTGTATGACTCAATTATAGAAATATTTAGAGAGACATTTATAGCCTTAAAATACCTGTATTTTAAATAGATAAAGGTAGGAAAATTCACGACCAAAACATCCAACTTAAGTTAAAAAAAAAGACAAGCTAGAAAATGAACAAAATAATAAATCCAAAGAAGGTGAAAAGAAGCAAGTAAGATGAAATTCAATTAAACATAAATCAATGTATACTATATAGAAGGTCGAAATAAAAGCCAAAAGTTGGTTAAGCCTTGTATCACAATGTAATATTCTTTATTTCTGAGAATGATTTTTGCTTTTGTTGTTGTTGTTGTTATTTGTTTAGGGTTTATTTTCCATCCTATTACTTCTAAACTTTCTGTGCCCTTATATTTTTGGTGTGTTTATTAGAAACTACATATAGCTAGAATTTCTTTATCAGTGTGACAATCTCTGTCTTATAACTGGAGAGTTTGGTTCATTTATGTTTACTTAATTATTAATTCACTTATTCCTTGTCTTCTTTTGGATTTTTATTTTCTTTTGGCCATGTTATTTTTCCCTTTAATAGTTTATGAGCTATACTTTCTATAATTATTCTCTTTCTAGTTAATGCTATCCTTACCATCCTTTTTAAAAATATAAGGATCTTAAAATACCCTAGCCCTAATCATTCCCCCCGAACTTATATGCTATTATTGCCCAGGATGTTCATTTATATATAAGGTTATACATACATGATTATATATATAACATTTTATATATAATTATATATGTAAAGTTATATATATATAATTATATATGTAAAGTTATATATATATAACTAATTCGACGTTAAGTTTTTGTGTGATTAATGTTGCTTTACATTTCTTCGTATATTTATCATTATCTCTATTCACCATTTCTTCTTACTTCTCAGGCTTATTTCTGGCATCATTTTCTTTGACTTAAAAGACATCTTTTAGAATTTCTTCTGATTTCTAAACTCTGAGTGGTAAGCTCTCTATTTTGTTTGCCTGAAATATTTTAACTTGTTCTTGAAAAATACTTTGGTGGATATAGAATTCTAGGTTGAAGGTAATTTTCTCTTATCACATTAAGGATATTATGCCATTGTTTTCTAGCTTTTATTGTTGCTGACATTTTAACAGTCTTCTTTTGTTAAGTCATCTGGCTTTTTTCCAGCTGCTTTTAGGATTTTCTAATTTTTTTTCTGTTATTTCACTATTGGGTGTATAGTTGTGGGGATTTTTGGTATGCCCTGCTTTGGGTTAGCCAGCTTTCCTGGATCTGAGGTTTAGTATCTTTAAATAATTCTGGAAAATTGGCTGGGCACAGTGGCTCATGACTGTAGTCCCAGCACTTTGGGAGGCAGAATGATTGCTCAAGCCCAGGAGTTCGAGACCAGTCTGGGCAATGTGGAGAGACCCCACTTCTACAAAAAACATTTTAAAGTAGCTGGGTGTGGTGGTGATGGTAGGATCGGCCTATCTGGAGCATATGCTGTGAAGATGCCAGCTGCAGCGTGGGGTTGGGAGGCCTGGCTGAGGCTGCAGTCTCCATGGAGCCAGTGGGAACCCTGCCCCCTTCCAGTTGGTTGGGTGGGAACCCCACCCTTCCAGTGCAGTTGCAGCCTCCCAGCCACAGCTGCCCACCCGGGCATCCCTGCTCTCTCAGGGGCCCAGGAAGCCTCCCCTGCCCCCACAGGCTTGAAAGTGCCTGCTCCAGCTGCCTGGCCTCTCCCTGCTGCCACCACCCACTCCAATTTCAGAGCAAAGTTGAGGCCAAGCCCAGGTGCTGTCACGACCCAGCTGGGCATGCACATGCTCTGGGAGTGCTGACATGCCAGTCCCCTGCTGCCTCAGCCCTCTCCAGACTTTGGGCACTGAGGAGCATGGGAGGGAGCCCTAGGCAGTGCTGAGGGAGGCTTGGCGTGACCCTGCAGGCACCCCTCCACACAAACAGCCTGGGTGCCATGGAAGACATGATTGATGGTGGCAGGAGGCAGGCAGGCTCCTGGGCAGAAAGGGGTGGGTCCTAGTGAAGCCCCACCTTCAAGCCAGGGACAGCCTGAGGCATGGGGGGCCTGGCTGTCAGTTCCTCCCTTCTGAAGCCCATTAAAAACCCTACTCAGCCAGACTCACAGAGATGTTGGGCGGACCAGCTGTGGGAAGGAGCTACCCAATTTGGGTCTCCTTGACTGGTCTGGGACAACCTGCCTGCAGAAAGAAGCTACCCACTCTGGGTCTCCTTCCCACTGAGAGCTGGACACTGGTCAGGATAGCTTGCCAGAGCTGTTGTGTTGCTCAGTGAAGCTCCTCTCTGCCTTGCTCACCCTCTAGTTGTCCACACACCTCATTCTTCTTGGACACAGGACAAGAACTTGGGATGTGCCAAATGGCAGGACGGAAAGAACTGTATGTAACACAAACAGGACTGAAATATGCCCCTGCAACTCACCGCTTTGTGGGTGATGAGAAGGAGAGAAGAGCTGTGGTCCTTCAGGGAGGCCAGACCTAGGGGCTACCCAAGCCAGGGCTGTGACACGCTCTTTGGGGCTCTGTGCTTCCTGGTGTCTCCAAGCTTCCATGTACCACCATGTTCCCCTCATCGGAATGCAGGTTGCCATAGTGGAAGCTATGTGCGGTACATCTGGTCCAACCGCAGCCTTGCACGGAGCCAGCATCTGTGCCAGCTCCTGAACGTGCCTGCCCCACCGCAGCAGCCTGTGTGCCTGGTGGTGCACAGTGGCTGGACCCAATGCTTGCTAGCCCTGGGCAGGTGTGAGACCTGGACCAGTAGCATGAGCCAAACACAGCCGGCCAGACCAAGTGGGCACTACGAGTCCAGAAGGCGTGAGCAATACTCAGGCAGAAGGTGCCACCTACCACAGAGGTTTCTGGCTGGCTAAGTGAAACCCCAAGGGTCTCATGGCAGTGGTGTGCACCTATGGTCCCAGTTACTCAGGAGATTGAGGCAGGAGGATCACTTGAGCCTGGGAGATCAAGGCTGCAGTGAGCTGTGTTTGTATCACTGCACTCCAGCCTGGGCCACAGAGTGAGTCTCTGTCTCAAAAAACATAATGATAACAATTCTAGAAAAGTATCAGCCATTATCTTGGAATATGCCTGTTTTTTATTTATTAATATATCTTTCAAGAACTCTGGTTACATGTATGCTAGACCTGGCTATTCTAAAATGTCTTCATCACAATCTCACACTTCTTTGGTTATCTGGCTAGGCACAGAATTCTACGCTGAAAATCACTTTCCTCAGAGATTTGAACGTATTGCTCAAATACATTCAACTCCATAGTATTTTACCTTCCAGTGTTGCTCTTAAGAAATATGATGTCATTCCATTCCCAATCCATTGTATATGATGTATTTCTCTTTATCTCTACTTATTTACTTACTTATTTTCTCCTAATCACCAAATTGGAAACATTCACATTAATGTGCTTTAATATGGATCTTCTTCATCACTTGTGGTCACCCCCTTTAGTCAAGAAACTGTTGTCTTTCACTTGCAGAAAATTTTCTTATATTGTTTCTTTGATAATTTCTTCACCTTCATTTTATCTGTTCTCTTGATCTAGAATTTTATTGTTGAGTTTTGGATCGCAACATATCCTATGTATTTTTTTAATCTCTCCAGTTTTCCATCTGTTTGCCCTTTTGTTCTAGTTTATGAACAATTACTTCAACTTGATCTTTCAACCCCCGCCCCCCGACCAACCCTTTTTATGAGTCTGGGTTTCACTCAGTCACCCAGGCTGGAGTGCAGTGGTGTGATCACAGCTTGCTGCCACCTCAAACTCCTGGGCTCAAGCAGATCCTCCTGCTTCAGTCTTTCAAGTAGCTAGGACTACAGACATGTACCACCAAACTCAGCTAATATACTTTTTTAAATTTTTGTAGAGATGGGGGTCTTGCATATTGCCCAGGCTGTTCTCCAACTCCTAGTCTCAAGCAATCCTTCTGCCTCAGCCTCCCTAGTCTCGGGGATTATAGGAATGAGTCACCACACCTGGCTTCAACACTTTATTGAATTTATTTTACATATCATTTTCCTAGGATTCTGTTTCTTCTGTTCTATACACATTCCTTTTTATAGCCTCTTATTCCTGCTTCTTGAATGTACTTTAAAGATTTTTAAAGAGGATTTAATGTATATATATGCATATGTATATTTACATATATAAAACACAACATGTGTATTTTATCCTTCTTCATTACATTTCCCTTTTTTGTCTATGATTGTTAAGATGTCTGTCTTTCTGGGCTGGACGTGGTGGCTCATGCCTGTAATCCCAGCACTTTGGGAGGCTGAGGTGGGCAGATCACTTGAGGTCAGGAGTTTGAGACCAGCCTGGTCCCAACATGGTGAAACCCCATCTCTACTAAAAATACAGAAATTAGCACCTGTAACCCAAGCTACTGGAAAGGCTGAGGCAGGAGAAATTGCTTGAACCCGGGAGACAGAGGTTGCAGTGAGCTGAGATCACGCCACTGCACTCCAGTCTGAGTGACAGAGCAAGACTCTGTCTCAAAAAAAAAAAAAAAAAAAAAAAAAGATTTGGCTGGGCACGGTGGCTCACGCCTGTAATTCAGCACTTCGGGAGGCCAAGGCGGGTGGATCACGAGGTCAGGAGATCGAGACCATCCCGGCTAAAACGGTGAAACCCCGTCTCTACTAAAAATACAAAAAATTAGCCGGGCGTAGTGGCGGGCGCCTGTAGTCCCAGCTACTTGGGAGGCTGAGGCAGGAGAACGGCGTGAACCCGGGAGGCGGAGCTTGCAGTGAGCGTAGATGGCGCCACTGCCCTCCAGCCTGGGCGACAGAGCGAGACTCTGTCTCAAAAAAAAAAAAGATTTGGTTACAAGATTTTCTCAGATTCCGAGTGTTTAGTGTTCTTTGGCTGTTTCTTCATTTTTAAGAATAAGGCATCAAAAAGTTGATTTGATCCTGTGAGTCGTGGCTGTGCTTTTCAACTGGTGGACTTTGCTGTAGAGCAGAGTTGCTCAATAGCGGCGCTATTGATACTATGAACTAGATAATTCTTTGTTGTGGGAGGCTGTCCAGTGCACTGTAAGATGATTAGCAGCATCCCTGACCACCGCCCCTTAGATGATAATAGCATCCCTCCTTCATTGTAACTAAAAAATGTCACTAGGCATTGTCAGATGCCTAGTGGGAGGGAAGACCAAGTCGTCCCAATTGAGAACCACCACTCTAGTGTGAGCTGGCTAAGATTTTGTTGGGGCTCCAAACAAGCATTTCAAATTCATCTTTTTTTTCTCATGGGGTAGTCAATTTTCACTGCGAAAAATTATCCACTCTCCTGCCTGGAGGTTATCATCTGACTACCAGTATTCCCAGAGCAAGCTGGGAGTCTCACCATTAGGTATGCGGCTTTACACTTAGTTCTTCCATCACCTTGCTCATTTTCTTTTTGTTCTTCTTTTTTGTTTTGAGAGACAGGGTCTTGCTCTGTCACCCATGCTGGAGTGGAATGGCATGATCATAACTCACTGCAGCCTGGAACTCCTGGACTCAAGCAATCCTCCTGCCTTGGTCTCCCAAAGTGCTGGGATTACTGGGATGAGCCACTGCATGCGGCCTCCTTGCTCATTTTCATTGCAGCTCCTAACCCCACCCTCAGTCGTGCCCAGTGCCATTCAGCCCAAAGCCTAGTTCTACTCCTGGAGAGCAACACAATTCCAGTCTTACGTCAGGATGAAAAAACCATCTGATTCTATCTCTGAAGAGTCAGAGAGTTGACCCAGTGATTTAATTGCTTCTTACATAGGCTTTCAACTAACCTTGTATTAACCTTATCTACATCATGATCTTACTGATGCCCAGCACCTCCAATTCCAGGCTTTCTGAGCTCTGTAGGGTGAAGCAACTTGCTTCTTGCCTTCCACTACTTCTTAGGTTTTACTTTTTTCTGGGTTCTGCTAAGTTCATCTACACTAGCCCATTTGCTTTCCGGCTTCCAAAGGTTTTTTCCCCCATATTTTTTTCTGTTTAATTTGTCCTTGTGGATTTTTGCCTTGTTAAAGTCCTTACTGTAATCTTAGTGGTGCTTTAGAAGAGAGTAAAGGTAAAAGCATGTATTCAACCCACTCTTCAATAAGAACTCCGTTGCTGCATGTTTTAATAAGTCCACTGTTTTAATAATACCCTTTGTAAGTTACTTTCTCTTGACTTTACCCCATTTACCACCTAAGCAGGGCCATTGGAGAAGAAATTGTGGGCCTGGGGTCTTTCTGATTACCTATAATACAGATGATGACTTATCCTCTCAATGCTATTGCTGCCCCTAATTTCTCCGTACCTACTTGTCTTCCTTTTTGTAAGAGAGAAACCATGACATTTATCTCACCGAATATGTTTTATCAGATCAAGCCAGGAAGTCTATGCTACGTCATGAAAAGTGGCTTTTTAGGAAAAAAGCCCCTATAGAAACACTAAAGTATGCTCAATTGGGTAACCTACCTTTGAAAGCTTATCTAGATTCGCAGTGTTTCCATTACTCACTGTGAGTTAAGGTGAATTGCCAATTCCCCACCCAGTGTATCAAAACAAAAGTGACTTAAGAGAAGACAAGGAAAGGACAGAGAATAGACTAAAACCACAGAATCTTACATGTAATTTAAATCTAAGTCTGTGTCCTTTCCTGTTTAATGGAGGCAGAGATATGGAAGTTGAGGTCCTTCCTTCCCAAACTGTTCAAATGAATCTAAAAGAATCAATTATTGAAGAGTGAGAGTTTCTGTTTAGCCAGGCAATAACTTCACTACTGCTTAAGCACTGGTGTTTACAACATGATTGAACAGGGAGGACCTGGCAAATGAGCTCTCTGTGGGTGTGCATGCCAATATCAATGCTGCACCCAGAGAGCATGCTAGACGGAGTTATGTTGATTCTTGGAGAAGTCTGCCTTTAACAATAATGCCAATTGCACCACAGACACATCTTCAACACACAAGCCCCACCTCAAATGAAAAACTTTTTTACAAAACAATGAACACATGTTGGCCTGTTTGATTGGGAAAAGCCTTTAACCATGATAAAAAATGAGCCTGGTGCTAAGAAAAAATTAAAACAACCGTGAGAGAAGAGGCCAAATGTTATTGAGCAGGTCTTTCAAATTGGTGGCCTTGAACCATTGGACATAGGACTTTAAAATTTCATATTTTCATTCCAGTGATAATCTAATGATATTAATATAATCATTACATCAAAAATATCTTGAAAATATTCTTCGGGCTATTTCTTATTCCCCTCATTTATTATGTTTCACAGTACCCTACTATAATTCATGCTGAGCCTGATGGTGCCCAGGGAAGAAGATACTAACCAGAAGGAAGTTCCACAGAATGAAGAAGAGATGATAGAGGGCAAGTAACCATAAGAATAGAAAGGGACAGGCCAGGTGCAGTGGCTCGTGCCTGTCATCTCAGCACTTTGGGAGGTGGGAGGATTGCTTGAGCCCAGGAGTTTGAGACCAGCCTGGGCAACATCGTAAGATCCTGTTTCTACAAAAAAAATTAAAAATAGAAAAAATAAGAATAGAAAGGAACATAGAAGCCCTTCTGGAATGGGGAAGAAATGAGGCAAGAAGTCAAAACCAGTATCTTCCTTCTCCTTGATCACTCAACCCCTCTTTGCCTTCATCCTTCCCTTTTTGTTCAAATTGTTTCTGCCTAAAGTAAATCCTTCTTTAGCTCTTTTAGCAAGGAATGTGAGTGGTAAATCTTCTCTGTTTTGTATTAAAATATTTTTATTTTGCCTTATTTTATTTTGACAATTGAATGATAATTTAGTTGGGGATAGAATTCTAAGTTGACAGTTTTGCAACTTTTATTCCATTGACTCTGAATTTGATAATTTCTGTTGAAAAGTCTATTGTCATTTTAACTAATGTTCTCTTTTAGTTTAAGTTTTAAAAATCTTTGGGTGTCTTAATATTTTCTTTTCATTTGAGGTGTTCCATCATTAGTTATCCTGAAGATTCATGTCTTTCATTAATTTAAGAAAATTCTCAGACATTATCATTTGAAATACTGCCTCTCCCACTCTTCATTCTCTCCTTTGGAAATTCCTATTAGATAGGCACTGGACATTTTTCTTCTTTCTTCCATATCTCTTAAACTATCTTTCATATTTTCCATTTCTCAAGCTTTTGAGAGTCACATTTGTATATATTTCCTTAGATCTAAATTTCAGGTCATGAATTGTCTATTTAAGAATTAGTGTAGCTGTATTTTTTTATTTTAATTTTTAGAAATTTTATTTTTTAAAAGTAGGACTTTGATCTTATTTTCCTGTAATTCCTATTCTTTCTTATCTCTTGTTTTAAACATACTTATTTTATAGTGCTATAAGCTGAAGTGCTTGGGAGGGAGTATATAACTGCTGTTTATTGAATCTGATAACTTTCACACATGGTGGATTATTTCCTCCTGTATTTTGTCATTTCACTGGGGATCATTTTTTCTTTGTAGCCTTGGGTTTGGAAGTACCCTGTAAAGTAGCTTATTTGTTTGTTTATTTATTTATTTATATGGTTTGTCTGTGTCCCCACCACAATCTCATCTTGAATTGCAATCCCCATTATCCCCACATGTCGTGGGAGGGACCCAGTGGGAAGTGATTGGATCATGGAGGCAGTTTCCCCCTTGCTGTTCTCATGATAGTGAGTTCTCACAAGATCTGATGGTTTTGGGAGTGCCCGGCATTTCCCCTGCTAGCACTTCTCCCTCTTGCTGCCCTGTGAAGAAGATTCATTCCTTCCCCTTTGCCTTCAGTCATGATTGTAAGTTTCCTGAGGCCTCCCAGGCAATGCAGAACTGGAAGTCAATTAAACCTCTTTCCTTTATAAATTACCTGGTCTTGGGCAGTTCTTTATAGCAGCGTGAAAACAGAGTAATACATTTATTTTTTAATTTTTTACTTATTTATTGAGACAGAGTCTTACTCTGTCACTCAGGCTGGAGTGCAGTGGTGCAATCTCGGCTCACTGCAACCTCCACCTCCCAGGTTCAAGAGATTCTCATGCCTCAGCCTCCTGAGTATCTGGGACTACAGACACGCACCACCATGCCTGGCTAATTTTTTTTTTATTTTAGTGCAGACAGGGTTTTGCCATGTTGGCCAGGTTGGTCTCTAACTCTTGGCTTCAAGCAATACACCCGCCTTAGCCTCCCAAAGTGCTGGGATTACAGGCATGAGCCACCATGCCCAGCTATTTGTTTATTTAATTTTTGCTTCTGGCATACTGTCAAGTTGAGGTTTACATTAACTTTGTGACTCGGGGAGTTTCTGGACAATACAGGAAATTCCACATCTGTCCATGGAGTACCTGGGGTTTTAATTTCTTGAAAGAGCTTATGTTGTTTTCTGCCCAAAAACCTAGGCATTGACATGTTTCCTTTGAGTCTCCCTGAGACTATGGGGAGAGTTCTTCTAGTCATTCTTTCACACAGGCACATCGCTCTCAGTGTCCCTGCATAGGCTTAAGACCTATGGTCTTAAATAGCATTGTTAATTTCTAAGTGTAAAATTGCAGAGTCAGTCTGTGTGCTTACCACAAGGCTTTCACATCTTTTTTCCATTTCTGGTATGGGGAGTTTCCTTTCTCTATGTAGTTACATATAATTATATTGTACCTCTAAATAGCTACATTGCATCCAGCATTTTGAGGTTTACGAGAGAAGATTCTGTGTTATCTTAGTCCTCTTTGTTGTTAGAACTACATGTTTAGCATTGAATTTTTAATTTCTTGGCAAGCATCTGTGGTTGCTTTTATGTCTTGATTTTAAAATGACAGTTAACTGTGTTCAAAGTAGTACTGATGTTTCATTCTTTTACCAAAATCAAACTTATTTCATTGAAGTGAAAATTCAAAATTAAAGGCAATTTCATAGAAAAAAACTTTAGTTTTATAGAAAAGTTAATCCATTGAGACTTCCATTTGCTTGTATGAAAATGATATGATACAGTGGAGTCATGAACTACTTTGATTGTTATAAACCAATGAGAAAAAAACACAAGAAGCAAATGTAATATATGAATGATGGTTTCAATCCAAGTGGAGGCATGAAGTGAGAGAAAGTTTTACAAGTAGTCAGATAGAGATAACTGGTAGAAGAATTGAGTCATCACACAGCAAATACTATAAAAGGCATATTGTCATAAATGAGTAGATAGGTTACATAAATTTCACTTCTGTACACAGAAGTTCAACAGTTCATGACTACTATGTATAGTAGTAAGTATGCAGTTAAAAAAATTCTGAAAACAGTGTGTTTTATTCATTAGCGTTGCATCGGGAGGATACAGTATTAAAATGAATATTTCATTAAAGTAACCAATGGCTGATTTTTTTAAAAACCTAGTTCATTGTTTTCTTTCAGCAACACTATACCCTCTGTTTCATGACATACATATTGGTAAATAGATTTTTAGGTTATTTAGTTTTCTTTTTTTAATTTTTAAGTTTAAAAAAATTATTGCCCATATAGTTTAATAAAGCTACATGAATCAGAAGTTTGTACCTAATTTTTTGTTTGTACATATTAAGTAACATTTAAATTAAAACAATTCAAGTCATCATTAAAGATCCAAGTAAGAAACAGTGGTATGTAAGTGTTAAAAGGAAACTTGAGACAAGTCAAATTTGATGGAGTTTAGTTGAGCAAAAAAAAAAAAAAAGGAAACAATTTGTGAATAGGGTAGCCTTCAGAATTACAGCAGAGTCAGAGAGACTCCTGGGGTATATCGTGGTCAGAACAAATTTATAGATTAAAAAAAGTAAAGTGACGTACAGGGATCGGAAATGAGGTACGGAAACAGTGAGATTGGTTACAGCTCAGTGTTTGCCATATTTGAACGCAGTTTGAACACTCAGCAGTCTATGAGTGGTTGAAGTATGGCTGCTGGGATTGACCAACACTCAGCTATTGTTACAGGTGCATACTCCTAAGTTTAGTTTTCAGTTTTGTCTGCCTATTAAGCTAGGTTATGGTTCTCCACAAGGACTCAAATATAGAAGTACAGAGTCCTTCTCAGGCCATATTTAGTTCACTTCAACATAAGATAAGACTCTAGGGTGGGAGATAGAGTCCATGCACTGCAGCCCTGGATTTTCTATTAGGTTGAATGATATGAGCTTGTCATATAACCTTTTTCAATTTTACCTACAAAAATTGCAATAATACATAATAGCTATGTAAACTTGAGTAAGAAATTTAACTTCTTTGAGTCTACCCTTTCTCATCTGTAAAATAGAGAAAAATAGTTCTGACCTATTAGAATATGGCTGTTTATATATTAGAACAGAATTTATTTTACTTATCTAATAGATAGAGTTATTTTTTTCTCCACGAGGATATGTTCCAAGGAATCTGGTCTTTTATAATAAAAAAAAATTGCTCCATTTCCCCTTGGGGAGAAGAGGTGTCCTGCTTCCCCCAACCACTGGCAAGAGGGGAGAGGAGAACTAGCTGAAAGAATTTTCCCAAGAAGAGTAGAAGCTCCACCTCCTTATCCTACCAGAAATCTCAAAGATGGCCTTGCCATGTCTGGGAGTTTCCATGCCTATTCTTGACCCAATGTTAGACTAAGAGCTTCCACCACGGCCATAAACGACACTCTAGTAAAAGCCAGATGGTATCATGTTACAAGGTACAAGAAGAGCAAAACATATTTCTACACAGAAAGGCTATAAAGATCCAGGACACTTTTGTCAAAATCCACATACAGTTTCCCCTTCAACAACCGGGGTTTGAACTGCGCTGATCCATTTACATGAGATTCTTTTCAACCAAGAACAGACTGAAAACACAGTATTCCTGGGATGGGAAATCCTGATATACGCAGGGTAAACTTTTCATCTATGGGGGTTCTACAGGGTGGATTGCTGAACTTGAGTATGTGGGGATTGGGGATTTGCAGGGGTCCTGGGGCCAGTCCTCTGATTATACAGACAGATGGCAGTACTATTTTGGGTTGGAGAGAGTGACGCTTATGATTGCAGTCACTATCAACAAGATACTGAAAATTAATTTTCAATAACAATGACTGTTAAACAACTCATCTATTTGTAGGATATTAATTTGGTGGACAAAAGGAAGACAAGCAGTCTATACTCAATAAAAAACAAATATGTATAGATAAACAATAAGCCATCAGATTTGATTCCTAAAGAATGGATATAAAATTCAAGAATTTGAGGCAAAAAATCATAGATCTACATAGATATGTAGACACAAAAGATCTATACATAAATACATGAACATATATATAAAATGTATATAGCCTTTGACTTAGCAGACAGAGACAGAGAAAACATTCACAGACACACAATGATAGGAACAGTAAGGATTATCTTACAGATCATGAAAGCCATGTGAGGTAGACCATCCATTTTCGGACAGCATCAGTACACATTTATATTAGTGGCCAGAGTGATACCAGATTTCATCTAACATTCCATGTATAAGGATAATCATCTCTCAACCACCAGCCTCAGGCAGCCATGAGAATTAGATAGTATGAAATAACATTTCACAAGGGGCTGCTATAGACATGAATCATATTTACCAAAAGAATAACTACTGTTTGTGATGTTACCAATTTTATTTACATGGAGGGAGGGGGAAGGGAATAGAGGAAATAACACAATATAGTTAATTTTTTAAATTCATGTTTCTTTATAAGGTTTCTGTATTTGATTCTGGGTAAAACTTGAGTTGTAGAAGTGAAATTTTCAGCTTTCCCAGAAACTCCAGTGAAAACTGGATATGATTATTTTTCAGGCAGGGGACTACGCAATGTGAACCTTTTCTGTTCAGGATTTGTGTATTTCAAGTGCTAAGTGGAAGCAGACTGAAATATTCTCAGAATACTGTCCTAAGAACACTCTAGGAAAACAAATGTGTCTGGCAGAAATATTTCTTAATGGTTACCAGGACTGTTCCTCCTTAAAAATGCATCACAAATTCCACAAATGAGTATGTGGGGGCATACACACCCCCATCCACCTACCTCTAATCCCTAAACAAATGCCTCTTTCTTTTGTCTATTCAAACGTATCTGAATTTTTTAAAAATGTTCTCTTTTAATTTCTTATTTTATTAGTAACTCCAACAAATATATACACTAAAATAAACATGAAGTCTCATTATGCCACAGAAGCTTACAAGAGGTAAGGAAAGGGATAGAGTGGTATATACCTTGTAATGATTCTCTAACAGGTTAGACTGTCCTTAAGCATCCTGCATAAGTGGCTTAGGAAGCTTATGCTGCAGCTGACTTTCTTTTTTAATTCACTCAGAATTTTGCCACAAATTCATTAACTCTTTGCTAATCAGATATAATCCCAAGCCACTTTTAACCTGCTTAGAACATCTCTGGTGTGCATCTGGTGTTAACAGAAAATACAGAAAGGACATAGGGAAAAAAAAGTCTTGCCTCCTGTGCACCTTTGCAAGATGACAAGCTTTTCCTGCCCACAAACAGCATCTGCATCTAGTAGGCTAACAAGGCAGTAGCCAACAGGTAAATCTTCTACCTCTTTCTGAACCACTGAAGTACCTTTAGTCATCCTCCTTGCCTTCTCCTTCCTTCCCTCTTCCCTTCGCCTCCCCTTGTACCCAAACATGATGTTCCATTAACAAATAATGCTCTTAGAGCATTGAGGGGAACACACTGGAGAAGGAGAACAAGACTTTGCCTTGTTTCTCATTCACAGTTTTAGTGGAATCTATTTGGAATCTAAGCCCTGCTTACAAAGGAAAACATTGGGCATCATGAAAAATTTGAGGGATGTAGACTGGATCTTGGGTCTCAACTCTGTCGCCCAGGCTGGAGTGCAGGGGCCCCCAACCATAGCTCACTGCAGCCTCGAACTCCCTGGCTCAAACAATTCCATCCTCCCTCCTTATCCTCTCACTCCCCACAACACACACCATTAGCTGAGACTACAGGCCCTGGCAGCCACCACGCCTGGCTAATTACGCCAGATCTTATAGTTCAGAAACTCTTAAGTAGCTCTTAGTGATAGCCTCAAGCCCTGGGAACTGTCTTAGGATTTCCTATCCCAAAAAGGGAAAATAATTGTGTTTAGGTCAGTCCTCATCTCAATTTAAGAGGGGCTTGATTAACACTGAAAGTTTGAAGATTAAACCTTTTATCTTGGCCCATTTTTTCAGCTGTTCCCTTACATTTTCTACTCCTCTGCCAGGTTGCAAAGTTTTAAAAGACCATGGAGTACTATACTGAGCATTACACTGAGTAGCTGCTCACCTAATATTTAAGGAATAGGATGGAATTATGCTATCCCTAATTCAGGCTCCTGGCTTAGTACACCATCCACTGCTCTGGAATGTGATCGCCCTATTGCAGTGTCATGGTGATGGTGACCACAACAAAAAGAAAGCAATCTCTCAGGAGAAACCAGGAGGTTCTTTCTAGTTAGTCAACGCACGGAAGACAAGGTGATTCACACAACTCCAATGAGGTAATCATAAGACAATAGGATTTGAAATCCAGCAGGAATTATGAGTCATAACAGTCACATTTTCAGTTGGAATATCCAGTTTGTTTTGCTTCTCAGGTAAATAATAGGCAGCATACCTACATATAGACAAAAGCAAAGGGCCTGAATTATTTGCTTTTTGTTTTTTTGTTTTGAGACAGAGTCTCACTCTATCACTCGGCCTGGAGTGCAATGGCTCGATCTCAGCTCACTGCAATCTCTGCCACCCTGGTTCAAGGGATTCTCCTGCCTCAGCCTCCCGAGTAGCTGGGATTACAGGCTCCTGCCACCGTGCCCAGCTAATTTTTGTAATTTTAGTAGAGACGGGGTTTCACCATCTCGGCCAGGCTGGTCTCGAACTCCTGACCTCGGGTTATCTACCCACCTGGGCCTCCTAAAGTGCTGGGATTACAGGTGTGAGCCACTGCGCCCGGCCCGTTTGTTTTTTGGGTTTTGTTTTGTTTTTTGAGACAGGGTCTCTGTCTGTCACCCAGGCTGGAGTGCAGCAGCGTGATCTTGGCTCGGTCTGCCTCCCAGGTTCCAGCTATTCTCCCACCTTATCCTCCCAAGTAGCTAGGACCACAGGTGTGCACCACCCCGCCCGGTTAATTTTTGCATTTTTAGTAGAGACGGGGTTTCGCCATGTTGCCCAGACTGGTCTTGAACTCCTGGGCTCAAGCAAACAGCCTGTCTTGGCCTCCAAAAGTGCTGGGATTACCGGTGTGAGCCGCCGTGCCCAGCTATTTGCTTTTTAAAATTTATATAATCTTGGGCCGGGCACGGTGGCTCACGCCTGTAATCCCAGCACTTTGGGAGGCCAAAGCAGGCGGATCACAAGGTCAGGAAATCGAGACCATCCTGGCTAACACGGTGAAACCCCATCCCCACTAAAAATACAAAAAATTAGCCAGGTGTGGTGGCGGGCGCCTGTAGTCCCAGCTACTCCGGAGGCTGAGGCAGGAGAATAGCGTGAACCCGGGAGGCGGAGCTTGCAGTGAGCGGAGATCGCGCCACTGCACTCCAGCCTGGGCGAAAGAGTGAGACTCCGTCTCAAAAAAAAAAAAAAAAAAATTAATAAATGCTCTTTATGTACAAATATATTTTAGTTTTATGACCATGGAAGAAATGTCATAAGTATTTTCTCTCACTTCATAAATCTTTTGTATGCATTATTAGGAGTTATATTTATTCCTAAATTAAATATTCACTCAAATAACATGCCCTAAATTATTGTGAATAGCTATTGGAAGTGAGGATGAGAGAAAAAAGTTTTCCCTTGGAAAAGCCTCTCCTAACACAATCAGCATGACAGTTGCTCTTGAGATAACATGAATTCTGTTATCTCGTAAGCAATATAATTGACTAGATAGTAGCAACAAGGAAAAAACCTTTTAAATTTAAAAAAAAGAAGATAAAAAGAAAAAAAAGAGCTTCAAATCACAGAAAAAACCAAAAACTTTAGTTTTGTTTTGTTTTGTTTTGTTTTGTTTTGTTTTGTTTTTGAGACAAAGTCTCACTCTGTCACCCAGGCTGGAGTGCAGTGGCGTGATCTCGGCTCACTGCAACCTCCGCCTCCTGGGTTCAAGCAATTCTCTGCGTCAGCCTCCCAAGTAGCAGGCATTACAGATGCCCACCACCACGCCTGGCTGATTTTTTGTATTTTTAGTAGAGACGGGGTTTCACCGTCTTGGCCAGGCTGGTCTTCAACTCCTGACCTCGTGATCCACCTGCCTCAGCCTCCCAAAGTGCTGGGATTACAGGTGTGAGCCACCACACCCAGCCTTAGTTTTTTTTTTTTTTAAAAAAAGCTTAAAACCTTATTAATATGGCACTGTGTTGATAAGCAAAGCATTTTGCCTGGACTTTGGTAAGAAAGAAATAGGCCACTTGTCTTTTTCAGCCCTTTTCAACCTTTTTGTGTAGACAGCAGCACAACTAAGTTTTCTCAACTAGCTAATAATCTTTAGCAATTTTGGCTTCCCACAAGGTGTCTTCCACACAATAGATGTCCAGGATATAGTTGATGCATGAATAAGTGAATGAATTAATGCACTTCTCAACTTTGACATGCTGGGCTAATGGTAGGCCCTTCACATAAGCTTCTTGAACTGACTTGACACTATCCTTAATACTTCTTTCAGAAGTAGCTTCTTCTCATGCCACCTGTTGACCTGGAGAGTTACTAAATAACCAATACTTGTATATATATCCCTGTAAGTGTGGCCCAGACTAGACTATTGGGTAATGATCTGGGTAGAGTAAGAATAGAGCATAAAACATAATTTCTTCCCCCATTATCAATGGCTATAAGGTCTTTTACCAATTTTAATTTAGTCATCACATAGTGACTGATTGATACGCATTATAAGCGGAAACTTAAAAATCATGACTCATCAGCACAAGTAGGCTATACATGTTCTGCCTGTTCAGTACAATAATAATTCATTTGGCATGTCTTACTGAGCATTAACACAATAATGAAATCTGAATGTATAACAGCTTCTTAAATTTTACTAGTTACATAAGTAAACTGTGTATGATCATCTTAATCTTGTTATTTGTGCACTTTTTTTTAAAGTTTGTTGTGTTTTGTTTTGAGACAGGCTCTCGCTGTGTCACCTACCCTTGACCTCCCAGACTTAAGCCATCCTCCTGCCACAGCCTCATGAGTAGCTGGGAGTAGCTGGGACTACAGGCACACACCATCACATCCAGCTAATTTTTAAAAATTTCTTGTAGAGACAGGGTCTCCCTGTGTTGCCCAGGCTGTTCTTAAACTCTCAGGCTCAACAAATCCTCCTGCCTCAGACTTCCAAAGGGCTGGGATTACAGGCGTGAGCCACCATGCCCAACCTAAAATTACTTTTCATTCTAGAAGTATAAAGGTTTTTGAAGTTTAATCTGATAATAACTTATATAAGAATGAATAGCTTGACTTCTCTGAAATAGAAACTCAGAAACACTTCTGACTTCTCTAAAATATGAACTCACCTGCTGCTGTGTGGCCCCCAGGTTGGGAACCCCTGCTTTAAAGGCTCGTTGGACATCTCCAGTGCTTCTAATCAGAGCACAGCGTGAAATTGCTCCTTTGTCAATGGAAGCAGGGATGTTGAGAAACCTAATGCAGCATTAATATCCACATAAGGCCAGGCACAGTGGCTCATGCCTGTAATCCTAGCACTCTGGGAGGCTGAAGTGGGCAGATTGCCTGAGCCCAGTAGTTCGACACCAGCCTGGGCAACATGGCAAAACCCCGTCTCTACTAAAAATACAAAAAATTAGCCAAGTGTCATGGCATGCACCTGTAATCCCAGCTACTCGGGAGGCTGAGGCACTAGAATCGACTGCACCTAGGAGGCAGAGGTTGCAGTGAGCCGAGATCACACTACTGCACTCCAGCCTGGGAGACAGAGTGAGACTGTCTTCAAAAAATAGAAATTAAAAAAAAAAAACTGACATGAGTATCACCGAGGAGTTAGGATAGTTTTATGTCTGGCTGTGGTTGCCTAAGAACCAGCCATGCTATTTAACACCAAACACTACAATATAAAAGAAGTATATGTAAAGGAAAAAAGTTTGCATTAAATTCTTCCTTGCCAGACACATGTAACTTTGGTTCAGCAGCATTTAATAATGATAAGTTAATACATTTTATTGATTTTGCATATTGGGGAGGTAAATCCACACTCACAGTCAAAAGAACTGTGTCCCAGCTTTGCCACTTACTGGCAGTTGTCCTTAGATGAATTATCTAAATACTGTGACTCTGTTTCCTCCTCATCTGTAAAGTGGGGCTAATAATACCTATCTTGAAAACACAGTGCCCTGTGTAGCTGAAACTTTTTTTTTTTTTTTGAGACAGAGTCTTGCTCTGTCACCCAGGCTGGAGTGCAACGGTACCATCTCAGCTCACTGTGACCTCCGCCTCCCGGGTTCAAGAGATTCTCCTGCCTCAGCCTCCCTAGTAGCTGGGATTACAGGCACACACCACCACGCCCAGCTAATTTTTGCATTTTTAGTAGAGACGGGGTTTCGCCATGTTGGCCAGGCTAGTCTCGAACTCCTGACCTCAGGTGATCCATCAGCCTCAGCCTCCCAAAATGCTGAGATCCCAGGCATGAGCCACCATGCCTGGCCTAACTGAAGCTTAGTAAATGTTGATTCCTTCTTTTAAATTACAAAATGCTTGGACAAGCTCCAGTAAAATAGAAACAAAGGGTTAAATTTTGCTTCCACAAAGTCAAAAGTCTTATTAATAAATTTATTGAGTTCATGTATCACATTGTAAAAGAACTTAGGAAGATTTTTAAAAACATTAGCTAGTTTTCATTTTAGATCCACAAAATGTTAGTGAAAATAAACAGAGTAGTCTGTGATTTTTAATAAAAATTCAGTAGCGGCTCAATACAATGCAATGGAAAATAAGCACAGGTTGTGGAGTTCGGGAGACCTAGGGTCACCTCCTAGTTCTGCCACTTAATAGTTTTGTGACCTTGCAAAAGATAATATCGTTGAGGCTCATTTTCTTTATGGACAGGAAGGGGATAATACCATATTTCAATGAATCTAATAATCCATATATTGTAAGACTCATTGTTCTTTCATGTACAAGTAAAAATAAAACACTGCCATTAAGACACAATGCTTTCTTGTAATGTAGAATTTTTATTTCATACTTACTGAAAGAGCTCTTTCAATACATTTAGACAGGTTTTAATCATATGTCGCCGTAATGCACAGATAAAAATAAAAGTCTTAGCAAAATAAATTACTTAATGTATTCCTCAAATACAACATAGTAAGACTCTTCTTTTATTTCATTTTAAGATGGAATCTCACTCTGTTGCCCAAGCTGGAGTGCAATGGCGCCGTCTCAGTTCACTGCAACCTCCGCCTCCCAGAGTCAAGCGATTCTCCTGCCTCAGCCTCCCCAAGTAGCTGGGACTACAGGCACACGCCACCACACACGGCTAATTTTTGTATTTTTCATAGAGATGGGGTTTCACCATGTTGGCCAGGCTGGTCTCGAACTCCTGACCTCAGGTGATCTGCCCAGTAAGACTTTTCTGAATTGCTTTTGACTCACAGTCACTGATGTCCCTACTTTTCTATATAATATTGGCGTGTATGCCATCAAGAGCATTGATGATGCTTAGCTCTTACAAGACAACCCTACAATTGCCTCCAAGATTTTCCTCCAAGCCATACTTCGATGCTGCTACTTTCATGCCACAAAAAGTGACAACCAAATTTGCTGATGAGCAGGCAGTGACAATCAGTGTGTAGCTGCTGTCTTGCGGACAGTGACTATGGGACACTATATGATCCGTCCTGGTTTCAGAGACATTCGGTGGTGGGAAAATGTGCTTCTTAGAACTGTGAAATTTGGGTAATAATCTTCATAGAATTACTGCAAAGATTAATAAGAAAATATATTAAAAGGATTAATAATATAACCTGTAGTCCCAGCTACTCGGGAGGCTGAGGCAGGAGAATGGCGTGAACCCGGGAGGCGGAGCTTGCAGTGAGCTGAGATCGTGCCACTGCACTCCAGTCTGGGTGACAGAGCGAGATTCCGTCTCAAAAAAAAAAAAAAAAGGATTAATAATATAATAACAAATAAATTGTAGCTATTATATTACAGGAAAGTGGGAGAATGCAGCACTTTTGATCTGTGACTCCTCACCATATTCCTGGGATGGACATAAATACTGAATTAAATTATTCAAAATCCTGGGTAGTCTACTGTCCTATTTGAGGCTTGACATTTTGCACATGATGGATTTTTCAAGTCTGAAGCAAACATTGTCAAATAGAATATTCATTTTAGTTTCTTATCCCCTCCCTCCAAAGAAAAAAAAATGAAACAAAATTTTGTGGCTATTGTGGTAATCCATGTCTTATAAAAGCATGGCATGATCACCAGAGTATGACACTCTTTTCCTTTCTTGCCCTCCAATTCTGCACTCTCCTGGGTACTTCCTGTCTACCACCACCATAGGGTCTGCAGATCCATTCCAAATAGCTTCATTTAGGAAGCCAAGTCAGGCAAATGTTTGGCAGAGAAGTATATCAATAAAAATATCAATATCACTTTCAAAGGTAAATAAAAAATAGCTATAAGAATTACTTGGAATTTTATTATTTTACTCAGTTCTTCAATAAGAGGTCTGAAAATCAGCTTATCTAAAAAAGGGGCCATGGTGGCTCATCTCTCTAATCCTAGCACTTTGTGAGGCCAAGGACGGATTGCTTGAGTCCACGAGTTCAAGACCAGCCTAGACAACATGGCAAAGCACTCTCTCTACAAAAAAAAAAAAAAATACAAAAATACAAAAATTAGCTGGGCATGGTGGCGCATGCCTGCCTGTAGTTCCAGGGGGGCCGAGGTGGGAGAATTGCTTGAGCCCAGGAGATTGAGGCTGCAGTGAGCCTTGATTGTGCCACTGCACTCCAGCCTGGGTGACAGAGCAAGACCCTGTCTCAAAAATCAATTAATTAATTAATTTAAAAAATTAAAAAGGAAGAAAATGGAGAGAAATAACATCCGAGCTTTTCTGCAGGGGAGCAACAGTGCAAGGCTGAGCCTCTTTTATAGCCTAGCTGCTCATGAGCCCACATACAATAGGCCCCCTTTATCTAAGACTGCACTTTTTGCAATTGCGGTCCGAAAATATTAAATGGAAACTTCGAGAAATAAACAATTCATAAGTGTTAAATTGCACACTTTTCTGAGTAGTGTGATGAAATCTCACACCATCCTGCTCCATCCCACACAGGATATGGATCCTCCCTTTGTCCAGTGTATCCATGCTGTCTACATTCCCTGCACCTTAGTCACTTAGCAGCTGTCTTGATTATCAGATTGACGGTTGAGGTCTCACAGTGCTCGTGTTCAAGTCACCCTTGTTTTATTTCATAATGGCCCCAAAGCACAACAGTAGTGATGCTGGAAATTCAGTCATGCCAAAGAGAAGTTGTAAAGTGCTTCCTTTAAGTGAAAGGGTGAGAGTTCTCAACTTAATAAGGAAAGAAAAAAATTCATACAATGAGGGGGTTTGCTAAGATCAACTATATAAACAAATCTTCTATCAGTGAAATTTTGAAGGAGAAAAAAGAAATGTGTGCTAGTCTTGCTTTTACACCTCAGACTGCAAAAGTTATGGCCACGGCGCATAATAAATGCTGAATTAAGATGGAAAAGGCATTACATTTGTGGGTGGAAGACATAAACAGAAACATGTTCCAGTTGATAGCAAAGGGAGTGGGATGGGAGGTAGGGAATGACCAGGGTCACACATCAGGCTGATCAGGCAGAACAATATCAAATAGAAGAAAGCTGCTCAACCTTGCAGTATTGACCTTTTGCACTGAATGATTCCTTATCTTCAGGGGTCATCCTGAGCATTGAAGGAGGTTTAGTAGGATCTCTGTTTTCTAAGAACTAGATGCCAGTAGCTACCCACCCCCTCTACCGCCAATCCCTCCCCAACCCATCCCTGGAGCTGTGACAATCAAAAATGTCTAGGGAATGGCCAATTGTCCCCACTGGGGTGGGTGTGAAGAGAAATTGCCCCTGCTTAAGAATCACATACATAGGATAATATCAGCAAAGATCATGTATCACTGTGAGATACCAAGATCCCAAAAGGAGTTTGAGTATAGAGGACTAATTCAGGCAGGAATAATTCTCAAGGACAATGGTTGCTGGAATCAGCCTTCAGCCCTGGACTTGCTCCCTCTCCTTTCTTTCTCTTCTCTTTCCCCTCCTCTTTCCTCTCTTCCTCCTCCCTCTCCTTTTCCTCCTTTTCTCCTCCCCCTTCTCTGATCCCCTCCCCCTCTCTCTCACACAGAGAATTTGACTTTGTCTTTTGTTTTGTTTTGTTTTGTTGAGACAGGATCTTTCTCTGTCACCCAGGCATGATCATGGCTCACTGTAACCTCCAATTCCTGGGCTCATGCGATCCTCCTGCCTCAGCCTCCCAGGTAGCTGGGTTTACAGGTGTGAGCCCCTGCACCAGGCCAGAGGATGTGACTTTGGCTTGCAGAGAGCAGCTCTCTAAGACAGAAGTCTTTGCAATCTCTGCTTGAGCAATTTTCTATACCACCAAATAGGTATTAGCCCAATTCTCTTAGCTTCTGGGAAGGAGCTGCAGAGAAGCATGGAAAACTTCCTTTCTCCTATACTCAGCAAATACACATTCAACAACACATAGAGGAACATTTAGGGAAAGCTAAGTTTAATAGCTGTGGGCTGGGCGTGGTGGCTCATGCCTGTAATCCCAGCACTTTGGAAGGCCGAGGCAGGCAGATTGCTTGAGCCCGGGAGTTCAAGACCAGCCTGGGTAACATGGTGAAATCCCATCTCTACTAAAAATACAAAAATTAGCCCGGTGTGGTGGCACATGCCTGTAATCCCAGCTACTGGGGAGGCTGAGGCAGGAGAATTGCTTGAACCAGGGAGGCAGAGGTTGCAGTGAGCTGAGATCACACCACTGCACTCCAGCCTGGGTGACAGAGCGAGGCTCCATCTAAAAAAATTAAAAAAAAAAAAATCAGTTGTGTATTTAAAGCGTCTTCTATTTCCAGAATATTAGCTAGTCCTGAATGTTCATTTTGAGAATTTGGTAATCACAAAACCACCTTTATTTTGTACTATACTGTTGTGAGGTAATGGGCCTCAAATCTTTAGGAAAGTAAAATTTGAAAACCAAAAAACTTGTGGCTACAAACCTTCTCATGCATATGCATTGTCAGACAGTACTTGTTGAAAATGCAGATTCCTGATACTACTAGTGAGTCTGATTCAGTAGGTCTGGGTGGACCCAGGAATTTACATTTTTAACAAGCAACCCAGGTGATTCTGATCCTCAGATAATCTTTTGAGAAATACTAGTGTTTAAAGGAGATAAAATGTAAGGATATACTGAGACTAGTTAGAAATGTATAATTTAGTCTAAGAGAAGGCATTTGGCAGGTACTTGGGCCCTTGTTTGATGCAACTCTGGGTGGAGGTTTGAAAGATTAGTGAAGGGGAGGGATTCCTGCATGTATAAATCAGTGTGTGAGGAAAGTGGGTAATTGCTTGGCATTAGGCAATTATACATGCAAATTAGAAGAGCACATATATATAAGCCAAACAAAACAAAGACAATGGTTAGTACATCGTAGAGCCACCATGCCAGTCACATCATCATTTCCAATTGCCCAGATGTAAGTACCAGCAATGACAAGGTTTCCAATTGTTTGATGCTCTGATAGTTATGTATTGATGCAAGAATATTTTTTGGAGGATATTTTTACATTGAATGAGTAAAAATTATGATGAATTCTTTTCTAGTTGACTCCATATTCACCCCACACTAAAAATAATAAGACATTTAATAAACATAGGCCTAAGTCAGTTTGAAAAATAATTCTTATTCTTGATGTTA
This sequence comes from Homo sapiens, assembly GCF_000001405.40. Lineage (NCBI taxonomy): Eukaryota > Metazoa > Chordata > Mammalia > Primates > Hominidae > Homo > Homo sapiens. The sequence continues at coordinate 108,607,261 of NC_000011.10, read as the reverse complement.
ATATTGTGTACTCCCAGTATTGTACTCTAGAATTCTTTCTGTCTTTCAGTTATTTCAGCTTTTCAAGGCATGTGAGTGAAAAGCTGAAAGAGAAACAAAGCTCTTGTCTCTTTTCCTAACATATGTTAGCTAGTGATATTTTCATTAGTGATTTTTATGTTTATGTTGTATCAGTCTATTGCCTGGAACAGCTGATGTACTTCTGTTTGTTCTCGGATTCCTATTTCAAAGAACTTCCTGAGACAGAGATTTTTAGACCTCCTATTTGTCTTGAGTCTTGGTTTGATGACTCTTAGTGGTCACAATGAAAAGTCCATCATTTACGATCTTTGTAGTCTGAAAAGGTAAATAGAAATGTTCTCAATGGTTTACAAATTTTAAAAAAATCTGTAAGTGGTATGACAAAATTGAACCTGGACCAGATTGTAATTAAGATATGGTTCCTGCTTTAGAGTTTTTGCTTAGCTAGTGGGAAAAGGTATATAAACAAAAAGTAATATAAAGAGTTCTAGGTGCTCTGAAAAAAACCTGTATGAGGAGAGGAGGCTTGAGGGAGGGTGTCATCAGGCAGGGGTGAATCATAAGGGGAAGGGTTGGGAAAAGCTTCTTGCACAAAGTGAGCCTTGAGCCGAGTCCTTGGTATGAACCTGTCTTTAAAGGGCTTATTATAAAACCAAGGAGTTTGCAAGCTCATTAGAGAGCCCAAATTTAAAATCCATTTTTTTAAAAAAAGGTGAGTAAGTTGATATTAAATTGTGTGGGGCTGGTTACTAGGTGGAAAACTTTTGGAAAAGTAAGGCAGGTGGGTTGGAGCAGGTACAGAGGGCTTTGTAAGGGAAGTAAAGCTGAGCCAAGACTTAGGATGGGTAAGAAAGAGATAAGTGGAGTGGAGATTGGGGAGCAGAAGGTGGGGAAAGAGTCTGAGCAAAGACAGGGCCCACGAGGAGGAAACCAGCTGTCTGGGCAGGCATGCCTGACAGGGACTGGTGTGGGGGATTTAACAGGGTGACATCATGACTGGCTTTAGAGCTAGGCAGTTTGGGGATTTGGTGTAGAAGGTAATGGTGAGGCTGGGTGCAGTGGCTCACACCTGCAGTTCCAGTGCTTTGGGAGGCCGAGGAGGGAGGATCGCTTGAAACCAGGAGTTCGAGGTAACAGTGAGCTATGATCGTGCCACTGCACTCCAGCCTGAGCAACAGAGTGAGAACCTGTCTCTATTTTTAAAAAAAGAAGAAGGTGATGGTGAGATCTCACAAATTCCTGATTAGGGAAGTCATATAGCTGAACATATGCTGAAAGAAATATTTCTGAAAAACAAGTCTGCTTTCTATTTCAAACAATGGACTAAAAAGGGCTGAGGATGGAGGCTGGAGGCCAGCGCAGAGGCTGCTGCAATCCTGCCTCACAATTGGTGGGGAGGTTCTGCAGTCCTGCCTCTGCTGCTGAATTATTACATTTGTATTTCTCTTCATCCTTTTCAGAATGATTCATCATATATGTCCACTATACAGTAGGCATGGCAAGCACATGAAGCATCAGAGAAACTGAGTAGCTTTTCAAAGGACGCAGAGTTAGCAATTAGCAGAGTGTATCCCACAACCTAGGTTCTCTGAATCCAAATTGCTCTAACACAAAGTTTCTTGGCCTCAGCACTGTTGACATTTTGGACCACATAATTCTTTGCTGGGCGTAGGAGGGGGGCTGTCCTGTATAATGTAGGATATTTAGCCGCATCTCTGCCCTCTACCCTGTAGATGCTGGTACCACTTCTCCTCCCACAGGTGACAGTGAAAAATGTCTCCAGACATTGGCAAATGACCCCAAGGGACAAAATCAGCTTCAGTTGAGAACAACTGTTCTAATATGTCACACAGTATAATTTTTATAAGAATCACATCTCCTATGTTGGACCTAGGCAGCTATTTTCCATGACTTTCACTTGTGACCCCAAGCCAGCACTGCTCAGACACTAAGTCTTTGGAGGATGAGAAGAGCCCCAGCAGAAGGGTCACTGCTTTTGTGATCAACTCTTTATGGAAATGATGGCTAAAACCCATTAGCAGGGAAAGGGTCTCCACCTTGAGGCACCCTTTCAAGGTGCTACACCATCACAACCCGTTTCCACCTGGAACTTTGGGGATCATTGGTTTGACACTCTTGTCCCAGAATTTTTTTTCTGTTGGCTAAGAACCCATCCCAATCCCAGTGATCTTGTTCTTAGGGAATCTCCCTCCTGTCCACTCACCTCTTACTTCTGTTACTCTCAATTCCTTCTAAGTCAGTCCCATCCAATTCATCTCCACCCAACCAAGCCTATTTCTCTAATTTACCTATTTTATGGCCACTGAAACCCTTATTAATTTTACTAAAATTTCCTGTACACTTACAGACCTTTATGTGAGTGTTCCTTTCCCCTTTAACCTAAAACTGATTTCATCCTAATAACCTGAATTTCCTTCTTGACCACAGGTAGTAGCCACTTCTTGTGTTGTCTTCTTCCCTTTGACCCTGGGGTCTCAGGACCCTCAGGCATTGGCATTCTCCTTGGCCTTAACACCTACTTCCAGACCACTTTTCTGACTGTCTTAGAGTCATATTCTTTAAAAGTCATCTCCACATTCCCATTGACTTCCCATCCTGTCATCTATAAACCAGGACACTTACTTATAGAAAAGGGGTAAGGCTCAGACCTCCTAACTATGAAAATCTTCTGAGTTCTAATTTGCAATAATAATACACATAAAACAAATACAGAAATTACCAAGAGGCTGAGTAGGGTAATGAGGGTAGGATGAAATAAAAGGAAATAAAGTTTTCTTTAATTGGCAAAAATATCCAGCCCTCTCCCACCCCCCGCCTTTCTTTTGAGACAGGATCTTGCTCTGTTACCCAGGCTGGAATGCAGTGGCACAATCTTGGCTCACTGCAGCCTTAACTCCCTGGGTTCCAATGATCCTCCCACCTCAGCCACCTAAGTAGCTGGGACTACAGGCACACACCACCATGCCCAGCTAATTTTTTTTTTTTTTTTTTTGTAGAGATGGGGTTTCACCATGTTGGCCAGGCTAGTCTCAAACTCCTGGGCTCAAGCAATCCTCCCACCTGAGCCTCTCAAAGATTATAGGCATGAGCCTCTGCACCCGGCCTATTCAGCCCTTTCTTCAATTAAATGTAGAAAAACCAACTGCCTACCCTTAAAAAAATTGAAACAGGTCTACTACCATCAGATCTTCTTTTCTGACCTGACCACTAGGTCCATTTCTAACAAATATCAACTCGTGAATAACAGCCTGTTATACTTCCTTATCATTCCAGAATCCCAGCCATCTTTTCCTAAAGATCTCTGAAGTCTGTGTTCGCTTCTCCTGGAAACAGCCTTTCTCTCCTCCAGGTCAATCCATAAGGAAGCCTTGCACCTTATCATTGTTAGGTAGTTATTAGGAACTGCTCTCTGCCCACAGGTGGAGGTCATATTTGTTCCAGCATTCAGTCATGTGGAGCAAATGGCCTATTCATCAGAACAGAGTGGTTGTATCTTGCCAGTGTTTACAGCCTCTTTGGCTTAATGCTGTCCTACTAAACTTAAACTTCACATTTTGAGAAGCTTGAGTTAATAATGGCATTATGCTTAATGTACTGAGCTTGTATGTGGACTATCCCCAGCTTACTGCAGTGAGGATGGGGAGGTTCACAATGTTATCAACATGGACAAAAATAGTGAAATATGATTTTTCTTAAAACAATTTTTTAAGAAACGGATTCTCACTATGTTGCCCAGGCTGGTCTCCAACTCCTGGCCTCAAGCAATCCTCCTCCTGAGTAGCTAGGATTACAGATACAAGCCACCATGACTGGTGTGAAATATGATTTAAAAATTATTTGTATTAAGGTGAAGTTTACATAACATAAAATTAATCATTTTAAAATGAACAATCCAATGGCATTTAGTACATTTACAGTGTTGTACAACTAGCACCTCTATCTAGCTCCAAAATATGTTCAGCAATCCAAAAGGCAACCCTATTGTATTAGTCTGTTCTCACACTGCTATAAAGAACTACCTGAGACTGGGTAATTTATAAAGGAAAGAGGTTTAATTGACTCACAGTTCCACATGGCTGGGGAGGCCTCAGGAAACTCACAATCGTGGCAGAAGACAAAGGGAAAAGAGAGGTCTTTTTCACATGGTGGCAGGAGAGAGAAGTGCAAGCAGGGGAAATGTCAGATGCTTATAAAACCATCAGATCTCACAAGAATTCACTCACTATCACGAGAACAGAATGGAGGGAATCGCTCCCGTGATCCAATCACCTCCCACCAGGTCCTGCCCTCAACACATGGGGATTATGGGGATTACAATTTGAGACGAGATTTGGGTTGGGACACAGAGCCACACTGTATCACCTGTATCTATTTAAATATGATTTTTAAACCAACCTGAGAAATTATATATGATTTGCATAGTATTTGCAGTAAGTATTGGGTTTCTATTTTCCTTTCTTATCCTACTAACCCCTTATAATCTGCTTTATGTTAAAGACAGTTTTAGATGGGTGAGATGATGGCTCACGCCAGTAGTCCCAGCTACTTGGGGGACTAACATGGTAGACTCGCTTGAGCCCCTGGAGTCAAGGCTGCAGTGAGCTGTGATCTGGCCACTGTACTCCAGCCTGGAAAACAGAATGAGACCTCATCTCCAAAAAAAAAAAAAAGGCAGTTTTAGTGGAAGTCCCAGGTGGACAGTGAGTTACATGGGAGAAACCCCTCTGGCCCAGGTTATTTGCCTTTCTGGAAAATCGGTGGATAACATAAATCTACATTGGATACACCCCTCAAAAAGAGAGGTGTAGGAGATGGGGGCAAATAACCATTGAAAACTATCAAGGAAGGAATTTGGAGGAAATTAAACTGAAAAGAGAAATTCAAATAGAGAGGTAAAGAACAGCTGTAAAACAGTGCCTGGCACACAGCAGGTGCCTAATAAATATCTGTTGAATGATGGAATGAACAAAAATAACCCTAAATGAATTAGTGAAAATAACCCAGAATAAATGAATGGATGGCTGCATTAGAAATGGATGCAGGATACAGTAGTGTTTCAAGGGAGCAATTTGATAAGCTATGAGGGGAAGCACATTAAATGGTTCCCATGTCATCACAGTTGGACCAGCCTTAAAAGCAAATAGGAAAGGGATGTAGAGTCTATCATTTCAGGGCAGGCACAGTGGCTCTTGCCTGTTATCACAGTATTTTGGGAGGCTGAGGTGGGCGGATTGCTTCATTCCAGGAGTTCGAGACCAGCCTGGCCAACATGGTGAAACCCATTCTCTCCAAAAAATATGAAAATTAGCCAAGCCTGGTGGCTCACACCTGTAGACCCAGCGACGTGGGAGGCTGCGGTGGGAGGATGGCTTGAGCCCAAGAAGTGGAGGTTGCAGTGAGCTGAAATTGCACCACTGCACTACAGCCTGTATGACAGAGTCAGACCCTGTAGAAAAATAAAAATAAAAAAGAAAGAAAAGAAAAGAAAGAAAGAAAAAAGAAAGGAAAGAGAGGGAGGGAGGGAGAGAAAAGAAAGAAAGAGAGTTTCCATCATTTCATATTCAAATACTTACAATATAGGGGAAATGATCAAAGTTTTCATAGATTTTACTATTTGTCATATTTAAATACTCAACTTTGAAATTACACCTTGAAGGGAAAAATATTGATTGGATTCCAGTACTTAAGGTTTTAACAAATAGGCCAGAAGTAGAAGGGCATCTGTTATTATATAAATTGTTGTTTACAAGCTTGGATTGTACCTAGTATGGTTGTAAATTTATGTGACCATTTCTTAGTCAGTCTTGGAAATACTATTTTTATTTGTATTTCTTTATATGTTAAGTGCATTTTCTCTCCTATGACTATTAACTGAAGTATGCTATTAATTTGAAAGTTTGTCTACCTAGTCAGCAACTTAACCAGAAGAATGTCTAATATGATACATACCATCATGTGACTACGGGTATTAAAACATACAGTTAATTAAAGCACTGGCATATTTTGATCTGCACAATAATTAGTTTAATAGGTTTTAGCAAGACCCAGATGTTACTCTATTCCAAGAGGGTTGACATTTTCTGCTCAATTAGTACTCAAGTTAGACATTCTAACTCAGGACCACAAGCATATATGACAAATTTCACTCCGGTAGGAATATTCTATTACCTGCAGGAAGCCCCTGTATGGTGAACAGTTCTTGCCGATCCATGGGCTCTGCTGCAGGACTTAGCATGCTTCTTAAGGCATGGCAACAACTTCTTTGTGTTCTTTCAACAGCTTGTATTTAGAAACTTATGTGTCATTATCCTGTTTGAAGGCATTGAATAACATTGTACTTGTCATTGAACTTGTCACTAGACAATAAACACCTGACCATGTGAAACAACAAAGATAACCAGGAAAACAATTGTGTGTGGTGGAAAAAGGGATGGCTAGAATCCTAAAATGTGTATGGTTAATGTATTATTTGAAGTGCGCCCCATATATGAGAACAAATGACTAATACAGCAAGTGAAGAACCAAAAAGTACTTAAAATACACCAAAATTAATTTATGGAGGTTAAGTTCTGAAGGCCTTCATTGGTGAGTTAACTCAGTTAGCTCTGCTTAAAGTCTTCCACCCAGACACTAGTAGGTCCTGATAATGAATTTAAAAACAAGAAATGAAATTATCAAATTCTATTTAGTGGAAATTTGCCTTCTTAAGTCACAAGTTTTGAAGAACTATCATCCGCATACTGTGCCAGTCACATTAAACAGTTAACATTTTTTTTTCTAGTTTAAAACCTAAGTACTTGAATCAAAATGAGAAAAAAAATCCAAATACATTAATAAACTCTTTAAAATGCACAGAGATAAAAAGAAACTTCAGGTTTAGTTGGAGCCACCATTTGATTAGATGTGAGTGGTATATTAATTAATTGCAATGATCCATCTAATAAAAGGTTGCAAAGAGACTGCAGCATACCAGTATTTAGGCTGTTGATGGAGAAAGGACAACTTAACTTTCAATCTCACTCCTTTCATTCTGAGTGGACATTTCTTTGAAGTTTAGAAGATGCTGAGTTCAGTCTCCCATATTTGAATTTTCTTCCACTCTCTGTACGCTTTTCCCCCATCTCCATACAATATAGAAGGGAAAGCATAGGAAAGGGCCGTCTCTTCTCACCTTACTTGTAGATTCCAAGTTACCCAGATTGCAATCTCCTGGACTCAAAGAGTAAAATCAAGTTCAAGGGATTAGTATTATGGAAGCAAACAAATGTAGGTCTTTGCTTATGAAGAAGTGAGTTACTGAAAACTTTCCAAAATCTATTGAGAGCAGGCATGGCATTCCTTCTCTCAGGTCGACAGTAGTTATTAAAGCCTGCATCCCATCAGCATTGTCAGTGCTCTCACTTACCCTGCTTTCTTTACTGATGAGAAGGCTGCCCAGCAACAAACAAAAAGGTTTCTTTTCCAGGTGTTACTTGATGTCTGCACAAGGATTGTTATTGAAAGGGCACTTCTTCTAAACAGAAAGGCAACCACATGGAAGTAGGTAGAATTGCTATAAGGAAGAATGTTCAAAGAGTGAATACTATAAAATGCCAGAACTGGTTATTGAAGTAACATAAAAACTACCAACAATCTTATTTCTGTAAAGCAGTTTAAAGTTCTCAAAGAACTTTCAGAACTGAAGTTTCTTTTTTTAAATCCAGTTAGGTTGTGACATCTACAGAGGTCTTTCATGGTAATATTAAAAGCCTTTATCAAAATATGCACACTGTGATTACAACTGTGTTATGAGTATGCATTTGTATATATGTATATACACAATTGTGATTATAACTATAGCTTTATACACATGCATACATGAGAAAGAACTTTAGAATGATATTAAAATATGGAAACAGTCCTTGAATTAGGATGGTAGGATTACAAATATCTTTTTTTTTTCTTTTACCACTTTGGTGTCATTATGCTACATTTTCAATTTAAAACATTTAATCCTTATGTCATATACGATGTGAGGTGAGTTCTGCCCAGAGGAAAGAGTTCCTCTAGCTTGGAGGCAGGGAGAGAAGAGGTAACATCTGGAAATTCATTTTATTATCCCAGAAGCCAGCCAGGTGTGAGGAGGAAACTGGGCAGAATCCCATTGACCACCTAGCTGGGAAGATCTCTCTCTCTCTCTCTCTCCGTCTCTTTTTCCGGAGGGCTTACCATATGCTACACACTTCCCAGACATTAGCACATTTAATTGCACAATCTTATGAGGTGGAAGGAGGTGAGATGGCTACCCAAGGTCACACAGCTAATAAATAGTGTAGCCAGAGCTTGAACCAAAGATACTGACTCCAAGCCCACGTCCTTAGGATGGAATCTGAACTCCCTTGCTTGGCCTAGCTCCCTTATGTTATCAGGCCCACACTTACTTCTCCAACCTCCTTTTTTATGTCCCTCTTCTGGATATTTACCACGGTCCAGAGACATCAGCCCAGAGCCTGCCAATCTCTCTCCTGCCTCAGCATCTTGGCACTTGCCTCTGCTTGGAAAGCGCTTCTCCTGTGTCTTAGCAAAGCTGGATCCTTGACACCCCTCAGGTCACCGCTTATGTGTCACCTCAGGGTACCCTTCCCAACTACCCCATGTAAGATTATCCCCTCCTCTTCAGACTTACTCTCCACCATATCACTCTGTTAATTTTCTTCATAGCGTTTATCACACGTGGTAAATCTTTTTATTTATTTACTAATGTATTATCTGTCTCTTTCCAAGGAAGTGCAAACTCCCTGAAGACAGAGACCTGTTTGCCTTGGTGCCTCTGCATTTCCAGCACCTGTCACAGAGCCTGACATACAGCAGGTTAAACAAATACTACATGCCCATAACAACTAAGCCCATTATCTGGGCAAGGAATTCTGTGGAATATTTCTTAGATGAAGATGAAGGTTCAAAAAGAACTTATAAATAGCACATACATCTACTTTCTACCCACATTTTATTCAACCAATTTGAGGACATTTGTACACGTAAGTTCTTCACATGTCTGGCTTCTTATCCTTCAGGTTTTAGCTCATATGACATCTCATCATGCGGGTCAGTCTCCAGCCTGACCACTCTGGCTGGAGCCCTCCCTGCATCCCTCCCATTCTCCACCCTGTTTACTTGGTTCACAACACTTATCACACTCTAAATTGATGTTGATTTGTTTATTTATTTATTTTTTAACCTCTATGCATTAGAAGCTAACGTTTTGAGCGCAGGAACATCTTGTCTACACAGCTCCTAGAACATTTCCCAATGGATAGTAGACATTCCATAAATATTTTTTGAATGAAGCCACACATGGCCACTAATTCGTACTCCTTCTTTAGTTCTAATAGTTTTTGTGGTTTTTTTTAACAAATTTCTTTGGTCTTTTTCCTAAGTAGATAATTATCATCTATGATCAATTTTCTCTTTTCTAAGAGTTACACCACATTGTTTTTTTCCTTCCCTATTGTATCAACTAGAACTACCAGAACAATGTTACACAAGACAGGGAATAGCAGGTACCTCTGATTTGTTGTTACTTCACAGACTCACCATTAATTATAATACTGGTGTTGTCTGGGACAGACATTCCTTGCCACATCAAGGAAAAATCCTTTCTAAAGGATTACCAAGTATTTTTAAATTTAGCTCAATTTAGTTTAGTCCTAACAAAAAGCAATCTTGAATTTTATCAGAGAACTTTTGATAATAATGTGTTATTACTTTGATCTAATGATAAAGCAAACTATGTTAATATTTAAATCACCTGAGGTCAGGAATTCAAGATCAGCCGTCCAACATAGTGAAACTCCTTCTTTAATAAAAATACAAAAATTAGCTGGGTGCGGTGGCGTGCGCCTGTAATCCCACCTAATTGGGAGGCTGAGGAAGGAGAATCATTTGAACCCTGGAGGCGGAGATTGCAGTGAGCTGAGATTGAGCCACTGCACTCCAGCCTGGCCAACAGAGTGAGACTCCATCTCAAGAAAAATAAAAATAAAAATAAAAAAATCAGACATTCAAGCAAGTGATGTGATCAGCATGTCTCTTGGCTTGGTGATTGTCAAGGATGGAAAAAACTAAGCCCTGTGGTGGGGATTTGGCCAACAGACTAGAGAGGGTAGGGGACTATGAGAGATTTCTAAAGATCACTGCTTTCTATCCAGCTGTGACTATTAAATACTAAACTGATGAGTATCTCTTTAGCTGAGAGCCTGGGCAAAAGGTTGCCAGGATTACCGGATACTAAGATTGAAAATGGCTGCTTGCCTCCGGCTAAATAAGCCCATAAAACAAACCTTTGGAGAATTATTTTAATTTTAAGAGCATTGTGTTTAAAACTCCACAAAAGCAGTTCTGTATGGTTTCCAGGGCAGTCCCCAATGCCTTGTAAATTTCTCAATATAAAAATTTCTCAATAGTATGCCCCATTGTGCCACAACCCAGGGCTGAAGCATGCCTCAGTGCTGAAGTCTGATGAGGTTGGACACTCAAAGTTCTCAACTCAGCTTCTGCTCCTCATCCTTCCTTTGCTATCTTAGGGTTTTGGCAACCATTTTTAAGCAGACAACTTCCCAGTCTACTTCTCCATCCCTGTTTCAAGAACTTGAGTCCCACATTTCTCATTTTAAATTGCCATGTGGATGAATTGCAGGTACCTCAAACTGCTTGTGCCAAAAACTGAACACCTGATTTCTTGACAAACCTTGTTTCTCATACTATCAAATAGACTGGTCTCCTTTTAGACATCTCTCTTGAGATCTTGCATCATCTTTGCGTCTCTGTCTTTCTTAATCCTCCTTTTTAATGAGTTATCAAATCCAGCCAATATCTTTGGAATTCCACCCTCTTTTTCTACTCTCACTTACATTGCCTTTGGTTGGGTCCTCTTTCCCTTTCTCCTGCATCAGCATTCCAACACAATGGTTTCCTTGATGCCATCTTCACTCTACTCTTCTTGTCTACTGCTATCAGAGTAATCTACCCAAAGTTCAATTTTTTTTTTTGACAGAGTCTCACTCTGTTGCCCAGGCTGGAGTGCAGTGGTGTGATCTCGGCTCACTGCAACCTCCGCCTCCCGGGTTCAAGCGATTCTCCTGCCTCAGCCTCCCGAGTAGCTGGGACTACAGGTGCACATGCTGGGCTAATTTTTTGTATTTTTAGTAGAGGCGGGGTTTCACTGTGTTAGCCAGGATGGTCTCAATCTCCTGACCTCGTGATCTGCCCGCCTCCGCCTCCCAAAGTGCTGGGGCTACAGATGTGAGCCACTGTGCCCGGCCTTAAGTTCAATTTTAACTGTATCATTATCACCCTCAAAACCTGTATTAGCTCCTCAGTGCTTACACAATGAAGTCTAGATTTCATCACATGGCATTCATAGTCAGAGCTCAGCCTACCTTTCAGCTCACTGTGCTCTGAGCACTAGCCCAGTGTTTCTAAACCTCTTTCTCACTACTGTCCCCACAATGCACCTTTTTAGAACTTTTTTCACAATCACCTCCCTTGTGCAATGTTAATACTTCAGATATACTGTGTATCTGTGTATCATGTGTAGATTTGTGCTTTCTACATAAAAAGAGGAAGATTTTACCCCTGTGGAGACTACATGCTCTGCCAAAACAGATCACTTAACAATCCATGAACATGCTCCAGTGTTTTCTAGCTTCCAAGCTTTTGTTCAGTCTGGCCATTAAAGAGGTTGAGGGAATATGAGAAGATTCCTAGACTGTACTTCTGCTATTCAGCACGCTGATCCCCTTGCCTAGAATAGACTCACACATCTCCTCCCACCACCCCCTATTTCTTCCTCTTGAAATCTGACTCTTCATGCAGCAACCTAAATACCGTATCCTCTCTCCATCCACTCAGTTGGCACTAACTTTTCTGTGTGCTCATGGAATTTTCTTTATTCCTCTATTATGTTCTTTTTTACATAGTCATCTTTCTATTTGTGTATCTCTCCCACTGGATTACAAACTTTCTAAAGACAAGGACTGTGTTGTTCACAGTGTGTGATGCCTTCATGTAATAGGCACCAGGATACGTTGGTTGAAATCAGTTCACTGATATACTGGAAACAGTGTAAAATCCCACCAGTGACCATATTGAAAAGTCCCATGTGTATGCTGAATAAATGAACACACTAGAAAAACTGGACACCATATACAAGACATACTCCCAAAACAGGATCATTAATACAGACACTATTTATAAAGGAGTTCTGTATTGTGTACACCATGGGTGAACAAAATTGGTTCCTGGTTCACACAAATAACAGACACCCACAGAAAGTTATCTGAATGGCTAGCTGCCTAGGCATGTTTTAAATAATGATGATCAAATGGGGTAGCCCAGAGAACAAAACACAAGTGGCAATTTTTGATATCATGTTCTTGTACAGATACAAAATTTTAATTGGGTTTATGTGCCATGAAAAGAAATGATATATGTAGAAGTACATTTTATATGTTAGTAATCATCACCACCATCTTCAAAATGACCAAATTAAGGCTATGGGGCAGGAAAGTCAATCTGACAGAGTTATTTTTGGGTAGGAAGTGAAGCCAAGATAAAAACATGTTTTCTGTAAAAGCCTTGATAATTAAAAAAAAAGTATATATGTGAATATCTTTATAAGTTTCTATTATTCTTCATTGCATTGTGGAACAATTGACTTTCTAGGAAAGCTATTTCTGTGGCTTCATAGGATTACCATTTGCTTTCACCAGAGGATTAGGTATTTTTAAATGGCATGTGTATTACTTCTCTGAGTTTATTAAGATGATAATAAAATCTTACAGAAAACTTCTAACAGGTGTTTTCTACAGTCCTTTGCTTCTGGGCTGTCTTCTCCTAAAATACCATAAACGGTTTTGTTTGTTTGTTTGTTTGTTTCTAAAGTCTAAGAATGACTTTTGTGGGACAGTGGAGGTGGGGGTGTCTGTGGGATGAGAGGCTTGGCAAATAATTCGTTTCCAAGGATACACTAATTTCCGCCCTTCAGCCAGGTTCATCCACAGTCAGTAGTGTAATTGAGTTTAGTTCTTCCTGGTCTTTCAGATAAGTAACCCTTTTGCCAGTTACAAACCCTACTTGCAATTCTATTTTCTATGGGCTCTTAATTATTGAAAGGGAGGATTAGTCATGAATCTCCTTTTTCACTCCTTTACTAATCAAGCTCAAGTTCTGCGAGCAAACAGCAACAGCAAAAGCAAATACTTTGGCGCCAACACTTAGCCTTGCCTCACTTAAGAGGCAGAATTATGTAGGCTTGTTTGCTTAACAACTCAGATAGGGGGCGGGGAGGGTGACCGGAGGGGACGAGGGAGGGGACGAGGGACGGGACGAGACGAGGGAGGGGACGAGGGAGGGGACAAGGGAGGGCCCGCCCCCTTGGAACGGGATTGGTTCCCTCTCTCCCTTTAGCCGTTCACTTTGCATCTCGGTTGGACAGGTTGAGAGAAACATGTCATTAAGGTATTGTCAATATGAGCCCTTCAGGTGTGGGCGTTCCCTAGGTTTGTGGTTTTAGACTTTCAAAGGGGCGGACTTATTATTGGCTGTGGGATCAAGTTCGTGAAACTGGTCTTGTACAGGTTGAAAAATGCCTTCCTAACAGGAGGCGCCAAGGAGCTTAAGTGTAACTCACACACAGTAAAGAAAATGACGAAAGTTCCTCCGGCGTTTGATTTCAGTTTCTTAAATGACGAAGAGGCCAGGAAGATCCTTCAGGTGCTGGAAAGGAATGAGGAGTTACAGAGGGCCGAGAAGGACAGGATCAGGTACAGAGCAAATTCATTTCTTTTGTCCTGGGCCTGGGTCCCGCAGGGGCCGGGGATCCGCGGGGAAGGCGCTGAGCTCGCGCGGGGCACCTGCCCGGGGGTGCTCCGAGCGGCTGCTGCGGAGGCTGCGGGTCGGGAAGAGAAAACTGCGCGGAGTTGCTCCCTGAAGGACTTTGGGATGCTTAGTTGGTACCCTCTCCACCCACCACATACCAGACGGGCTCGGCTGCGGGTCTGGGGTCGGGCAGGGTGGGGGGGTCCGTGCGCTGCGGGGGCCGCGCAGTGACGCTGTGCTGTGCCGGGTGTCTGCTGGGCCATCGCGGGGCGTGGGCCGTTTCAGGCAATGAAATGCGGCGGGGGCGCGATCTGGAGAGGAATCCTGGCTGCTGCTCACTCCGCGGCCCGCGCGCACCCACGTGCTCGCACGGGTCCGACAGAGCTTCCACCCTCGCCTAACGCAGTTTTCCCTCGGCACCAGAGGCGAATCTCCCCACCCAATGCGGGCAGTCAGCGAAGCACGGGAGAGCCGGCACCTCACGGGAGGCGAAAGGTCCCCACCCCAAGGGTAGGAGCTCGAGGAATTTGTCAAATAGAGGCTTATGTGGGCGAATGGGACTTGGACACACGGGGTTGGCTGGAATGGGTGGGTCTTCTTGTGCGTGGTGCTGTGGGGAGCGAGTTTCTGAGAAATTTCATCCTTGACCTTACTATACACTGTTGTAGGTGAGGGATTAGTTACTAAAGAATGAAATCCAGAGACACAGATAATTACCCAGGATGTACATTAACCAGTTTTTCTGCTGGGGAAGTGTGGGATAAGTGCTGGAATGAATTAAAGGGACTCTCTCGCCAATATTGGAATATATCCATCTAAGTCCTTCTCTAGATAACTGTGGAAGGGAATTCAGGACATCACTCTCAGACCACACTGTGTGCCATTGATTGGAATTTAGCAAGTCATTTTGTTTTATGATCAACTGCTTGCTAATGCGAGTTCCAGGTTCCCAATTCTTTCTAGAATTGCCTGTCCCCCACCGCCGACAAAAGAAACCCTCCAGGGACCCTCTTCAAATTGGAAAATCTAGTTGGTCTTTGTAGAAAGAATTAGAATACACTAAGCCCAATGCCCTGACTTCACCCTTCTCCCCTAAACATGACTCTTTGAGGGATGAAGGAATATTTGAGGTTGGGGAATATGGATTTCATACCATCTGCCTTGAGAAAAAGTGGCTTTATCATTCCCCTCCCCTGAACAGTGTAGAAAGTGTGCCTTCAGGAGAACAGTATGCCACACCCACACACACCCACGTGCATAATGTACCTACACATATGCACATGCACCGCACAAGGCACACCCAACTTTCAGAAGAAGAATTTCAGAACTGCACGGAATTTCAGTGCATATTCCAAAGGCACTAAGAAACTGCGGTTATTCTCAGTGTGTGTTATTGGAAATGTTTCTTGTCTCTGAAGAGGATGGGGCTTCTTAAGTGATCCATTGTATATTTGGGGAAATTGAGGGGAGAGTTAGAAAATAACAAGGAGAGAAGCTTTCATTTAAGATGTTATCTTGACTTTTTATTTTTGACCTGATGCTTGCTTGCCTTATTGTGTTTTCTCTATTGCAACTCACGATGCCCACTGCAGTTGACTTTAGAGGGAACTGGATCTCCACATAGATCTACACAAAGCACGTGTATCTACACAAAGCCATTGGGCTGGGCATTAGAAGGAAGGTCAAAACACATTTTCTAATTTCATGGCACTCATATTCTAATGGAAGCATCAACAGAAAAAGCCATAATGCTAAGACAAAATCGATACTGTATTATACTAATTATTAAAAGTATTTAATTGCCCAAACAATTTGAAAAATATCACCATTAAAATACAAAAATCATTTAAGGAAAGTAGATGTGTGGACCAAATACCCAAGGCAATGATTTCTAGTACTGTCTTTTCCTTTGATTAATTCCCCACTTCCACTATCAAATACCCATGTCTGGCTTGCAGGCTCCATGGGATTGTTCTGCTTACCCACTTCAGGCTCACATGTATTAATTTCAGTATCAGATATTGGCATGCAGAAAGGGCCTGAGACAACATGGCAACTTGGCTGCCTCTTCTGCTCATTTTCTTGATATGTGTGATCATATTTTCCAAATCAAAAATCAGGACACATGACTTATAACTCAAGAGTATAATTTCATTCTGTTCTGGCTTGGCATATGTGAACAACAACAAAAAAGAGATGCTTCAACAGGCCTGTCTGAGAGACTCAGGGAAGCCTTTTTACTGTATTGAGAAAGAGCTTCAAGACCTCTTGACTAGAACAATAAGGGTCCAAATGGGGAAGTTTAGAAATTTAGCAGGTTGGGGAATGGCTGATGAGTTCATTTATATCTATGATAGGCTTGAGGTATCTGCAAGACAACTAAGAAGAAATACAGGCACCCTATAGTTGGGGCTGGGCCCGGTGGCTCACGCCTGTAATCCCAGTGCTTTGGGAGACTGAGGCAAAAGGATCGCTTGAGGCCAAGAGTTTGAGACCAGCCTGACCAACACAGAGAGACCATGTCTCTACAATAAAAATTAAAAATAAATTTAGCCTGATATTGTGGCACATACTTGCAGTACTAGCTACTCAGGAGGCTCAGGTGGGAGGATCCCTTGAGCTCAAGAGTTCAAGGCTGCAGTGAACTATGATTGTTCCACTCCAACCAGAGTGACACAGTAGAGACCCTGTCTTTAAAAATAAAATAAATAAAATCATTTTTTTTTAAAAAAGAACTACAGTGTCATGCAGGGCCAGAGATGTTCTGAGATAGGTGTGAGGGTAGTTGAGTTCATCATGCAGAAGGCAGCAGCCCCACCCACAGAAAAGTTCCTGAACACATAGAACTTTCTCCTGATCTCCCCTCATCTGTACCAGACCTCTCTGGCTCCAACTTACCAGGAAAGTATTTGCATTAAATATAATAGTTAATGTTTCTAATATATAGTTTATTCAGATTTTTAAGAAAAACACCAAGATTCAAACTGATAAATAGGCAAAAGATAGAAATAAATCATTCACACCAGAAGATATCCAAACAGTAAACATAACAGATGGGAAAATGTCTACCCTCACAGTAATAAATGAAAATTGAAGTAACCTTGAGATACCATGCTGCCCCTTTAAAAATGACAGAAAAAAAAATGTTGGTGAGGGTTGGAATGAAATGGACAGATTTTGCACATTGTTAGTGACGTTGTAAGTTGATTACAAGCTTTTTGGTGAGCATTATGGCAATATCTATCAAGATACGCCTTACGCTTGACCCAATTGTCCAATTCTTGGATATTTCTCATTAGTAGGAGATTAAGGTGGAGGAGATGGCCACACCAACATATATTAAGTGCTGCCTTTTTATGTAATAATAGTAATTATTGTGGTAATAACGACAGCTAACATTTATTAGGCCCTTACTATATACTAGGCACTGTACTAAACATGTTATACAGATTTAATTAATCCTCCCAATAACCTCATTAGGTATACACTTTAATTCTCATTTCACAGAGAAGGAAACAATTAAAAAAGGTCGAGTATTTTGTCCAACTTAAGCAGCAGAGCCAGAATTTATAATCCAGATCTATTTCAAAACTACTTTACCCATCAAGATTGAATAATCCTCACAACCATTTCTTGGGGTATTATTAATGGCTTTTTATAGAAGGAAAACTGAAATTTAGCAACGTTAAGGAACTTGCCTAAGGTCACACAGCTCATAAACGTCAGAGATAGAATTTGAACCTAAATCTATCTGGCATCAGAACCAGATGTTACGGTGCCTGGAGTAATCAAGTTTTTAAATGGCATGTCTAGATTTAGACCATTTTTTGCTCCATGGCAAGATTGCAGCCCAGGAGGGTTTTCCAGAATTTAGTTTTTTCTGATTGATTTACACTAATATCCTTGAGCTGTGGCACAGGTCTGAACAGGACTGTATATGTCAAAGTCATAAAGTGGTCTATAGCTGGTGGCAGCTGCCACATCCGGCAGAGGTTAAAAGCCAGATACACAAGCCTCCTGCCTCCCCTACACATTCTGCCTGCCCTCTCCTCTCCCAGCCTGTGAAATCTGCCTCTGGCTAAGGGGCAGAGTTTCTAGAGACATTGGATGTCTACTGATTGGGCTTTTTACTGTGTGCCAGACACTGGATTGGCCCTGAGAATACAGTGGAAAATAAAACACAGATTCTGTCCCAAATGGCTTCAGTCTATGAAAGGTTTTCATTGGCGATAGAATGTGTAAGATGAACTGTAGCTCGCCCTTATGCAGTCCTGTGTGGCCTGGAAAAGGGACAACAAGAACAATGCCTGGAAGTCACAAGTGTGCTCAGGAGGCTTGAGCAAGTTCTGAAACATAACAAAGTACCAGATTAACACACCACGGATCTCTGAGCTGTCTGCACTTTCCAATGGCATCCAATTTAGTTAATTCCTTTAAACTGAGGGAGAACTTCCTCTCAGATACATTTTCCTGTCTAGTTACTCCTGTGGATTTGTCCCCACAGGCAATACACACAGAACTACTATAATAATATCGTTCCATATCCCAATGCCAAGCAGCAGTGTTCTTTTTAAGCTTAGTGATATTATAACTCTTTTAGCTTATAAAGTCTTTCATATTTTTTTATCCTCATCCTCAACCTGATAAAGCAAATACTATTATCTTCTTTTCCAAAAGCTAATAAAACAACTGTAATAATAGCTAACATTTGTTGAGTATTGACCCATGCTAAGCTCTTTGTGTGCACTATCTCATTTAATTCTTACAACAACCTGATGAGTTAAGGGATATCTTTATCTCCATTCGACAAAGGAAGCTTAGAAAGGGTAAGTGACATGCTTGAGATAATACTGCTAGGGAGTGTCCGATTTGGGAACTCCATCTGTACATAATCACTGTGCTGTGCTGCCTCCTACAGTACCAAAAAGTTGAAGTGACTTTCCTCACCTGGCCCATCTAGCTCATAACAGAACCAGGACTGGGATCTATCCACTTTAAATCTCTTGCTATTTTATCTCCATTCACCATAAAAATAAAAAACACACAATTCTATGTAGTCAAATGCTCAGCTAAAAGTTGGAGATGTTATTACTAAGGAAAATGGCATAATGGGTATGGGAAGATAACTGATACCATCTGCCTATATAGAAAAAATTGCTGGCAACCATTTATGTTAAAAATGCATATATGCATTCTATAAGGAAGACTTTATACTGTTAAAATGATTATCTTTGGGGAATCACATTTAAAGGGACTTTAACCCTTTTACTACTGTTTTATTTTTTAGTTATCATATGTTATTAAAAATAGGGCCAGGTGCTGTGGCTCACGCCTGTAATCCCAGCACTTTGGGAGGCTGAGATGGGTGGATTGCCTGAGGTCAGGAGTTTGAGACCAGCCTGGCCAACACGGTGAAACCCCATCTCTACTAAAAATACAAAAATTAGCCAGGCTTGGTGGCTGGCACCTATAAGCCCAGCTACCTGGGAAGCTGAGACAGAAGAATCGCTTGAACCCAGGAGGTGGAGGTTGCAGTGAGCCGAGACCGCGCCATTGTACTCCAGCTTGGGTAACAAGAGCAAAACTCTGTCTTGAAATAAATACATAAATAAATAAATAAAACTGTTTCTTTGGATAATAAATATGGAATGTTTGACTATTTTTTACTTTCATAAATGTCCGTTACGAAGGTAAAATACTTTTTAAAAATGTCTTTTAAAAAATAAATAACTTGTAAGGGTAAATTTCTTTTTAAAAATGTCTAAATGTTTTTCTGCCCTTGTCCTTTTCTTTACAATGTTAATGTGTGCACAGGTAAGTTGGTACATGGTAAGTTGTACATCAACCTTGATTCCTTGTGGTCAAGGATTATTTCAGGGATGGAGAGCCTCACACACTTCGGTACTCAATACCTAGTCAAATGGAACTTAACTTACTGCTATAGGCAATACAAACTAAGGGAAAGAAAGATCTGAGGAAACCAGGTGAAGGGCGAAAGAAAGTCAGGTGAAGGTTAGTCAGAAAATACTTTCATTCCTCATTAGCACAGATGGTCTTAAACCTGAGAACCACATGAAGGTCAAAAGGAGGTCAGGTTAAGTTTAGTAAGGAGATATACCTAATGCTAAATGACGAGTTAATGGGTGCAGCACACCAGCATGGCACATGTATGCATATGTAACTAACCTGCACATTGTGCACATGTACCCTAAAACTTAAAGTATCGTAATAATAAAAGAAAAGAAAAGAAAATGCTTTCCTTCCTGTTTAGCACAGCAGGGTCTTAAAATTGAGAAGAAGGTGGCTAAGAACTAAGAAGTGCTAGCTAAGGCATGGTCTTTCGTAAACGTGGGTGGATTCTCTCCTTCACCTTCATTCAGGTCGGTTTTTCTGTAGTGAGTTATTCCCCAAGCTGTGAGATTTGAGAGCTATAGGCTCATCGCCCTCTCCTTCTCAGGATGTTTCCTTATTGACATTGCCAATGGCCCTATTAAAAGGCCATACTTCAAATATTAACAGATCACAGGAGCCAGCTTCCTCATTCCATGGTGTGTTAGGCTTTCTAGATGAAAGAGGAAATGGGAGATGACAGTGACCAAATTCTCTGCACCCCAACAAAAAGTTGTGTTTTTTTATATTGATAAAGCTTACCTTGGTTTTCACTTTGAAACGATGCATTTAACAGCAGTTAAGGGAGGAAAGGGGATGGGGGAGGGAGGAAAGGGGATGGGGGAGGGAGGAAAGAGGATGGGGAGGGAGGAAAGGGGATGGGGGAGGGAGGAAAGGGGGTGGGGGAGGGAGGAAAGGGGATGGGGGAGGGAGGAAAGGGGATGGGGGAGGGAGGAAAGAGGATGGGGAGGGAGGAAAGGGGATGGGGGAGGGAGGAAAGGGGATGGGGGAGGGAGGAAAGGGGATGGGGGAGGGAGGAAAGGGGATCAGGGAGGGAGTAACTTATCCTGGCAACCACTATTTTGTTCTTCAACACTACCGTTTTATTTGTTAAAGAATGTTATATAAATGGAAGCACAGAATACATAACCTTTTGAGAATGGCTTCTTTAACTCAGTAAAATGAGGGTCACACAGGTTGTCGTATGTATAAATAATTCATTCTGGCCAGGCAAGGTGGCTCACACCTGTAATCCCAACACTTCGGGAGGCCGAGGTAGGAGAATCACTTGAGGTTTCGCCATGTTGGCCAGGTTGAGAGCAGCCTGGCCAACATGGCAAAACTCTGTCTCTACTAAAAATACAAAAATTAGCCAGGCGTGGTGGCACGCGTCTGTGGTCCCAGCTACTCAGGAAGCTGAAGCAGGAGAATCACTTCAACCTGGGAGGTGGAGGTTGCAGTAAACTGAGATGGTGCCACTGCACTCCAGTATGGGCTACAGAGCAAGACTTCATCTCAAAATAAATAAATGAACAAATAAATAAATAATTCATTCCTTTATATTGCTGAGTAGTATTTAGTATTTCATTATATGGATTACTACAGTTCGTTTATCCTTTCACCCACTGAAGAACACTTGTTTTGTTTACACATTTTGATGATATTAAATAATGCTGCTATCAACATCCATGAGCAGGCTTTTGTGTGAACATGATTTTTATTAGTAGTGGAATTGCTGGATCATATTCTTGAATTTGCAAGAAACTGCCAAACTGTTTTTCCCACAGCTGTACCATTCTGCATTCCTACCAACAGTATATAAGAGTTCCAATCTCTGTCTTTGTCATTCAGGCTACTACAACAAAATACCTTAGACTGGGTAATTTATAAAGAGCAGAAATCTATTGCTTATAGTTCTAGACCCTGGGAAGTCCAAGATCAAGGCACTGGTAGAGTCTGTGTTTGGTGAAGTCCCCCTCCTCATAGAGGGTGCCTTTTCTGTGTCCTCACATGGTAGAAGGGGCAAAAAGGCTTCCTCTCAGGCCTCATGTAAAAGGGCACTGATCCATTCATGAGGGAGAAGCCCTCTCCACCTAATCACCTGCCAAAGGCCCCATCCCTTACTACCATCACCTTGAGGGGTAGGGCTCAACATATGAATTCTGGGGGGACACATACTTTCAGACAAGAGCATAGTAGTTCTTTAGTCTTGCCAGCATTTGGTATTTTGAATATTTTTTTATTTTAACCATTCTAATAGGTTTGTAGAGGTATCTCCTCATGTTTCAATTTGCATTTCCCTAGTGACTAATGATGGTAAACATCTTTTTATGTGCTTACTTGCCTTCCATATATTCTCTTTGGGGAAGTATCTGCTAAAATCTTTTGAACAGTTTTTAGTTGGGTTATTTGTTTTCTGATTGATGAATTTTGAGAATTCTTTATATATTCCAGATACAAGTCTCCTGTTGAACACCAGGTTTGCAAACATTTTCTTCCCATCTGTAGCTTGTCTTAACTTTCCTACTGTGTCTTTGTGGAGTAAAAGTTACCCAGTTTGATGAAATCCAACATATCAAACTTTTTTCTTTTATGAATCATGCTTTTAGTAGCGTTCTAAGAATACTCTGCCTCAGCCCAGATTACAAACATTTTCTCCTATGATTTCTTTTTAAAGTTTTATAGTTTTATGTCTTACACTGATGCATTTTGAAATAAGATTTATGTGCAGTGTGAGGTTTAGATTGAGGTTCATTTTATTTTTGCATATTAATGCCCAATTATCCCAACACCATTGTTGAAAGACTGTCCTTCATTAAATTGCTTTTGCCCCTTTGTAAAAAATTTGCTATATTTTTGGAGTCCATTTTTGGACTCTGCTCTTTTCCATAGACCTCTATGTCTTTTCCTTCACAAATACTATGGTATCCTGATTACTGTGGCTTTATAGTAGGTCTTAACGTCAAGTAGTATGCTTCCTCCCTTTTTTTTTTTTTGAGACAGGGTCTCTCTTTGTCGCCTAAGCTGGAGTGCGGTGGCACAATCTTGGCTCAATGCAACCTCCACCTCCTGGGTTCAAACTATTCTCAAGCCTCAACCTCCTGAGTAGTTGGGATTACAGCTGTGTGACGCCACACCTAGCTAATTTTTTTTTATTTTTAGTAGAGACAAGTTTTCGCCCTGTTGGCCAAGCTGGTGTCAAACTCCTGACCTCAGGTGATCTGCCCATCTTGGCCTCCCAAAGTGCTGGGATTATAAGTGTGAGCCACTGTGCCCAGCCAGAATGAATTATTTATACATACAACAACCTGTGTGACTCTCAAAGGTGTTTTACTGAGTTAAATAAGCCATCCGATTTTATTCTTTGTTTTTAAAACTATTTTGTCTATATCATTCCTTTGCTTTTCCATATAAATTTTTACATTTAAGTTTAAAATTGTTCATTGCTAGTATAGAGAAATACAATTGATTTTTGATATTGATCTTGTACCCTACCACTTAGCTAAACTTACTTATTGGCTCTAGGATGTTCTTTTTTGAGGGGGGCAGATTTTTCTGGGTGATTTTCTACATGGCCAATCATGTCTCCTGTAAGTGGTGATGGTTTTATTTTTTCCTTTCCAATATGTATGCCTTTTATTTCTTTTTCTTGCCTAATATTGACTAGGACTTCAAGCATGATGTTGAATAGGAGTATTGACATTGTACTTCCTTGCTTTGTTGCTGAGCACTGTCTTTCACTATGAACTACGATGTTAGCTATGATTTTTTTGTAGATGACTTTTTTATTTTTATTTTTTTGTTAATTTTTTTTAATAGAGATGGGGTTTTGCTATGTTGGCCAGACTGGTCTCCACCTCCCGGGCTCAAGTGATCCACCCGCCTCGGCCTCCCAAACTGTTGGGATTACAGGCATAAGCCACCATGCCCGGCCTGTAGATGACTTTTATCTGGTTCTATTTCTTGCTTGCTGAGAGCTTTTATTTGAACATATCTTGAATTTTATTAAATGCTTTTTCTGCATCAACTTCTATGACCATGTGGCTTTTTCTTCTATAGACTATTGATATACTTATTTATTTTTTTTTTTATTTTTTTTTTTGAGACAGAATCTCACTCTATCGCCCAGGCTGGAGTGCAGTCGTGCGATCTCAGCTCACTGCACTCGGGTTCACGCCATTCTCCTGCCTCAGCCTCCCGAATACTTGGGACTACAGGAGCCCGCCACCACGCCCGGCTAATTTTTTGTATTTTTAGTAGAGACGGGGTTTCACCTTGTTAGCTAGGATGGTCTCAATCTCCTGACCTCGTGATCTGCTCACCTTGGCCTCCCAAAGTGCTGGGATTACAGGCATGAGCCACTGCGCCTGGCGATATACTTATTAACAGTAATTGATTTTAGAATATCAAACCAGCCTTACTGTTGTGGGTTGAACTGTCCTCCAAAAAATAAAAAAGCTATGTTAGAGTCCTAATTGCCAATACCTCAGAATGTGACCTTACTTAGAAATAGGGTCTTTACAGAGAAAATCAAGTTAAAATGAGGTGATTAGGATGGGCCCTATTCTAATATTAATGATGTCCTTATACAAAGTGGAAAATTTGGACACAAAGACAGACAAGCACGCAGGGAGAATGCTTTGTGCAGACAGGAGTAACGCTGCCACAAGGCAAGGAACTACTTCAGAAGCTAGGAGAGAGGCCTGGAACAGACCCTTCCTTAGTGCCCCCAGAGGGAGCATGGCCCTGCCAGCACCTTGACCTCCAGCCTCCAAAACTGTGAAACATGTCTGTTGTTCAAGTCGCTCAATGTGCAGTACTTTATTGGGGTAGCCTGAGAAAACTAATCCACTTACATGCTCAAGAAAATCCCACTTGATCATCATGTACTATTCT
The DNA here is from genome assembly GCF_000001405.40 of Homo sapiens. Lineage (NCBI taxonomy): Eukaryota > Metazoa > Chordata > Mammalia > Primates > Hominidae > Homo > Homo sapiens. Next base: position 108,582,577 of record NC_000011.10, on the reverse strand, counting down.
TTTTATATGATTTCACTACATTTGCTAATATTGAGGGTTTTTAAAAAATCTGGGTTCATGAGAGGTACTGATATATAGTTTTCTGGTTTTCTATCCTTTTTTTTTTTTCTTTGTGACAGGGTCTCATTCTGTCACCCAGGCTGGAGTGCAGTGGCGTGATCTCAGCCCACTGCAACCTCTGCCTTCCAGGCCTGAGTAATCCTCCCACCCCAGCCTCCCTAAGTAGCTGGGACTACAGGCGTGTGCCACCACGCCCAGCTAACTTTTTTGTATTTTTAGTGGAGACAGGGTTTCACCATATTGCCCAGGCTGATCTTGAACTCTTGGGTTCAAGTGATCCCCCGCCCCAGCCTCCCAAAGTGCTGGGATTACAGCCATGAGCCACCACGCCCAGCCTGTATACTATTTTTGTGTGGTTTTGGTGTCAGTAATTCTAGCCTTGTAAAATGACTTAGGAAGTGTTTTCTTCTATTTTCTGGAAGAGATTATATAGCCCTGGCATTGCTTCTTCCTTAAACGATTGGTAAAATGAAACAATGAAACCATCTGGAATGGGAAGTTTCTTTTTTGAAAGGTTTTAAACTATGAGCTCAATTTCTTTGATAGATATAGAACTTTTTCGGCTATTTCATCATGAGTGAGTTTGACAGTGCGTGTTTTTTGAGAAATGGATCTATTCTAAGTTGTCAGGTTTATATGCATAAAGTTATTTATAATATTTATTTATTATCCTTTTAATGTCTGAATATTATGTAGGAATAGCCCCTCTTTCATTCCTGGTATTGATAATTTGTATTCTTTCCCTGTTTTTCCTTTTTAGTCGTGTTAAAGGTTTATCAAATTTATTGATGTTTTCAAAGGACCTGCTTTTTGTCTTACTTTGATTTTTCTTTATTGTTTTTGTTTCAATTTAATTGATTTCTGCTCTGATATTTACCATTGCCTGCTTTATGTTTATTTTGCTATTTTTTTCTCATTTCTTAAGGTGAAAACTTAGATTATTGATTGAAGACCTTTCTTCTTTTCCAGTATAAGCGTTTTTTGGTTTTTACATTATTTTAATTTTAATTAGCAAATAATAATTGTACATATTCATGAAGTATATGGTGATCTTTTGATACGTATAATACATGGTGATTAGATCTGGATAATTAGCATATTCATAATCTCAAACATTTATCATTTCCTTGTGTTGGGGGCATTCCATATCCTCTCTTCTAGCTATTTGAAACTATATATATGCATACATATATATATATTTTTTTCTTTTCTCTGAAATAGTGTCTTGCTCTGTTGCCCAGGCTGGAGTGCAGTGGTGCAATCTGGGCTCACTGCAACCTCCACCTCCTGGCCTCAAGTAGTCCTTCCACCTCAGCCTCCCTAGTAGCTGGGACTACAGGTACTCACCACCACGCCTGGCTAATTTTTCTATTTTTTGTAAAGACAGGGTTTCGCCATGTTGCCTGGGCTTTCAAACTCCTGAGCTCAAGTGATCTACCTGCCTCAGCCTCCCAAAGTGCTGGGATGACAGGCATGAGCCACCATGCCCAGCCATATTAATGTTATTAAATACCTATAGTCATCCCACAGTGCTGTAGACAGTAAAACTTATTCCTCCTCTCTAGCTGGAATTTTATATCCTTTAACAAGTCTCTCCTTCTCCTTCCTTTCCCCATTCCCAGCCTCTAATATCTTCTATTCTACTTTTTACTTCTATGACGTCAGCTTTTTTAAGCCTCCACTTATGAGTGAGAACGTGTGGTGTTTAGCTTTGTGTTCTTGGTTTATTTCACTTAACATAATGTCATCCAGTTTCATCCATGTTGCCACAAATGACAAGATCTCATTCTTTTTATGGCTGAATAGTATTCTACAGTATATATATGCCACATTTTCTTTATCCATTCATCTGTTGGATACCTAGGTTGATTCTATATCTAGGCTATTGTGAATAGTGCCGCAATAAATATAGAAGTATAGCTATCTCTTTAATATACTGATATCCTTTCTTTTGGGTATACCCAGCAGTGGAATTGCTGGATCATATGGTATTCTATATGTAGTGTCTTGAAGGACCTTCCATACTGTTCTCCATAGTGGCTATACTAGTTTGCATTCCCCACCAACAGTGTATAAGAGTTCCCTTTTCTCCACATCCTCACCAGCATTTGTTATTTTTTTTTTCCTTTTTGATAATAGCTATTCTAACCATACTGAGATGATGCCTCATTATAGTTTTGATTTGCATTTCCCTGATGATTAGTGATGTTGAGCATCTTTTTCATGTATTTCTCACCCATTTGTATGTCTTCTTTTGAGAAGTGTCTATTCAGATCATTTGCCCATTTTTAAATTGGATTGTCAGCTTTTTTGCTGTTGAGGTGTTTCAATTTATTGTGTATTCTGGATATTAATTCCCTTTTGGATGAGTAGTTTGCAAATATTTTCTCCCACTCTGCAGGTTATCTTTTCACTCTGTTGATTGTTTCTTTTGATGTGAAGAAGCTTTTGAGTTTTATATAATCCCATTTGTTTATTTTTACTTTTGTTGCCTATGTTTTTGAGGTCTTATTCATAAAATATTTCCCCAGACCAATGTCCTGAAGTATTTCCTCTATATTTTCTCCTAGCTCCTCTAATTCGAAGGGAAGATTCCCTTCCCTGAGAGTTTTAGTGTGTATGCGCCCCAGCTACCACTGCTGTTGCTGCCAGAAAACCCTTTTCCTACTCCTCAAACCTGAACTAGGGGGCTTTTCCTGGAACTCTCTCCATTTGCACCAATGCTCATTTCTGGGTTTTGCACTACTCTGAGTCCAAATCAGGGTATAGTGGAGGAGAGGGAAAAAAGTAAATTCACAGCAGTTTCAGTGGTATTTTACATTCTTTCACAATTTGCCTACTACAATTTACTTATCAGATATCTGTTCTGTGCCTTGTGACCAGGTTCTATGGCTATATTTCCTAGGAGAGACAGGGTGAAAGCACTTACTCTATCTTATCTGGAAGCAGAACTCCCCATATTTACTTTTTTTTTTTTTTACTTCCAAACTAATTGTATAAGGCCAACATTACCCTCATACCAAAACCAGACAAAGACACAGTGAGGAAAGAAAACTATAAGCCAATAACTAATAAACATCAATGCAAAAATAACAAAATACTAGCAAACTGAATTCAACAACACGTTAAAATGGTCATTCATTATAATCAGGCGGGATGCATCCCTGGGATGCAAAGATGGTTCAACATATGCAAGTTAATAAACATGATGTATCACATTGGTAGAATCAAGGGCATAAACCATATGATCATTTTAATAGATGTCAAAAAAGCATTCATTAAAATTCAACATCTCTTCATGATAAAAAAAAAAAAAACTCTCAACAAACTGCATATAGAAGGAGCATACCTCAAAACAATCAAAGCAATATAGGACAGACCCACAGCTAGCATCATACTGAGTGGGGGAAAACTGAAAGCCTTTCCTCTAAGATCTGGAACAAGACAAGGATACCCCTTTCACTACTTTTAGTTCAACAGAATACTGGAAGTCCTAGCTAGAGCAATTAGGCAAGAGAAAGAAATAAAGGGCATCCAAATTGGAAAGAAAGAAATCATTGTTCTTGTTTTCAGACAATATGATCTTACATTTAAAACAAAAATCCTAAAGACTCTGCAAAAAAGCTGTTAGAACTGATAAAAGAATTCAGTCAAGTTGCAGGATACAAAATCACCATACAAAAATCATTTCTATATGCCAACATTGAACAATCTAAAAAACAATCTCATTTACAATAACTACAAATAAAGGAATAAACTTAACCAAAGAACTGAAAGATCTCTACAATGAAAACTATAAAACGCTGATGATAGAAAGTGAAGAGGACATAAACAAATGGAAAGGTTGCCCATGCTCATGGATTGGAAGAATTAGTATTGTTTAAATACCCATACTACACAAAGTGATCTATAGAATCAATGCAATACCTATTATAATATCAATGAAATTCTTCACAGAAATAGAAAAACAACCTAAAATGAAGATGGAACCACAAAAGACCCAGAATAGCCAAATGAATCCTGAGCAAAAAAGAGCAAAGCTGAAGTCATCACATCACCTGACTTCAAAATATACTACAAAGCAGCAGTAACTAAAATAACATGGTACTGGCATGAAAACAGACACATAGACCAATGGAACAGGATAGAAAACTCAGAAATAAATCCACATTTACAGCCAGCTCATTTTCAACAAATGTGCCAAGAATATACAATGGGGAAAGGATCCCTCTTCAATGGATGGTGCTGGGAAAACTGAATATCCATATGCAGAAGAATGAAAGTAGACCCCTATCTCTCACCATATACAAAAATCAAATCAAAGTGGATTAAAGACTTAAATCTAAGACTTCAAACTATGAAACTACTAGAAGAAAATGTAGGAGAAATGCTCCAGGACATTGGTCTGGGCAAATATTTGAGTAAGACGTCAAAAGGACAGGCAACCAAAGCAAAAATTGACAAATGTGATTATATCAAGCTAAAAAGCTTCTCCACAGCAAAGAAACAATCAACATCATGAAGAGACAACCTACAGAATGAGAGAAAATATTTGCAAGCTATTCATCCAACAGGGATTAATAACCAGAATATGTAAGGAACTCAAGCAACTCAATAGCAAAAAAAAATCAAATTTTAAAATGGACGAAAGATCTGAATAGACACTTCTCAAAAAAATACATGCAAGTGGCCAATAGGCATATGAAAAAATGCTAAACATCACTAATTATCAGGGAAATACAAATCAAAACTACAATGAAATATCATTTCACCCCAGTTAAAATGGCTATTATCTGGCCAGGCGCAGTGGCTCACGCCTGTAATCCCAGCACTTTGGGAGGCCGAGGCGGGCAGATTACCTGAGGTCAGGAGTTCGAGATCAGCCTGGGCAACACGGCGAAACCCTGTCTCTACTAAAAATACAAAATTAGCCGGGCGTGGTGACACATGCCTGTAATTCCAGCTACTCGGGAGGCTGAGGCAGGAGAATCACTTGAACCTGGGAGGCAGAGGATGCAGTGAGCCGAGATCGCGCCATTGCACTCCAGCCTGGGCAACAAGAGTAAATCTCCGTCTCACCAAAAAAAACAAAAAATAAATAAATAAAATAAAATAAAATAAAATGGCTATTATCAAAAAGACAGAAAATAACAGATGGTGATGAGAATGTAAATTAGTACAGCCACTATGGATAACAGTTTGGAGGTTCCTCAAAAAACTACAAATAGAACTACCATATGATCCAGCAATCCCATTGCTAGGTACATATTCAAAAGACAGGAAATCAGTGTATCAAAAAGATCTCTGCACTTCCATGTTTATTGCAGCACTATTCACAATAGCCAGGATACAGATCAACCTACATGTTCATGAATGGATGAATGAATAAGGAAAATGTAGTGTATATACATTAGTGTACATAATGGGATATTATTCAGCCATAGAAAAGGAACTAAATCCTATGATTTGCAACAATATAGATGGAACTGGAAGATATTATATTAAGTGAAATAAGCCTAGTACAGAAATACAAATATCACATATTCTCACTCATATATGGGAGCTAAAAGAGTTAGTCATATGGAGGTATTGAATAGAAGGATGATTACAAGAGGCTGGGAAAGGTAGTGGGGAAGGGAGGATGAAAAGGACTTGGCTAGAAGGCACAAAAATACAGTTAGATAGAAGGAATAATATCTAGTGTTTGATAGCACAATAAGGAAACGAGTTTATAATTTATTGTACACTTCAAAATAGCTAGAAGTAAAGATCTGGAATGTTTCCAACACAAAGAAATGATAAATGCTTGAGGCAATGGATATCTTACTTACTCATATTTGATCATTACACATTGTATTCTTATATTAAATATCACATGTATCCCATAAATATGTGCAACTACTATATATCCATAAAAATTAGAAGCAAATTCAAAAAAGAATGAAAAATAAAATTTTATTGAAGTTAAATTAATATAACATAAAACTATCCACTTTAAAGCTAACAATTCATTGGCATTTTGTACATTAACAATGTTGTACAATCACCCCCTCTATCTAGTACCAAAACATTTTCATCAACCCAAAATAGAACCCATTAAACAGTTACTCTTCATTCCCACCTCCCCTCAACTACTAGCAACCATGGGTTTACCTATACTGGATATTTCATGTAAATGGAATTATATAATTTTTGTCTGTCTTCTTTTACTTAGTGTAATGTTTTTGAGGTTCATCCACCTTATAACATGTATTAATACTTTATTCCTTTTCTTGACTGAATAATAATCTATTGTATGCATATGCCACAATTTATTTATCTATTCATCCATTGATAGACATTTGAGTTGTTTCCATATTTTGGCTATTGTGAATAATGCTGCTATGAACAATTGTCTCACAAGTATTTGTTTGAGTACCTGTTCTCAGTTCTCCAGAGTATATAGGTAGGAATGGAATTACTGGAACATATGGTAATTCTATGTTTAACTTTTTGAGGAATTGTCAAACTGTTACCCCCATGTCATTTTATTTTATTTAATTAATTAATTTATTTTGATACGGAGTCTCATTCTGTCGCCCAGGCTGGAGTGCAGTGGTGTGATCTCGGCTCACTACAACCTCTGCCTGGATATTCCTGTCTCAACCACCCGAGTAGCTGGAACTACAGGCATGTGCCACCACACCCGGCTAATTTTTGTATTTTTAGTAGAGATGGGTTTTTGCCATGTTGGTCAGGCTGTTCTTGAACTCCTGACCTCAAGTGATCTGCCTGCCTCGGCCTCCCAAAGTGCTGGGATTACAGGCATGAGCCACCGCACCCAGCCTTCGCCCACATTACTTTTAACACAGTTGTGGTCTTAGGTATTTTTGTTATTTATGAACATCATAACATAAAAATAACCCCTTCATACTGAAGATTCAGGGTCAACATAACTTTTGTGGTTGTATACTATTCTACTGCATATATTCTATAATTTAGTTAACCATTCCAATATTTTAGTCACTTTAGTGTTTTCTTATTCTATTTGTTTCTTATTGCTACATTAAGTAACACTGGCAAGCCTTTATGCTTACATTCTTAATTCAGTTTAAATTATCTCAAGGGTAAATTCCAAAAAGTAGAATTACTCATGTAAATAATATAGATGTTTTCTAAGTTCTCATTACATGTTACCAAACTGCTTTCCAAGTGTTCTACCAAATTGCACCTTCACTGGCAGTGCGGGAAGGCCTTTGTTTTAACGAATCCTTTCTATCCCTGGATGGTGGTATTACTTTTTAAAACTCTTTGCCAATTTTGTGGGAAAAAAAATTATGCTTCATTTAATTTCTAATGCTGTGATTATAATGAACTTAAACTATTTTCATATGTTTACTATTCACATTTCTTGATTTGTGAATTGTCTATTCACATAGCTACCCATTTATATATGAGGATCTGTATCCAGAAAGCTTCTGGTCACAAATAACAGAAAATCTAACCATGACTTTAACAAATCGGGGGTACATTTTTCTGACATAAGAATACATCTGGAAGTAGGTAGCTGCCAGCTGGTTTAGTGGTTTAAGTATGTTAGAATGGTGCCTTTGTAACGCAAAATAGCTGCAGCTGCTCCAGACATCACATTCATATTCGAGGCAGAAAGAAAAAGGAAATAGTGGTGACAACTGCTTCTTTTGGGTATATATCCAAGAAGAGTCCTTTTTATCATGGAAGTAAAGGCCTTCTGTGATGCCTTCGAGCAGATTTCTACTTTATATTTCCTTGACCAGAACCATGTCATATGGTCATCCTTAGCTGCAAGGGAATTAGAAAAGCAAGAAATGGGATTGAAATATCAGACTTTGACCACACATGATCCATCCCCTGAGATTGAACACTCTGATGTTGACAACAAAATCAGAAAGGAGGGGAGTTGAGGGAAATGCATTCTAGAAGGCAGTCAACACTGTTTAATATGGCTTGGTGTGGTTTGTGTCTTATTGATTTATATATTTCACTACACATTAAAGAAATTGACTTTTGTCCTGTGTATTTCCCAGGTTTCAGTTTGCACACTTCTCTTTATCTGAAAATAGATTTTTTCTCAGTTTTATGTAGCCAAATGTACCTCTTTTTAAATTTCCTTTTTTTTTTTTTGAGATGGTCTTGTTCTGTCACCCAGGCTGCAGTGCAGTGGTGTAATGACAGTTCATTGTAACCTCTAACTCCTAGACTCAAGTGATCTCCCGCCTTAGCCTCCTGAGTAGCTAGGACTATGAACGTGCACCACCACACCCAGCTAATTTTTTAAAAATCTTTTTGTAGGTTGGGCGCGGTGGCTCACGCCTGTAATCTCCGCACTTTGGGAGGCTAAGGCGAGTGAATCAGGAGGTCAGGAGATCGAGACCATCCTGGCTAACATGGTGAAACCCCGTCTCTACTAAAAAAAAAAAAACACACAAAATTAGCCGGGCGTGGTGGCGAACGCCTGTAGTCTCAGCTACTCCAGAGGCTGAGGCAGGAGAATGGTGTGAACCCGGGAGGCGGAGCTTGCAGTGAGCCGAGATCGTGCCACTACACTCCAGCCTGGGCAACAGAGTGAGACTCCGTCTCAAAAATAAATAAATAAATAAATAAAATAAAATCTTTTTGTAAAGACAAGGTCTCACTATGTTGCCTACATTGGTCTCAAACCCCTGGCCTCAAGTGATCCTCCTGCTTCACCTTTTGTTTTTAAGATGAGAATACTCTTCTCATCTAGAGATTAGAGTAATATTCACTTCGTCTTAATTTTTAATGTAACTTTTTTATTCACCTGACATATATTTTGTCTATAAGTTAGGATTATATAAATTTATTTTTTTCAAATAGTTGGCAAATTGTCATAGTACCATTGATTTCCATCTCCTTCTGAGGCCCTTGATAATTCCCTTTAGGGAAAAGACTGTAGCAACCAAATAACCACAAAGAGTTGATGAGGCGAAATGCTATAGCACCAGTTTGTATAAAATCTCAGAAGGAAATCACAGGGGAAAACACAGCTTTCATACAGAGAAGTGTGATTGTTGTTATACCTATACAACATACATAGTTCATTAATTGTGTTTCAGTTTTTTTCCTCTTCCCATTTTCTACGTCAGGTGGCAAACCCAACCAAGGGTAGACCATTCATCATGAGGTCTCCATCAAGTGGACTGATTGTCATTTAGATCTGGTTGTTTTGCTGGTCAAATCAGTACCCTGGTAGGGTGGTAGACTCCTTTTCTTTCTCCCTCGCTTGCTTGCTTGCTTCCTTGCTGGTTTGCTTTCCCTTTCTTTCTTTCTTTCTTTCTTTTTCTTTCTTTCTTTCTTTCTTTCTTTCTTTCTTTCTTTCTTTCTTTCTTTCTTTCTTTCCTTCTTTCCTTCCTTCTTTTCTTTTTCTTTCTTTCTCTCCTTCCTTCCTTTCTCTCTCTCTCTCTCTCTTATTTTTTTCAACATTTTTTTGAGACAAGTTCTCTCTATATTATTCAGACTGGTCTCAAACTCCTGGGCTCAAGCAATCCTCCTGCCTCGTCCTCCCAGACTGCTAGGATTACAGACACGAGCAGCCCGTTTTTTAACTTGTATCAAAATTAATTTACTTCAAAAATTACTTAATTGCAGAGGTAAATGACTAACAGTATTACTAGACATGGGCCTGGGTGCAGTGGCTCATGCCTGTCATCCCAGCACTTTAGGAGGCCGAGACGAGTGGATCACCTAAGGTCAGGAGTTCAAGACCAGCCTGGCCAACATGGTGAAACCCCATCTCTACTAAAAATACAAAAATTAGCTGGGCATGGTGGCAGGTGCCTGTAACCCCAGCTATTCGGGAGGCTGAGGCAGGAGAATCGCTTGAACCTGGGAGGCAAAGGTTGCAGTGAGCTGAGATCACGCCATTGCACTGCAGCTTGGGCAACAAGAGGAAAACTCTGTCTCAAAATAAATAAATCAATAACTAAAACTAAAAATAAAAATTGCTAGACAAGAAAGCAAACAAAATAAGAACCTCACATGTTGTGAATTTAATGTTTCCACTCACAGGTGGGCTGGTAAGGATCCTTAGGAGATCATTGTCTGCACATCAGTCAGGGTCCAACTAGGAAAACAGAAAGTGATGCAGTAGATTGGTTCCACAGAGATAAAAAGCAGCAGAGAAACCAGTCAGGGGACAGTGAGTAAACGTGTGGAGTACTTTGCTGCTTTAAAACTGCTTGGCAGGATCAAAGGGTTCTTCTGCCCCGGAGCTATTTAGTCAGGCAACTGTAAAGAATCACTTTTTACTTTTGGTTGTTTTGGTTTTGTTTCACTGCGCACTTGGTGTAGGTTATGCATAAACACAAATGCTGTCGTGCCCACAAGCTGGTTAGATCCTGGCCTTGTGAACTGGCTTCTTTGAACTCCACTGTAGTTGCTCACATTGGCTCAAACTGAGCAGTTATGTTCAATGCCTTTTTTTTTTTTGGAGACAGAGTCTCGCTCTGTCACCCAGGCTGGAGTGCAGTGGTGCTATCTCGGCTAACTGCAAGCTCCGCCTCCCGGGTTCACGCCTTTTTTCCTGCCTCAGCCTCTCCGAGTAGCTGGGACTACAGGCGCCCGCCACCACGCCTGGCTAATTTTTTGTATTTTTAGTAGAAACAGGGTTTCACTGTGGTCTCGATCTCCTGACCTCATGATCCGCCCGCCTTGGCCTCCCAAAGTGCTGGGATTACAAGCGTGAGCCACCGCCCCAGCCTGTTCAATGACTATTTTAAACATTGCTGTCATGTATTTTATGTGTGGTTCCCTTCTTCAGATGTCAAAAAGGTGTCTGAAAATGACTTTTGGGATTGTACATATTTGAGGGGAGGTCTCAGTTGCTGGCTGAATTACTACATTTGCACTCGAGTTTGCCCTTGGGAGCTCCCCTTCAGCATTACCAGGGGCCAAGTGAGAGCTCTGTTTGCCCAAAGTCGTCCTCTAAGTGGTGGTATTAAGGGCTTCACGCCTCAGAGTAAAAAAAGCTCTTCACTCCTCAGAGTAGAAAAAGCAGGCGGAATTCTGACAATGGCCTTCTCCATGGGGAGTGCATCAAGGAGAGTCTGTCCACCTCTCTGCACTCTGGTCTGTTTCCCAGTGCCTCTTCCTCCTTAAGGACATCAGTTTCTCCCCTATTCTCAGCAACACCCCTCCTCACTCCACCAAAATTCATTCTTAGTTGTGGGTTATGGTATAGCACTGGCTCCACAGTAGGTAACTGGGAAGGCCAATAAATTAGGTCATGTCTATCCACGGTTGTGTAATTGCTTTGCCTCTACCATCCAGGCAAGTCTTTAAAAGGTTTATGAGTAACACACTCCCTCCAGGGTAGCTGTCTCCACCTTCAAAGCCACACCAGGCCTCACCCTCAGACAGCTCTACCCAGCTCTTTGTATTCCCAGTTCCACCGAGCTGAGGCTCCAGCTTCTTCCTTAGACTTCCTTTCATTTCCCCCATGTGTCAGCTTATAACACCTTGTCCTGGGCCTTCCAGAGCCTTAAGGAGAGTTCACAGTCACAAAACAATACATAAATGTAAATCTTTTCTTAAAAACAACTTGCACGTGTCTAAAACCCACCTCACAAATATTGTAAATGCCACAATTTCCAAACAGTTCTCCAAAACAATGATAGTTTTATTATTAAAGTGATAATACTTTTTGGTGGCTCATGCCAGTAATCCCAACACTTTGGGAGGTCAAGGTAGGAGGATCACTTGAAGCCAGGAGTTCAAGACCAGCCTGAACAACGTAGCGAGACCCCCATCTCTGCAGAATAATTTAAAAATTAGCCGGACATGGTGGCACATGCCTGTAGTTCCAGCTGTTTAAGAGGCTGAGGTGGCAGAATCGCTTGAGCACAGGAGTTTGAAATTGCAGTGAGCTGACCACGCCACTGCACTGCAGCCCGAGCAACAGAGTGAGATCTTATCTCTTAAAAATAAGCTAGGCGCAGTGGCTCACACCTGTAATCCCAGCACTTTAGGAGGCTGAGGCAGGAAAATCACTTAAGGTCAGGAGTTTGAGACCAGCCTGGCCAACATAATGAAACCCCATCTCTACTAAAAATACAAAACTTAGCTGGGCATGGTGGCATGTGCCTGTGATCCCAGCTACTCAGGAGGCTAAGGCAGGAGAATTGCTTGAACCCAGGAGGCGGAGGTTGCAGTGAGCCAAGATTGTACCACTGCACTCCAGCCTGGGAGACAGAATGAGACTCCATCTCAAAAAAATAAAAAATAATTTTTTTTATTTTTTAAAATAATAAAAATTAAAAATGCTATTCTGTTCTCAGCTTACCTGAACTTCATCTCTGAGGTGCTGCAGACACTCACAGGTGGCAGTCTCCTAAAGCTGGAAGATTCCATACCTCCAGGGGCCTGGGCCATTTCAGGAGGCAGGCCAGGCCCTAGTTACTCTCTTGGCTCAGATCTGCTTTCCTTTCTGGAAGGTAGACAGTCATTTGGAGTTTTTGATTGCAGGTCAACCATCAACATTAAGCATTGGGAGTAGCACTGCAATTTTACCTTTTTCTTGGAGCTGCCGGGTATGATAAGCTCCTCCATTTGCAGCATTGAGGCAGTTGTCTTTGGAAACTGTCACTGTCCCAAGACCCTCCTGCCAGTGCCTCACAGCATCAGGAGTCAGAGGTCTAGGCACCTCCGTGTTCCTCTGTAAAGTGAGAGCCCCATAGATTTTTTTTTCCATATCATGATTCAATAACATTTCTGTTCAACAGCACTCACTTATTTAGCAGATATATTTGAGATCCTACTGTGAACCTGGTACCGGAGATATACAAATGTTCTTTGTAAGCTTTCAATGCCGTGAAGGAGGTGGGTTTAAAAACAGTACATTCAGGCCAGGAGCAGTGGCTCACGCCTATAATCCCAGCATTTTTGGAGGCTGAAGAGGGCGGATCACGAGGTGAGGAGTTCGAGACCAGCCTGGCCAACATGGTGAAACCCCTGTCTCTACTCAAAATACAAAAATTAGCCAGGCATGGTGGCGTGTGCCTGCAATCTCAGCTACTCGGGAGGCTGAAGCAGGAGAATCGCTTGAACCTAGGAGGCGGAGGTTGCAGTGAGCTGAGATCACACCATTGCACTCCAGCTTGCGTGACAGAGAGAGGCTCTGTCTCCAAAAAATAAGAAAATAATAATAAATAAATAGAAATAGTACATTCACTATAACGTGACGAATGATAAGATAGTCACACAGAGGGCCGCAGAGGTAATTTAACTTCATGGGAAGTCTCAAAGAAGACTTGCTGGAGGTGGTGGTGCCTGAACTGAGTCTTGAAGGAGGTAACAGGTGAATAAAGGTGAAGTGAACAGCAAGTGGAGTGAACAACATTAGGCAAGCCATAAAGATGTGAAAGACTACAGGGAGATGCAGACACCATCGTAGTGAATGTCACCAGAGTGCAACGTGAGAGGAAGCCACAAGCAAAAGAGTGAGCTGGGGTGGCAGGGTGGGACGTGGACCTGTGTGCTGAGCCGAGGCCCCTGAGCTTGACAAAACTGGAGGGGAGGAGGAGCCACTGAAATGTTTAGAGTCACTGAATGACCAGGTCAAATTAGGTGGATGGCCATGGGTGGTGAGTGAAGCCTGGATTAGGGAAGAATTGTGTTTAGGGGCCTCGATTAGGGAGGAAGAGAAGGCAAGTGATTTAATAAATATTTGGAAAGTCGAATTAGCAGGGCTTGGTGGCTGACTGGCTGCAGGAGGAAGGAGAAAGGAGAGCTCATATGAACTCAGGTTTCTGGCTTTGATGAGTTTATGGCATTTGACCTACTGCTGAAACGAGTGGGTCCAAGTGGACTCTATACTTTGTGATTCCAGGGTAAGGTAATATATCTGAATACTAAAGGACATCAACTCTTCCATCAACTTTGAAATATTTAAAGGCAGATCTCTTGTTGTACATTATTTCTCAGCGATTGAGGTCAAATTTTAGGCCTGTGACCAAGACTGGGGGTTGGGGGGAGGTGTGGACAGATTTCAAAGCAGAATTCTGGCCAAGAGAACTTGGAACTTGTTCCTCGGCTCCAGATGGCCTGGTGAAGGACTTCTGGGAGAGAAGCTGAGAGCAGCCACCTGACAGTAGAGGGGGGAACCGATTGGTTCTCAGGAACCACCACGCCGGCCAGCCATGGTGAGCAGCCTGCCAGGCAGCAGGTGCCCAGCGAGCCAGAGGAACCCGCGTGCCTGGTCATTTCCTCCCCTGCAGCTTTGGACTTCAGTCAGGAGCTTTATCTCTCCTATTCTAAGCAAAAATAATTAAGGCCAACTGATTATTGAGACGCCCTCCCCCCCTCCCAAAAAAAGTAAGACACTTTATTTCAGTAACTGCTTCTCCTCCCTGAAGCAGTAACAAGCTGGCTTTCACCGGCACCCTCCCCTTTGGTACGGGGTCAGCAGAAGGGTGTTTTGTCTTCAGCGAGTCGGAAACCCCCTGTCTTCAGTGTATTCTGCCCACCAGGATAGGGCACTGTGGATTTTGGTTTTGAAGCTTGTCCAGAGTCACTCAAGAGAGACAAAGCGGCCATTCTACTGTGTGCTACCCAACACCCACCAGGTAAGCTGCTGTGTGCCAGGATGAAGCCCCTGGAAGACTGCTTGGCTTTGGTATTCCAGAATTTGCTTAAATATGTTGTACACACACCCCTGAGTTTAAAACAGCAAGGCTGAGAATAAGATCTTCAGCAGGCACAAGGGTAAAGGAAAGAGATACCTGTTTCCAGTATATCATGATGTTAGTTTGCTTAACTAAGTCCCATTTAACATTTAGGGGATCAAGATTTGGGATGTTTTCATTTTTATTGAAGAAATACTTGACAAATATTTTGAAGGCCTAATGTTTGTATGGGCTATGAAATCTGCTATGGTAAATGCAAAGTATGGGACCCAAGAAATGTATAATCTGTTTGGGAGGACAGGACATGAGAATTCAAACAAGAATATAAGGCTACGCATGACTAAGTACTTAAGGGGTGGCATGGACAGCAGTGAGGTAGGGTTTTGGAGAAGAGAAAGATGGATTGGAGCTAAAATTATTAGGCAAAACTTCATAGAGGCTGGCATTGAAGTGGCAGGTGGATAAGTGGGAGGTAGGTAAAGGAGAATGACTCCCAATTATGGCTTAATGCTTCCATTAAACCAATTCTACATAACACATTTATTGTGCTATAATCAGGAGTTGGAATACGTAAATCTTCAATTCAGAAAGACTGTTCATATCAATATTGGAAACTAAAGTCCTAAAGAAGGCTGGTGTTTGTTTATTGTGGGTAAACTCTGGCTTGTCAGATTTCATCCCACTTGACTTCCTTCTCTTCCCTTCCTTAGCAGTCTGTTCACCATCAGTAACTTCTACTAAATGTTCACTAATTTTTAACAACCTTGCACATAGAGAGTGAGATTTAAGTTAACTGTTTTTGTTTTAGAATTCTGTAAATGTTAAATAGAAGAGAGGCATGAAATCATTTCTGATAAAAATAGAAGTTAAATCTGTGTTAAAGGGTTTTGTGGCCCCTTTCTCCCTAGCTCTGTCTCTCAGCTGAATAGGTTGTGTCAGGGAGTGACAACGCAGTGGTGTGTTGGTGCTATCTGTGTTGAGTGACCGGCAAAAGACCACAAAAGGAAATCTTTAGTTTCCCCTCCAAGTCTTGTTCTTTACATGAGAGCATAGGAAGCCTCCAGAAGACTTGCATGATCCTAGTATTGAGTCCTCTTCTATGCATCTATCAAAGAAAATGAGAGAATTTCAGAGGGGCTGGGATTATTTATTTATTTATTTATTTATTTTAGAGATGGGGTTTTGCCATGTTGCCCAGGCCATTCTTGAACTCCTAGACTCAGGCAATCCTCCCACCTCGGCCTCCCAAAATGCTAGAATTATAGGCATGAGCCACCATGCTCGGCCTGGAATTCTTATTTATAACCCAGTGACACAAGACTGTAATAAAACTATTAATAGATAATAATCAACCTCATCATTTGGTCAGTTTCTCTTGATGCAAGGCCAGCAAATAAAAACTTTGTAACCACTTAAAACAAACAAAACAAAAACAAAGCTTCCTTCACTCAGAAGGAAAGTCTGCCTATGAAAGCCTTCACCCATTTATTCCCCACCACCCCCCTCCATGCACACCTTACCTACTTTCCATATTATCCACTCATCCATTGGGGAATGAGTATCACTCATGATGAACAATAATGGATTCAGACCCAGCCTTAGTGGAGTTTATTCCCCAGCAAGTCTAGTTCCGATTGTCTTTTAAGGCCTGTCTTCATGAATTCTTTCCTAGCCTTTAGCTAGAATTAATCTTATCCTTCTTCATAATGCTAAAGCAAGAATCTTGATTTTCTATTAATATTATATTATCAACCATGTCCTGTGTTGTATCATAGCTACTTTGTACATATCTTTTTCCACCAATAGATCCTGAATTTCCTAGTGTCTTCATATCATCCTTACACATTTAAGTGCTCATTATGGTTGAATTGGATTTTTTTTCCTCACTTGAAAAGGCGTTTTTCAACCCTTTAGCTAAGTGCCAGCACAAGTTAGATCGTGTGACAAAGAATATGTAGAAAGGGCATTGTAAACAAAAGAGAAAGTTGGAAAGTTGCCTAGAGAGCATGGCAAAGTGCTTGGAATGGTTGGCACCCTGGGTTTAAATGACGGAGTCATAGGAAAGAAGTCCAGATAGGTAAGCATGGGGCTGGTGACAAAGAACTGAGCTTTACAGATGAGGAAGATGAGACACATAGATGTCATTTGATCAGCCCAAATAATAAAGGAATTAGAACCCCTCACCTGATTATCCACACCACAGGCCCAGCACCCTCACGTAAGCTCGGACAGTGATTTTATGCTACCATGCCAATTCCCAGGGCAATTGGCTGGGAAAAGATGAAGAGAGTGACAGAGAGTGTCTATGACACTAATGTCTGTGTGGTTCGGCCACATTATTCCTCTCTTTGTAGTGATCGTGCAACTTGAAGAAAGGCAAGAGCAATAGGAAGCAAACAACCAAGAAGCTTAGGTGTGTTGAAGACAACATTCAGCACTGATCTGTGGTGTGCTGTAGTGGCCAATCTGAGTCCCCAGTTAGTGTGAAATAGACTAGCCTGTGAATTACACTCTGAAGCAAATGCCAAGAGTTGCCAATTTTGCCATTTGCTTGGCTCTTTACCTTGGATTTCATAGAACCAATATTTTAAATGGTACCTGGGCTAAAATAATCAGCAAAGGTATTGAGCAGATAAGTTATCAAAAACTACAGGCCAGGCATGGTGGCTCATGCTTGTAATCCCGGCACTTTGGGAGGTGGAGGTGGGCGGATCACCTGAGGTCAGGAGTTTGACACCAGCCTGGCCAACATGATGAAACCCCATCTCTACTAAAAATACAAAAATTAGCCAGGCGTGGTGGTGGGTGCCTGTGATCCCAGCTACTCGGGAGGCCGAGGCAGGAGAATAGCTTCAACCCGGGAGGCGGAGGTTGCAGTGAGCTGAGATCTCACCACTGCACTCCAGCCTGAGTGAGACAGAGTGAGACTCCATCTTAAAAAAAAAAAAAAAAAAGCTACACATATCCAATAAACATAATAAATAATGTTCAACCTCTCTAGTAATCAAAGAAATACAAAGAAAAAAAAAGAAAACTTTTTTTGGCTTATCATATTAGCAAAGATCAAAAAGAATAGACATAACTAACATTGGCAAGCACATGGGGAAATGGACCGTCATACAAGGGAAAATTTGATACAACCTTTTTCCAGGGTAATTTGGTGTGATATAGTTCATAAGTCATTAAAACATGTTCATCCTTTGGCCTGGCAATTCCACATCAAGGAAATTGATTCTAAGGAATTAATCAGAGATGGGCACAATGCTAGTTTTGAACTGGGTTTATTTCAACATTATGACTCTAAAAAATTAGAAATAACTCCAACGAGAGGGGAGTAGGATCATATGTTACAGTACAGAGATGCAGTGGTGGAATACTGACATAGCATAGCATTCTTAATGTAATGCTAAGTGGGAAACATAGACTACACAAAGCATGCATAGGGTAAGAGCATTTTTTGAAAATGCAGGCATACATAACTGACATGTGGAGCAAGTAGGAATCATGGAATATAACAAGAAAACATCTTTAGTTTTGTCTCTTACTATCCTTTTATTTCTTTTTTATTTTTTTAGACCGTCTTGTTCTGTCACCCAGGCTGGAGTGTAGTGGTGCGATCTCAGCTCACTGCAACCTCTGCCTCCTGGGTTCAAGCGATTCTCCTGCCTCAGCCTCCTGAATAACTGGGGTTACAGATGCCCACCACCATGCCCAGCTAATTTATTTTTTTTTGTATTTTTAGTAGAGACAGGGTTTCACCATGTTGGCCAGGCTGACCTCGAACTCCTGACCTCAAGTGATCCGTCCGCCTCAGCCTCCCAAAGTTCTAGGATTACAGGCATGAGCCACCGTGTGCAGCCGTCTCCTACTATCCCTTTAAATGCCACTGGATACAAACAAAGGCAGTCCCTTGACTTTTCTGGTCACTTTAAGACACAAACACAGTCTCAATTCAGAGATAATTAGAACATACGGTCCTAGATTAATCCCAGCTTTATTCAGAGGAGCAGCCCCTCACACAGCCACCGCTTGCTGCAGAGCGACGCCTAGGACAGTGAAGAGGATTTGATCCTTTTCCCTTTCCCCA
Organism: Homo sapiens; assembly: GCF_000001405.40. NCBI lineage: Eukaryota > Metazoa > Chordata > Mammalia > Primates > Hominidae > Homo > Homo sapiens. The sequence goes on along the minus strand of NC_000011.10, from coordinate 108,563,770 downwards.
TCAACCTCTGCCTCTCCACCCCTTCAGTGGTGGTTTTTTACTGTTCCAGGGTTGAACCGGACGGTGGCTGGGAGGCAGGTTTAAGTTTGGATGGAAGGCACATGCAGAAAAGCTGTTGCTTGACTAGAATGGTTGTGAGGTGGCATCACTCTCTCTGGGTAGGGCAGATGTTTAAATCTGCCTCTTCTCTTGTGTGCTCGTCTGGGGTTTGCTGAGATGGCCCGTGGCCCGGCACTGTTCCCCAGCAGCTCTTTCCATGCAGATAATGTGCTCTCCCCTGCTCTGTGCTAGGAATCCAGGGGTTCACCCACAACCTCTTTCTACTCAGGTTTATTCACCCCTGGAGCTGACTCTAGCAGGCATGAACTAAGAGAACCCCATGCCTCCTCAGCCTCTCCTGGGGCCCACATCTTCTCCACGGGACACAGTCATACTGTGGTTGCTTGAGAAACCCTGGAAATGAGGGCTGATTGACAGCTGAGCTATGCACTTCATTCTGCAGTCAAAGCAACTGGCAGGCCCCAGTTTCTCCAGCTCAAATTTCTCAGGCAGGAGGCAGATACCAGTCTACCTTTCCTCCAAACCACAAGGGACAAAATTAAGCTCTTCCAGTCGTACCAGTTAAGCTCCCTGGCTCTAGAGAAAGCCTCCTCACAGATCCTCCCTCTGTCTTCACTCTTCCAAGTCAATGCATGTAAGGGGACTTAAACCCTAACTAGAGAGATTTGGCTTTTGTTTGTTTTTAAAAATCCCACAAAGCAAGTTCTCCTGATTGGTCTTCTCACAACTCCCTTAGATGTCTTGAATCTCTTGCTTTCATGCTTTAGCTAAAACTGAGTCAGAGTCCTAGTCCTGTGACTACTGCTTTAAAACACATGAATGAACATATGTACACACACAGCAGTATCTCTGACAGTGGGAGTTATGAGTGATTTCTTTTATTCAAGTTTTTGTTTGTTTGTTTGTTTTAAATGGAGACAGGATCTCACCATGTTGCCCAGGCTGGCCTTGAACTCCTGGGCTCACTTGATCCTCCTGCCTCGGCCTCCCAAAGTGTTGGGATTACAGGTGTGAGCCACCATGCCCGGCCCCTTCAAGTTTTTTCTTTAATTTCCAAGTCTTTTGCATTGAATGTAATTTTACTTTCTTTCTTTCTTTTTTTGAAACAGCGTCTTGCTCTGCTGCCAAGTCTGGAGTGCAGTGGTGCGATCTCAGCTCACTGCAACCTCTCCCTCCCAGATTCAAGCAATTCTTCCACCTCAGCCTCTCTAGTAGCTGGGACTACAGGTATGCACCAGCATACCCAGCTAATTTTTGTATTCTTTTTTTTTGTTGTTGTTTAGTAGAGAACGGGTTTCTCCATGTTGGCTAGGCTGGTCTCAAACTCCTGACCTCAAGTGATCCACCACCTCGACCTCCCAAAGTGCTGCGATTATAGGCGTGAGCCACCCAGCCCGGCCTGATGTAATTTTACTTTCACAATTACAAAAAAAAAAAAAAAAAAACACAGAAAAAATTGTATAATGGCAAAGCAAAGTCAGTTTTATTGACATTTGAAATTTCCTGTCCCAATCAATGCTGGAGAATTCCTCTGTGAACAAATTCCTACATGCTGCTTATGGCTGGATGTTTTCATTATGTTCTTTCAGGTGACAAGGAACATAGAGCAGTTTCCTCAAGGGATGGGTGGCACTTTATTGTCAGGATCTAATGGAGAAGTAAGGAAACACAGGAAACGGCCTCAACCCTGCACGGCCAGTCCTCAGGAACCGGAATGTTGATCAGAATACTGCAGCATTCTGGTGCCAATCAATCAACCAGGCTAGTAACCACAGGCTTGTGGTCCAGCTTCTCTGTTCTGCTTCTCCCTACTCACTTCCATTGCCAGGGCTGATTTTCTTCTTGCAAGTTTCCTCTCTGCCCCATAGCTTCCTCCTGTTCAAGACTCTGGTGCCTGATGGCTTCTCTTCATGGTACTGCTCAATACCTTCTCGCTATGTGTCTCTTAGCCATGTCACTTTAGTTTGTCTTACTTGGCATTATGATTTTAAGACATGCCAAGAGGAAAGACGTTATTAAGTTGTTAATCACTCTCCAAAATAGAACAAATAGAATTCACTGGGCAGCATTCTTGCTCATGTTTAGCTTTTGGGTGATTAGGGTAGGAATGCAAAAAATGTTGGATCCCACGAGGCAAAGCACAGGAACTACCCATGACCACTTTACTATGAGTAGGACAGACTCCCAACACTTCATGGGATACCTGTTTGCTAGAAAAGTGGTCCACATCTTTCAGACAGATCTACCACCATGCTTAATTCATTACTTCTGTGGCTTGATCGAGTGCTATTTTTGGGTGTTGGCAAAGAGAATAGAGATGCCAGAATGATTTAAAACAAAACAAAACAAAACAAAACAAGATGGAGGGAATCAGATATCCAGATTTCTTTTTCTATGCCAATAATGTCAAAGGGAATCAAAGCTAAATAGTTGATGTCTTTTAAAATCTAAGATCATTATTAATAAATAATAGGCTACAACCATAAACATATACCAAATAAACAGTTCTTTCCTTCTATAAAGCACACCTGGCACTACTGCTTCTTTGCATTGACATGTCTTTTCATTTTTGGGAAATAGGCTGATTGTTTACAGACTGAGTTCAATTATTTTGTACCTATTCTTGATGCACTGAGACACATTTATTTAAAATGCATAATGTCCTCCAATGTTAGTTATATTATTATTTATATCATGTAACAAAGCTTCTTTTAGGCCTTCTCTCCAAAAACTCATTAAGATTTCATGATAAATTATTTAATACATGATAGGGAATGATCACAAACTTTATTATTGAGATTGAGAAAGAGGAATTTAGATACTAGAATCTGAAAGTTAAAATGATAGTGAATAATAAGAACATATAACAATGACATTACCAGAAAAATATCTTTTACACAAAATCAAACTTCCATAAATAAGTTACATAATTTGGAGTAGACACTTGCGTTTGTACTGCTGGCAGTATTTCATTTTACCCCCAAGTACAGATTTTGTTCTATAATTATTCCAGGAGTGGTTCTCAGGAGTATGTTTTGGTAAATAAATGTGACTACATCTACAGACAAAACTTAACAAGGTCTTCTGGATGAGATAATACCATATGAAAACAATATGTGTGTTTTGAATCACCGAGGCAGAATAATCATTCTAATGATAACCTTTAGTGCAAGGATTCAAGAGGAATGCTCAAAGTTAAAGCCCTTTGGCGTGTGATTCTGCAGTAATTTCTGATGAGGTGGAGTGGTTTGTCAGGTCAGTTGGTTTATCAGTAGATGGATAAAAAGGGTTTCAATGCCACACTCATCTTTGTAAGGCGGGTTTGTTTGCCAGAGAGGAATTGGAAAAGGCAGCAATCATGTGGAAAAGGGTTATTTCAAAAGTTAACTCTTTGAAAATAAGTAAACTGTAATCCAAACCAATGAGCTTTAACTGATGTCAACAACAAGCTTCCTTTGACCCAGTGAGGGAATCCTGAAGCAGATGTGGTTTGAGAGTCATGGACTCTCTGAACCTCCACTATCCCTGATGGGAACCAAGAGCAGTAGATTCATGGTGCTGACATTTAGAAAACCTCCAGGCATTTCCTCAGCTTTCTGCATCCTAACACAAAGATTGAATAGCTATTTGAGATCTATCGTTCTTTCGTCTGGCTTGCATATTTGACTAGTGTGTGTGGGTAGGGTGGGAAGGAGGGTGGTGAGAGTCTCATATTGCAACATTAAATTCCTTAAAGTTAAAGCAAAGTCCAGAATGTTGGATTTGAGTTGGTTTCCCAACACCCTTAAAACTGCATGATACAAAGGGTGAATTAAGTTGAATGCAATAATAGTGGATTTTAATTACAGTATGAGAAGTGAAAGTAATGTCATCTTGTCACCTTTTTGCTTAGACACAGAAGGGATCTATAGGAGCATCACTTTCCTTTAACTTTATGAAATAGCATAGGCTGCTCTTTCTGTCTTCTTTTCCTAACAAGACAGATTCCAAGAATAAGAATTAAATTGCCTGAATATGAGGGGAAAAAAAGATGTTCTGCATTCTTATTAATGAAAATGAAGGAGAGATGCATATTCATGTGTACCATTCTATCTTGTTACCTAACTCTACATAACTAGCAGTGCAGAGGATGTGGTCAGAATTAAGGATGTAGTTGTCTTTGGAAAGAAGCCATGAACAATATAATTAACAAATTCAAGACGTTGAGATCATACACTCTGTCTATGGATGAAAACCTTCATGGTTCTAACCTGCTTTGCAGCTGTGCTAGTATACCAGACTTGCAAGAGGCATTTATGTCCCCATTCTGCAGCTCCGAGCAGCTTTCTTGCACTTTTAGAATCCTGACACTCAACTTGCCATTAACCCTTGTCCTACAAGTTTCAGTGGAAGATGTCTGAGCATCTGTATAAAGGGGAATAAGAGGGACGCAAAAGCTAAAATCTAGTTTTTCATTCTCTTGTATTCATTTTTTCGGTTATTCAACAAATATTTCTTCCCTGCTTGCTGTGTGTTCAGGAAATCGACACTTGACTTGGGGAGCTGACAATCCAGTGATGAGACAACCAGCATGCAAAAAAAGTACAGAGACTCAAGAGAGGAGGTTTATTCTAGGCATGGGTTGAATAAATCAGGCTCCTGGAAATAATCTGGAAATAACTGTTCTTACTCAACGATTATCATCATGCTGGTGGGGTGAGGGGGGTCTGAGCTAGGTACAAGCTTAATTCTTTCACTCACCACTTTACAACCTCTGGCAAGTGTTTTCACCTTTCGTGACTTCAGCTCCTTTTACTGTAAAATGAGTACAATACCTACTTCACTGGATTCCTGTAGTGATTAAATGAAATAATCTAGGTGGAAGCGCCCAGCATCATAGCTGTCACATGAAGTGTGTTTACCAGTGTAAACTTTCCGCCTCCAGAAACAATATATGTTTACAGTGTGCAGGTTCCCATCACCTTCAGCAGCAGCATGAAGGTACTAGAAATGATACCAAATATTGCCTTCATTTTCTATAAAGTTATTGTCAGTTGGAATCTGGAATCATGTGTCCTTTTCTGTTCATTTCATTTTAATCATGTAATGGATCCAGACAGGAGCAACAGAAAGTTCAAAGAAAGTGAAAGAAAGGACAGCAGACACAAGAGGACAATATACCAGACTGGGACTTCCCAGGCTGAAATACAGAGGCCCAAGGGAGACAGAGTTAGAAACCATGAGATCTGAGCTAAACATGGACTTGTTGACCACATTCTTAAATAGTGGGGCATACCCTTTGCAACCTTAGCAAAAGTGTACTTAGAATCACAAAAAGTGGGAAGTCTGATGCGATGGCATGTGCCTGTAGTCCCAGCTACTTGGGAGGCTAAGGCAGAGGATAGCTTGAGCTTGGAGGTTCAAGGCTAGCCAGGGCAACATAGTGAGACCCTGTCTGTAATAAAATAAAATAAAGTTTAAAAAGTGGGAGCTGGGCGCAGTGGCTGACACCTGTAATCCAAGCACTCTGAGAGTCTGAGGCAAGGGGATCACTTGAGGTCAGGAGTTCAAGACCAGCCTGGACAACATGGTGAAACCCCATCTCTATTAAAAATACAAAAATTAGCTGGATATGGTGGTGGGCACCTGTATTCCCAGCTACTCAGGAGGCCGAAGCAGGAGAATTGCTTGAGCCTGGGAGGCAGAGGTTGCAGTGAGCTGAGATTATGCCACTGCACCCCAGCCTGGGTGACAGAGTGAGACTCCATCTCAAAAAAAATAAAAAATAAAAAGTGGGAAAGCATCCTTGATAGCCTCTAGTTCAACCCCCTAATTTTGTGGGTGAAGAAATGCAGGTCCAGAGAAAAGGGAATTTCCCAAACTCATATTCATTAACTTGTTCACCAAGAGCTAACTGAGTCCATACCCTAAGTCAGACATCTTTCCAGAAAACAACACAGGCAACGTCCTCATGCTTGTAGTTTATGTTTTAATGGGCTACAAGAGATATAATCAATAAGAAAGTAAATAAGTGAAGAGGATAATTTCAAAAGAAGATTAACAGGATTAAGAAAAGTAAACCAGGGCCAGGCGCAGTGGCTCGTGCCTGTAATCCCAGCACTTCGGGAGGCTGAGGAGAACGAATCACTTGAGGTCAGGAGTTCAAGACCAGCCTGGCCAAGATGCCAAAACCCCGTATCCACTAAAATTACAAAATAATTAGCCAGATGTGGTGGCAGGCGCCTGGAATCCCAGCTATGCTAGGGAGGCTGAGACACGAGAATTCCCTGAACCCAGGAGGCGGAGGTTGCAATCAGCCGAGATCATGGTTTACTTTTCTTTTCTTAATCTTGTTAATCTTCTTTTGAAATTTCTTCACTTATTTACTTTCTTATTGATTATATCTCTTGTACCCCATTAAAATACAATCTACAAGCATGAGGACATTGTCTGTCTTGTTTTCTGGAAACACTCCAGCCTGGGTGACAGAACAAGACTCCATCTCAAAACAAGCAAACAAACAAACAAAAAAAAGAAAAGTAAACCAAGTAACTTGATAGAAAGTAACTGAATATGGGAGAAGGAATAATCTATTTTGGAGGGCCAGAGGGCCTCTCTAAAGATGTGACATTTTAGCTAAGGCCTAAATGGCACAAAGGCATAGCCATGTGACAAAATAGGGAAGAGCATTTCAGATGGAGGGAACAAGTCTGAAGCCCAGTGGGAGCCAGCTTGGCCTGTTAAGAGGGAAAAAAGAAGCCAAATGCTGAGTGGAGAGGAAAGAGGAGTGATTAAAAGTGGTAGAAAAGGCAGAAGGTCAGACACTATGCAGCCTTGAAGACCACAGAGTTTAACATTGTATTCTAAGCATGATGAGAAGCTGCTGGAGGGATTTAAGCAGGGGATGGCATGATATATCTTACATTTACAAAAAATCATGTTCAATAAAATTGATGGGGGCCAGGCCTGATGACTCAGCCTGTAACCCCAGCACTTTGGGAGGCCAAGGCAGGCAGATCACTTGAGGCCAGGAGTTCGAGACCAGCCTGGCCAACATGGCAAAACCCCATCTCTACTAAAAATACAAAATTAGCTGGGCGTGGTTGTGCATGCCTACTGTAATCCCAGCTACTCGGGAGGCTGAGGCAGGAGAATCGCTTGAACCTAGGAGGCAGAGGTTGCGGTGAGCCAAGATTGGGCCACTGCACTCCAGTCTAGGTGACAGAGCAAGACTCCATCTCAAAACAAACAAAAACAAAACAAAACAAAACAAAAAATAAAATTGATGGGATGCCACTGTCTGGTACTGACCTTCTCCTGTAGTAGGTCCCAATAGATCACACCAAAATGGAAACACTCTTAAGTGCCACATGATCAAACTGAAACTTAAAAAACAAAAACAGGCAAATCCCCAAACAGTCCAGCTTTTCCAAAAAAAAAAAAGACAGCAGATTCACAACTAATCGCAAAGGGCCCAGGCAACACCCGCATGATAAGGAAGGTTCCCCTGCTTTAACCCTTACAAGGAAAGTATCCTGAGGTAGCCTGATGTTAATCAGTCCACTTTTTTGTATTATGCTGCTTTATTGTTCCTGCTCAAGCTATCTTGTAAAAACCCATTGTTCTGCCAGGCAAGATGCTACTCAATTCATGAATCACTAATAAATGCCAATTAGATCTTTAAAACTCATTTTGTTGGAATTTTGTTCTTTGGCCATCGCTCTTGCTCCTGTATGGAGCCTGGATGGAAGGGGAGCCAGAGTGAAGCAGGGAGACAGATAGGGGCTTGTATACGTCCGTTCTCACGCTGCTATGAAAGCATACCTGAGACTGGGTAATTTATAAAGGAAAGAGATTTGATTGACTCACAGTTACGCATGGCTGGGGAGGCCTCAGGAAACTTACAAATATAATGGGAAGGGAAAGCAAACACATCCTTTTTCACATGGCGGCAGGAGAGAGAAGTGCCGAGTGAAGTGAGATAAACCCCTTATAAAACCATAAGATCTCCTGAGAACTCATTCACTATCATGAGAACAGCATAGGGAAACCGCCCCCATGATCTAATCACCTCCCACGAGGTCCCACCCCCAACACGTGGGGATTACAATTCAGAATACAATTCAAGATGAGATTTTGGGTGGGGACACAACCAAACCATGTCAGGGCTCCTGCAGACATCCAGGTGAAAGATGGTGGTGACTTGGGCCAGGGAGGTGGCTATGGAGATACTTGCTAGACTGCAAGCTCCAGAAAGGTGAGAATCTTTGTCTCTTTTGTACACTAATGTATTCCAAGCTGCTAGAACAGTGTATGATATATAGTAAATGCTCAATAAATGTTAGTTGAATCAATAAATGGTTATTTTCTGAAATTAGACTAGAATCCAGGTTTAAGATAAATAAAAGTATAAGCTATTCATGTATGCTGGAATAGTATGCCTTATTCAGATTTGGAATAGTATGTGTTTTTAGACATTTTAATAAAGTACATGCAATATTCTTGCAATTATGTGGCCTAAACCATGGCATCAGCCAGTGCATTCAGTGCAGTGTGAGAGCTAGCCGGGTGATGACAGGCGGAGCCTTGCCCAGTGCACTCCTCTTGTCTTGAGCTTGCCATCTAAGCTGTGTTTGTGAACATCTGCCCTGCAGTTTCTTTTCTCATGATCATGCTGTGATTTAAGTACGACATAGAAATCTGGGAGTGGATCTGTTGGGCGTTTGCCAAATAGCTGATGCTTTTGAGTTTCTTTACAGGATAAGGAAATCTGAGGATGATTCCCTCTCTTTTTTGGAGGCCGGGGGGAGACAGGGTCTCACTCTGTCACCCAAGGCTGGAGTGCAGTGGCACGATCTTGGCTCACTGCAACCTCTGCCTGTTGGCTTCAAGTGATTCTCCTGCCTCAGCCAGCCAAGTACCTGGGACTACAGGAGTGCGCCACCACGCCCGGCTAATTTTTTTGTATCTTTAGTAGATAGGGGGTTTCACCATGTTGGCCAAGCCAGTCTCAAACTCCTGACATCAAGTGATTCACCTACCTTGGCCTCCCTAAGTGCTGGGATTACAGGCCCGAGCCACTGTGCCTGGCCATGATTCTCTTTACTACCATAGATCTCTTTTGTGTTGGGAGTGGTGATACATAATTCCCACCCCCAACCCCATTATCCCTCCACCACCTTTACCACCCATCCTGCACATTTCACAGGTCACAATGACAGTGTTTCATTTGTTCCAGGAACATGCATTACATGCATTAACTCCAGTAGTCCTCACAAAAGCTCCAGGAGATATTATTACTCTTATCCCCACTTTACAAATGTGCAAACTAAGGCACAGAGAGGTTAAAATCACACCCAGTTAATAAAGTTCAGGGCGGCTGGGCATGGTGGCTCACATCTGTAATCCCAGCACTTTGGGAGGCTGAGGCGGGAGGATCACTTGAGGCCAGGAGTTCAAGACCAGCCTGGCCAACATGGCGAAACACCATCTCTACAAAAATTAGCTGGGCGTGGTGGCACATGCCTGTAATCCCAGCTACTCAGGAGGCTGAGGCAGGAGAATCACTTGAACCCAGGAGGCAGAGGTTGCAGTGAGCTGAGATCACACCACTGCACTCCAGCCTGTGCAACAGAGCAAGACCCTGTCACCAAAAAAAAAAAAAAAAAGGTCAGGGGCCACATTCATCCCAGGAAGTCTGATTTCAATTTAGCCTCTCAGTATTTTAATTTCTTCATTGGTAAAATAGGGATAATATTATCTACCTTCATAAGGGTTCTTGTGAAGATTAAATTAGTTAATACGTGTAACGTGCCTGGCCCAGGGCAAGCACTCTGTAACTGTTAGCTATGATTAGCTTTCCAGTATTATTCCTATGGAAAAATTACTTTTTACACACATGATTTTAATTTGTGTACAGGATCACATCTTGCACTTATGTCAAATAGCAACTGAACTGCTTCGCAATGATGGCAGAATAAGTTGGTAGAACTCATTTATTATCCCCTAGATTGAGCAAATATATGTTGATCGACCATGAGTCTGGGACTATGCTAGGCCCTGGGGATACCAAAACAAATGAGACACAGCACCTGTCCTCAAGGAGCTGACAGCCTGGTGACACAACCAAATAGGCACATGACAAGTTATTCAGTGTAATTTGGTAAATACAGAAGTTACAGTGGGTGATTTCCAAGCTGGCTCAGGTAAAAGGTATACATTCAAAAAGGGATCATGTAAACCTAGGAAAACAGAAGAGCTCTGATGAGCTACAAGAGGGACTGACACTTAAACCCTAAGTCTGACCTCAGGGTGGACAGCAAGTCTTTTCTACAGCACCTTCTTGAGGGTGACTATTGGTAAAGGGTGACTATTGGTGAGAGACCAAGGGCACTGTGATCTGAACCAGATGGTAATTACACATCCTTATTGTTACTTAGATAACTTACCTTTTCCTTCTGTTGTGAGTTTGTGTTTTGTAAAAGAAACATCCAGAAGGGTTACAATGGTCAATTTATTTTATTTTATTTTTTTTAGATAGAGTCTCACTCTGTCGCCCAAGCTGGAGTGCAGTGGCATGATCTCGGCTCACTGCAACCTCTGCCTCCCCAGTTCAAGCGATTCTCCTGCCTCAGCCTCCCCAGGTAGCTGGGATTACAGGCACCTGCCATTACACATGGCTAATTTTTTTGTATTTTTTGTAGAGACAGGCTTTCACCATGTTGGCCAGGCTGGTTTCAAACTCCTGTCCTCAAGTAATCCACCCACCTCGGTCTCCCAAAGTGCTAGGATTACAGGCATGAGCCACCGCACCCGGCCTTTTTTCTTCTTTTCTTTCACCCAGGCTGGATTGCAGTGGCAGGATCTCAGCTCACTGCAGCCTTGACCTCCTGAGCTCAGATTCTCCCACCTCAGTCTCTTGAATAGTTGGGATTACAGGCACACACTAGCAAGCCCAGCTAGTTTTGTTTGTTTGGGGTTTTTTGTAGAGACGGAGTCTCAGTACGTTGCTGGTCTCAAACTCCTGGGCTCAAGTAATCCTTCCACCTTGGCCTCCCAAAGGCTCTGGGATTACAGACATGAGCTACCATACAATGGTCAATTTTTTAAATACAGAAAATATTGCTTTTTATCGTAGAGTAGGCAGTCTCTATCACAGCCATTCACGGAGTTGAAGTGGGCTTTATTATCCAGCTTGGCTTAAAAGCTGGTGCCATTATTTTGTTGCCTCTCTTTGAGTCCTAAAGGGCTGTTGCTGTTACTGTTGTTGTTGCTTGCTTACTTTATAAAGTTTACCACTTTTCCTTATCTGAGCTTCCCTTCCTTCAGACTTCCGTGTATGATTTAACTTTACCCTTATGAAAAGAACACATTTTTCAATATACTTGCTTGCTTTTTCTAATCCTTGCCCCTCCCTGAGTCTTGGCCGTGGGCTGAACCAAAGAGCAGGCTCTGATGTCAGCGACAAAGGCTCTCAAATAACAATCTTTTCAGAAGATCAACAGGGAGAGAGACCAGGCCCCGGATGATAAAGCTACTGGTGCAGCCACTGAACCACAGGGCTTTCTCTTCCTTCACTCTGCCTCTTTCTGATTGGGAACACACAACAGTTGTTTTAAAGCTTTCCCTGGAGGGTGAGTGATAAGAAACCTATTACCTGGAAGTATCGCCTTTCTAAAGTAGGAGAACAAAAGGCCACACTTTCCCCAGATGGTGAGTCTCTTGGGGCTTCAGGGTTTGGAAAAGGCTCTTGCTTGGACATCCTGATCCGTCTTCCATTATGACACTGGCCCGACGTTTAAGCTCTGACTCGGGATACAGTTCCTGCCCCATCCTCTCCATTTGTGCTTTTCCTTGTGTTGTGGTTGCTGGGCAATATGACAAAATTATGTTTGGATTCCTGCGTGGGAGGAAAACTTTAATACTGCTTTGATCTGCAAATCAAAGGACAAAGTCACTTTCACAGGATTTGATGTAATTGGAAACTTCATTCTGGGGTTGGCTGATGGCTGAACTTGTAGGAGATCAAGGGACTATTTGGCAAGATGTCCTTAAGGAGTGGAGGGTTGACAGAGATTGGGGTGCTTAGCTGCCTGGAAGGAGAACGAGGTGTAACAAGACGGTCAGGTCCGCGAAGATCAGCTGTAAAAGAAAAAAAACAATGTGTATACAGAAGCAAGGGAGTAAGAAAAGTGAAGGAGAAATGTCAGAGATGTCAGAGAGGAGATAAACAGAGAAGTGAGAACATCAAAAAGAGGAATGGATGCCTTTGGCAAGAGGAGCTGATAAAGGGAACTATTCTGAGAAACATTTGAGATTTTTCTGACAAGAAAATGGAAGCTATTCCTGGCTTAGGGAATTGTTTGTTTTCAAACTTGCATAACTGCTCTCTCTTCAATCATATTTGAATTCTCATTACTGCCTGTTTAATTGGCAAAAGTCACTGTAAGTTTGTATCAATTGCATTGTTTCTTAGTGGGGTTAATAATACCCACAGACAATGAGATACACGGTTAGGAGAACATGGGTTTTAGACTCAGAGGCGTGTGGGTTCGCGTCTCAGTTCGGCAGCTCCAGCAGAACTTCCATGTCCTCTCTGTAAATGAGGACGATGCTGGAGCAGTGTTAGGGTGAGGATTGGCAATAAGAACTGCAAAATCCGGCAGATGGCAAGAGCTCAGTTCATATCATCGGTTATTATTTTTTATTGGTATGATTTCACCCGAAGACAGGGTGTTTGGCCAGATTATATCTGGAGACCTCTTTCGGCTTTATAAGATTTCCCAATGATTTGGATGTGATGTAGGAATGTTGAGGCTTTTCTGACCATAGATTTTAGACTGGAAGATGTCTTCAAGATAACCTCATCTGTATCCATGTTTTTTTCAATTTGTACATAACGAACCACCCCAAATTTTATTTTTATTTTTTATTTATTTATTTATTTATTTTTTGAGACGAAGTCTCACTCTGTTGCCCAGGCTGGAGTGCAGTGGCATAATCTTGGCTCACTGCAACCTCTGCCTCCCAGGTTCAAGCAATTCTCCTGCCTCAGCCTCCCGAGTAGCTGGGATTACAAGCATGCACCACCACGCCCAGCTAATTTTTATATTTTTAGTAGAGACAGCATTTCTCCATGTTAGCTAGGCTGGTCTCGAACTCCTGGCCTCAAATGATCCGTCTGCCTCGGTCTCCCAAAGTGATGGGATTTCAGATGTGAGCCACTGCTCCCAGTCTCACCCCAAAATTTAAAGGCTTAAAACTACTTCTGTTTATTAGCTTACCATTCCGTGGGCTAGCCATTTGGTCTGGGCTCAGCTGGGTGGGTTGCCGGGGATCACTCATTGGGCACCACTATGACAGCTTGGCTGGGTCTGGATGGTCTAAGATGCCTTCACCCACATGTTGGGTAGTTGGCAATGGCTCTCTGCCAGGCCTCTTTCTGTGTATGGTCTCATCCTCAAGGAGACTAACCCAAGCTTCCTTATACAGAAGTCTCAAGATCCCAAGAGGAAGAGAGCAGAAGCTATAAGATCCATTGAGGCCTGGACTCAGAAGTCTCAGTTTCACTTCCACCATATTCTATTGGTCTTAGCAAGTGCAAGTCTGGCCCAGATTCCAGGAGGAGGTGAAAGGAGGTGCCTCTTAACAGTAGTTGTCCTGGCTCAGTCTTACTTCAAAGGCCAGAACTATTTCTGTTTTGCTTCCTTGGTAATAGTAAACACAATGCCATCACTGACTACCCGAACCTTGAATTTTCCAGCTGTTGACTGTACCTGTTCATCCACTTTCCTTACAACCACTAGGAAAGAGGTAAAAGAGACCCCACCTCCTAAGAGTGGCAAAAAGTCACATTGCCAAGGAGTGTACCTCCAGGAATGATGGGAATTGTGGAGGAATTCTTTGCAAACAATCTACACATCATTTATTCCTCTTTGACAAGTGGGGAAAGAAAAACCAAGAAAGTTAAATATTTGGCCAAGATCACCCAGCTAGAACCTGACACTACTCCTGGGCTCTGTCTCCTACCTGATAGTAACTCAAGAATGGGCCAGGGAGGGTATCATTAACAAGGAGCAGATAAGTGGGGCCAAAGGATTACTTACACACAATGACCGGGAGATAAATGGACAGCTATCATTTACTGAGCACGTTCTAAATGGTTAGTACATAATTAATTTGTCCTGGAGAAAAGATGGGCACAAAGCCTTGCTCAGAATAAAGTCAAACAAAAGTGACAAGCAAAGGTCAGCAAGGACTAAGTTGGGAAAGACAAAGAAGAGGAGGGGGAGGTGGGTGTCATAACTCAAGGCTGGAAATAAAGGAAAAATAAGTTTAACTCAGGAATCGGAACATAAGAGGAGTGGTGTGTTCCAGAGGTGCTAGGATGAAATCCAAGGCAGCATTTCACAGACGGATTCATGTGAATGAAGAAAGGACATTTTGACTTGGAACAGAGGGCTGGGCCTCTGGCCTAGCAAGAAAAGACCTGATTTAGTTTAATCAAGTTGATCAGCCTCAGGGTAAAACAAATTAGAAGTGTAGACAACAGTCCCTTGTGATATGTTGAGTCAAGCTGGACTAATTAAGCAAGCAAGCTGTGTATTAGTAATTTCCCTGTATGTATGTCATTCTCAACCCTGAGGTTCTCATTGGCATAAAGTGGATGGTACATCCCAGTTGGTGCTGAACATATAACAAGCCCACATGGAAGAGGAAGAGCGTTGTGCAGGCTGGTTATGAAGTTGGTTGAATTCTGTTTACAAACAAATGTTATCTTTGTCAAACTGAGGCTAGTGGAAATAGAAAGTACTGTCCTCAAGTTTTGTCACCACACTTCCACTTTATGTTTAGAATTTTTTCTTACTTGCTAATGTTGAGTGTATTTGATAGTTTTTTTAAGTAAATGAATGAATCTAGACCACTGATTTTATAATTGTTTTGCTCCTTTTAGTACCAGAAGCTCAGTTAACCATTGTCAATGTACAAACTATACTTCATAGGGCTCTTGGGTGTGTAGGGTTAAGAAGATGAATTACACGTACCCAGAGAGTTTGAATTTAGACTTTTATGTCATCGTTTCCCTTCCTGGGTCACCCTTACATCAAAGGTCAAAACTATTTCTGTGTTGCTTCCTTGGTAATAGTAAACATAATGCCATTATCGACTACCTGAACCTTGAATATTCTGGCTGATGACTGTACCTGTTCATCACTTTCCTGACAGCCATCTCCAGAGTTATCCTTAAAATATTTCTGCTTTAAAAATATTTGAATTTCTTCAAAATCTTGCCCCCTTCATGTATCTGCATGACACTACTGTCTGAATTTCATTTCTCACTATCTTCAGGAAACAAATACTAACATAAACATATCCATGGATTATTTATGTTTTACTTCCAACAGCCTTAGCCAGAGTCAGGTTTGTACAGCTCAGCATTCAAAATTTAATCAAAATGAAAGTCAATCTCATCACAATAAGATAACAAAAAAAAGAAAAAAAAGTCAAAAACTTTCTTATTTAAAACACATAAGAAAAATGAGCTGGTTTTTAAATTAAACATTTCTTATTCCAGTAAAGAACTCTGAGACACTGATTTTTTTTTTTTTTTTTTTTTTTTTTTAAAGATGAAGTGTCACTCTGTCGCCCAGGCTGGAGTGCAGTGGTGCAATCTCGGCTCACTGCAACCTCCGCCTCCTGGGTTTAAGTGATTCTTCTGCCTCAGCCTCCTCAGTAGCTGGGATTACAGGCACCCGCCACCAAGCCCAGCTAATTTTGTATTTTTAGTAGAGATGGTGTTTCGCCATGTTGGCCAGGCTGGTCTTGAACTACTGACCTCAGGTGATCCACCTGCCTTGGCCTCCCAAAGTGCTGGGATTACAGGCATGAGCTACTGCGCCCAGCCAAGACACTGATTTAAAAATTGACGAAACGCTCAATTGCCAAGTCACAAAGTATAATTACTAAACAAACATAAGGGAAGGGTTCAAACCTTCCTCTTATCAAAGAAATGTAACATATTTTATTAAACAAAGAAAGATTCTTAAAAATAATTACTAACAATTATAAATAGTAACACCAAAATATTAGAAAAATAAAAATACTTGAAATAATAATACCTTGTCTTCCAAGGATGCCTAGTGGCAGACTTGTACATTGCTGGCATAAGTGATATTGGTACAGTTATTTTGGTAGTATGTATAAAGAATGACAAAAAGGGCTGTGCTCCGTGGTTCATGCCTGTAATCCCAGCACTTTGGGAGGCCAAGGTGGGAGGATCACTTGAGGCCAAGAGTGAGAGACCAGCCTGGGCAACAGAGTGAGACCTCTCTACTTTTGTAGAGATCTCCATCTCTACAAAAAATAAAAATATTAGCTGGGCATAGTAGCGTGCAACTGTAGTCCTAGCTACTCAGGAGGCTGAGGCAGGAGGATCATTTGAACCCAGGAGTTTGAGGCTGCAGTGAGCTATGATAGCACCACTGCACTCCAGCCTGGAAAACAGAGTGAGACCCTGTCTCTAGAAAAAATAAAATTTAACTTTAAAAAAAATCACAAAAATGTTTTGACTCTTTGACCCAATCATTCTACTTTAGTGTCTGGCAGAGGCACTGTAAAAATAGAAAATGCATGGCCAGGCGCAGTGGCTCACACCTATAATCCCAGCATTTTGGGAGGCCGAGGGAGGTGGATCACGAGGTCAGGAGTTCAAGACTAGCCTGGCCAATATGGTGAAACCCCGTCTCTACTAAAAATACAAAAATTAGCTGGGCGTGGTGGCACGTGCCTGTAGTCCCAGCTACTCAGGAGGCTGAGGCAGGAGAATCACTTGAACCTGGGAGACGGAGGTTGCAGTGAGCCGAGATTGTGCCACTGTACTCCAGCCTGGGTGACAGAAAAAAAAAAAAATAATAGAAAATGCACAATGATATTTATTACAGCAGTATTTATAAAGTATTTTTAAAGCAGTATTTATAAAGAAAAATCTCAATGTCCTGGATTAGGAGAGTAATAAATAAAGGAAGAAAAACATACTAGCTTGAATATTATGCAAATACTTAATGATTGCTCTGAAGATGAGTGATGTTAAAGGTGTTATTAAAGTTTTGGTAATGTTAAGTTTTTGCAGTGCTAACTTTTGGGTTTTTAAAGATTATGTATGCATGATATCTGTAAGTGGCACCTTCTAGGCACTTATGTAAATCAGAAGTCTTGGAATCTTCTTTGATGTGTCTCTACCCCTACTCCCCAAAACACATCACCTGGGGGTCACTTTTCACCTTAAGTCACCCTGAACACTTTCCACTTTTCTCCAGCTTCCCCACTACCATCCTGGTCCAGCAAACACCTCTTTCTTTAGACCCTACAAGTGTCCTGACTGGTCTCCTGCCCCGCACTGGAATCTACTCTCCACCTGCAGCTAGGATGATCTTCTAAAATGCAAATCCAACGGGTCTTATCCCTGCTGAGCCATCAATCATTGCTCCATGACCAAACACCAAATTGCAGAACCCTACGCCTAATGCTACGTTATCTAACAGTGGCCTCTCTGCTTGTCTTGGGCTTTCTCTCCATCTCCACACTCCAGCTACACAGGCCTTATTTCTGTTCCTTGCTTCTTCCCTTGGGGCACTTGTTGCTCTACAGAGGCTACCCCTCTGCCTGGAAAGCTCTCTCTCAGACCCTTCTGCCACGACCCTTTGGCCTCATCCTTCATCCTTCATTCTTCCAGCCCTATGTCATCTCAGAGAAATCTTCACTGGTGGTGCCTCAGCCCAGGTCCCCTTGTTATATGCTCTCTTAGCAGCTATTTACTGTTGTTTTTTTTTTTAGACAAAATCTCACTCTGTTGCCCAGGCTGGAGTGCAGTGGTATGATCCTAGGTCACTGTAGCCTCCAACTCCTGGGCTCAAGGGATCCTCCTGCCTCAGCCTCCTGAACAGTTGGGACTAAAGGAGCACACCACTACACCTGGCTAATTTTAAAATTTTTTGTAGAAGTGGGTTTTCGCTATGTTGGCCAGGCTGGTCTCTCACTCCTGGCCTCAATTGATCCTCCCACCTTGCTTCCCAAAGCACTGGGATTACAGACAAGAGCAACCACACTCAGCCTTATTTACTTTTTTATTGTTTCCCCCCCACACACACTCCCACCCCAGCAGAATTTAAATCCCATGAAGGCAGGGACTTGTTCACTGCTCTTTGCCCAGGGTTCAAATGTGTGCTGAGTGAATAAGTCATGTTTATCACTATTTGTTACCTTATATCAATATTGTTATTGGATTCATATCTGTCTCTCCCACTAGACTGTAATCTCTCTAGGGTGGGAGCCCTATCTGCTTTGCTTACCATTGTATGCCAGCATTTGCACCATAGGCGGCCTTCCACAAACGTATATTGAATATTACATATATACCTCAGCATCCCACGTAGCTAGGACCACAGGTGCAAGCAACCACGCCTGGCTAACTTTTAAATTTTTTGTAGAGACAGGGTCTCACCATGTTGCCCAGGTTGGTCTCAAATTCCTGGACTCAAGCAATCATCCTGCCTCGGCCTCCCGAAGTGCTGGGATTACTGGTGTGAGCCACCATGCCCAGCCTGGATATATTTTATCACAATTGTGTGAGAAATGCAGCAGAAAAATCACACTGAAAAAGTAATATTGGCTGTGTTCAGATTATGATAATATTACTGATTTCTGTCTCCAAAAAAAAAATAATGGAAAAGTGACAACACAAATAAAAATTCACAATCAAACAAAAAGAAGAGATAGCTCCATATATTGTACATAATAAAAAAGCTAAAATGAAATGAAAAATAATAAAATAAGCTAAAAATAGAAATGATACCTATAATTATTCTACTCTAAAACATCAGGTGTTTTCCATTTTTTGTGTGTGTGTGCCCAAAAGGGGGATCATTTTTACATAGCTATAATCATAGATAAATGTTGTATTTTCATTTTCCTGCTTCATGTTTTGTCATATGCATTTTCCCAGGATTCTATGTTGTCTACATAATTATTGTTAGCAACTACATGATGCTCAGTTAAATTAATGTTCTTGGGGTGGGGTTATTGCTGTAAGATAAATTTCCTGGAGTGGAATTCAAAGTGTTTGAGTACTTTCAGGGAAATACAGATTTCTGGCTTCATTGGCCAGAAGACAGAAAAGAAGCAGGCAGTGGTGGATATGTACACAACCGTGGAAGGAAAGCTTGAGGTACGATTAAGTGAACTGTGATTATTTTTAAAAGAGAGTCAGGGCTCGGCATTGTGGCTCACGCTTGTAATCTCAACAATTTGAGGGGCTGAAGTGGGAGGATCGCTTGAGGCCAGGAGTTTAAGGCAAGCCTGGGCAACAGAGTGAGATTCTGTCTTTACAAAAATTAGTCAGGGATGGTGGTCCCAGCTACTGGGGAGGCTGAGGCCAGAGGATCACTTGAGCCTAGGAGGTCAAGGCTTCAGTGAGCTATAACTGAACCAATGCACTCCAGTCTGGGCAACAGAGTGAGACGTTGTCTCTAGAAATAAATGCAGAAATAAATAAAAATTGTAAAAAGAGAGTTAATATTACATCAAGCCTGTACGGGGGAAAATGTTGTTTATATGGAACACTTCTAAGTCAAGTAGCTTGACTGTCTCCTGAAATGAGACCGATGTTTTCAGAAACAGAAAAGGGTGGTGCCTGCTTTTGGGGAACTGACAATTAGCGAGGGCTCCAAGGAAGTGGAGGTTGTGTACAAATGTGGGGCATTAGTAAGTGAGGCATTCATAAGTTAGAGGCAGCCAATATTGGTTAGAAGCAGATACTTAGGATCTCTGAGTCTGCTCTGTTAATAAATGAAGTAGCAACAAAGACAGGAGTACCACGCATCGGAGGGTGGAAATGGCAAAAAAGGAGGCACCAATGCAAATTCTGTAAGTTGAACATGTTGATTGCTGTCTAGTGCTTTGCAAAATGCAAGTCTGGGCAGGGTGACCTCTGGCTTCTTTCTCGAATATTTTATAAAATAGCAGTATCATAGCCCCAAGCAAGAGCCTGAGTTGCAGCCATCTCAGTTCATTGCCTTTTAACTCCAAATCTGCCACTTCACAGATATCTTGCTCATCACCCCCTTAGCAATACAAAGACCCTAACACTTGTGCTTTACGACAGACCCTGAACAAAGGATAACAGCTGCTGAGCCACACGGAATACTTTTCCAAGCTGCAGAATCTCCCAAGGTTGGAACCCAACAACATGCCTAACTTTTTCATCAGTATCTAAAAACAACCACACTGTAAGCCTTGTCATCATTCTTCAAACTCCACTTTCTGTTCATTTTGCCTCCATCCAGGAACATCTCCCTCTGGATTAGGCACCTCTCATTTCCAAACAGTTCTAGGGTCTTCCTTAAATAGAGCAAAATGATCTACTTTGAAAAAAGTATTAATAAATCACAACAACCAGTGATTTAATTAAGAACTTAAAGCAGCATTTTCATTTGAAAGAGAATTGGGCAGGAAAGGGGAGGAGAGAAGAAAAAAAAGTAATAGGATTTCAGGCCACATGTTCTGACATTATGGGGCAGACACATTTGTGCGCTGCATGGCTTTTCTGTCCGTCTCAAATTACCCCATCCCTTACTACCTTTGCATTAGACCTGGGCTCACTCATGGGCTTTTGTGTTTTTGTGTGTAAAGAAGTTCATTATCTAAGACCATTATATTCTGCAGGGTGCGGTGGCTGATGCCTGTAGTCCCAGCACTTTGGGAGGTCAAGGCAGGGGGATCACTAGAGGTCAGGAGTTCAAGACCAGCCTGGTCAACATGGCAAAACCCCGTCTCTACTAAAAATACAGAAACTAGCCAGGTGTGGTGGCGGGCTCCTGTAATCCCAGCTACTCAGGAGGCTGAGGCAGGAGAATCACTTGAACTCGGGAGGCGGAGGTTGCAGTGAGCCAAGATTACACCACTGCGCTCCAGCCTGGGTGACAGAGAGAGACTCTGTCTCAAAAAATAATGATAATATTAATAAGATTGTTACATTCAATAATTTCTTTTCTGCATGTTAGCTTTTATCTTTGACCACTGGATGGACAAGCAAGTATCCTATTTTTTACATTCACTGTTGAATCCATTGCCTACCTGGGCCCTCATAAACACTAAATTGATTAACATTGTTCAACAAACATTTAATGAATTAACAAGTGAATGAATGAGTAATCAGAACGAGAATATTCTAGTTTCTGCGTGTCATTAGAACATCTATCATTTAATTGCATTATTAGGTCAGGTTTTAGCACATTGCTTAATCCAGGTTGTCCTCATCAGCCTGATGATTATTTTAACTACTGGCAAAAACTTTTAGTTTGCCATCATATTTACAAGAATACTAAAAAAGAAAAAAAAAAAAGAATACACCTAAAATACATGCATAGTTGAAAGGGAAATTCTGATTAGAGCCATTTTTTTTCTAGACTTACAGATTATGCTGCTCCTCCATTAAGTCAAGTTTAGCCCATCACATGGATTGGCTTTAGATGTGAATGAATTTAAAGAGTGCATTGAGGCTGGGCCAGGTGGCTCACTCCTGTAATCCCAGCACTTTGGGAGGCTGAGGCATGCAGATCGCTTGAGCTCAGGAGTTCGAGACCAGCCTGGGCAACATGGTGAAACCCCATCTCTACTAAAAATAGAAAAAAATTAGCTGGGTGTGGTGGTATGCGTCTGTGGTCTCAGCTACTTGGGAAGCTGAGGTGGGAGGATCGCTTGAGCCCAGGAGGTGAAGGTTGCAGTGAGACGAGGTTGTGCCACTGCACTCCAGCCTGGTGACAGAATGAGACCCCCATATCAAAAAAAAAGTACATTGATTTAAGGATGAGCTTGATGTTAAGAAAATAAATAAAGACCACATTAATGTTTTATTTTATTTCAGCAAACTTCAGAAGACAAAGAGGGATATCAGATGGCTTCAGGGAGTGACTGGTGAATGGTTTGAAGAAATTCAAAGAAAAAAGTTTTGCAATGAAACAGATGTTAGCCAAATGTTAAAACAACCACTTACATACAGGCTAAGTAAGGAGATGGCAAAAAATGGTAAGAAAAAGATTTTAGATTTAAAGTTGATTTCTTTGTTTCTGTGGCATAGTATTGTAGATAATGGCCCAGTGGATCTCCAATGTAACCAATCCATGTTTAGAACTATTTTAAAGTCATAAGCCACAAAAGTTTATAATACAATATACACTAAAAAAAAAAAGTGAACTGAAATTTTACTGTAATAATGTCTTGGATTTTTTTTTGTTTTTTGGGTTTTTTTGAATCAGGCAAGATAGCATAGTGGGTAGGAATATAGACACTGATGTCAACAGAGGCCTGGATTCAAATCTCTACTCTGTCTCTATTCATGCGAGTCTGTCCAAGTCATTTATTCTCTGTAAACCTCAGTTGCTTCATCTTTAAATGAATGCAATGATACCTACACCTCATAAGGTGGTTACGAGAATTAAGTAAAATTATGTTTATAATGTATTAAGCTGGGCAGGGGGTCGGGGGTGGCTCACACTTGCAATCCCAGCACTTTGGGAGGCAGAGGCAGGAGGATCACTTAAGCTCAGGAGTTTGAGACGAGCCTGGGCAACATGGCGAAACCTCATCTCTACAGAAAAATAAAAGATTAGCTGGACATAGTGGTGCCCACCTGTAGCCCCAGCTACTCTGGAGGCTGAGGCAGGAGGATCATTTGAGCCTGGGAGGCAGAGGTTGCAGTGAGCTGAGATCATGCCACTGCACTCCAGCCTGGGCAACAGCGGTAAGACTGCACCTCAAATAAAAAAAAAATAATAGAATATTAAGCTGGAACAGGGTAAGCACTTAAATAAATGGGATGACTATGATGCAGGGGGAGGAAGAAAAAGGGGAGGGGTGGAGGAAGGGAGAATCAGAGATCAGAGGAGAAGGGAGGGAAGGTGGTGGAGGAGCTGCCACACTTCTGGAACTTTGGTAAACTCCATGAATGACTTCTAATAAATGCCTTCTATATAGATTAAAAGGATACTAAAACTTGCTTTCACAGGACTATTGAGAAGATAACCAAAGTGCACTAGAAACTATAAAATACTAAAATAAAATATCTTTTTACTGACGCGGAGTCACATTGACTGCATTTTTGCATGTTATTAACATTAGTAACATCATGAAACATGTAAAAATACTTCTAAACTTCTATGTTGATAATATCTTGCAACTCTCATAATAAACATATCTACGTAAAAAGACTCACAGTTCAGATTTTTTAGATCACCCCCATACATACCCTGATGACTTTTCCCTTGTCCTAAATTCCCCTAATATTTATAAAGTCAGCATGTCCCAAATCATTATAATATTATGGATTTTGTTTAATTTTATTTATTTATTTATTTTGAGATGGAGTCTCACTCTGTCACACAGGCTGCAGTGTAGTGGCATGATCTCAGGTCATTGCAACCTCTACCTCCCGGGTTCAAGCAATTCTCCTGCCTCAGCCTCCTGAGTAGCTGGGATTACAGGCGTGCGCCACCACACCTGGCTAATTTTTTTGTATTTTTAGTAGAGACGGGGTTTCTCCATGTTGGCCAGGCTGGTCTCGAACTCTTGATCTCAGGTGATGCACCGCCCACCTCAGCCTCCCAAAGTACTGGGATTACAGGCGTGAGCTACCGTGCCTGGCCAATATTATGGATTTTGTATATGTTGATGTTGCCTTTGAATTTTTGATACCCATATATTATCTATACATATATATTATACATAAACAGGTTGAATATCCGTTATCTGACATGTTTGGGACTATAAGTATTTCCAATTTCAGATCTTTTTAGATCCTGAAATATTTGCATTATATAAGCTGAAAAGTTGAGCATCCCAAATCCAAAAATCCCAAATCTGAAAGGCTTCAATGAGCATTTTCTTTAAGCATCATGTTGGTGCTCAAATTTTTTTGGATTTTGGGGAAATTTTTGATTTCAAGTTTTTCGGGTTTAGGATGCTCACCCTGTATATGTTACATGCAAACACATATGTAAACCATGTGTGTAGCAAATACATATCCACAGAGAGAGATTTTGGAAAGGAATGAAGAAAAATCTAAATGGCTTAATTTCCTTTTCCTTTACTTTCTTCAGTATAAGAAGTTATGTAGTATGTATCTATCACCATGGTTTTAAGGTACTGAAATAAAAACTTCTGAAGGACAGCATGGTTAAGGAACATGAGAATTGAATGGGGTCCCTGATTTCCTAGCTTGGGTGAGAGGAGGAACACTCTAGGAACTCTGATTCACAGTACACATGGAAAGATTCCCTACTAATTTGAGTTTTCTCTATGCAGCAGAACCATCAGAGGCGCAGGAGAGAGGTTGCTCTGACTGCCTTAATCCCTGAGGTCTTCATGTGAGGTTGCCTGCCCTGTTTCTAGTCTGCATAAGAGGGAGAAAGTGACACAAGAGCAAAGGCTTCATTCTTTCAAGTATATTTACTTGGAAGTAATTGATGCAAAATTTTTACAATTTTTTTTTCTAGATCCGATAGAATTACCTACATCAAGATCTAAAAATGTAACTAATCAAAAAAAGCCGACACCTTTTTCTTCCCGGATGAGCTTCAGATCGTCATTTGCTTCCCTGTTCTCATTCAGGAAATCTGGAAAGGAGACTTCAAAGCTTCCATCACTGGGACAGAAAGGGTGAGTTAAACTCAGGTCATGTTACGGCCCATTTGTTATCCGATATCAGAGGCCAGCAGCCTGTTTTGTGTTCAAAATGTTTAATGTTTGTTCTTAGAATTTCAATTCAATTGGTATTAAGAACAAAGGAAATGGGACTTAACTTGCATAGTGACAAAGTTCTTAGGAAACCATGAAATGTGGCTCACCTGAAATCCAACTTCTAACGAGCTGCAGAGTGCATTGGTGGTGCATTTGGTGAGTGATGGGTTAAATATTGGGAAATAATGATTGCCAGTTTTTCCACTGCTCCAAGAGTCTGGCCTATGTCCTGTCCAGGAAGATATATTTAAATAAAAACTACTCCTTCTTTGCAGAGTATGTGTCCTGGTCACGTCCTGGTCACGTCCTGGTCATAAGGAGAGTTGGGGTAACGACTAGATGAGAGAAAATGTGAGATGAACAAAGAGACTAGAGAAAAATAGAATTCTAAAACAGAGGGAGGAAATGTAATTACTGTTACTAGAAATACTGAAGGCTGTTCCCATGTGTTTGCTCAGAATGTATAAGGTGAGGGAGGAGAAGCTTTAGGAGCAGTGGAAACTTAGTTCCAGATGGTTCCCAGTTTAGAACTGTGCAAATCAGTTCACTTGACTCATTATGTTGTTGGATTACTTTGTGAAAAACAAGCAAGGCTATGCTTAAGTGCAATTGAGCTGACTGCTAAATATTTTCGGCATGTCTTCCTGGTTTCAAAGCTTCCCACCCTCTTAAGGTGTTGGCTTGGCACGTGATATGTTCCGCGTGCCGTCAAACCACACGGTGTATTGCAGCACTAAATAAAAGGTGTTGGAGGTCACTGTCGCTGAGAAACAAGAGGCAGCAAGCAGCTGGTGGGTTGTGTGATGAGGCTGCTGGATTTAACAGACCACTGTCCTCCCCTCTTGGGTGAATGGAGGGTTTTTCACTTCCAGCTTTCACCCGAGGCTGTTTTTGTCTGATGAAAGAAAGAGCAGACCACAATGTAGATTTATGTGACTGTAGCTACCAGAGTCACTAGCAAGGAAATACTCTTCAAATAGGTGAGTCGTTTTTCTCTGTAAAAATTTTTGAGACACTAGTGATTCTCACATTTGGGGGATTTAAAATTGAGAAGTGTTTCTTGCCCAGTAAATATTTATTTGAGGGAGAAAAAAATATTTCCACTGCGTGGTATAGCTAGGATTTGTGATATCATTTGTATCTTAGGTGATTTTCTTTAAGGCAGAATGTTGTATAGCTGAACCATCTAATATCAGTAAACTGGGAAAAGTTGAGGAAACTGTTAATTCTATGGGCAAGTTATTTCCAAGCTCATATTGCAAATTATTGCAAAGGTGGATCAAAGAAGATATAGATCTATAATCTTCATTCTGGGTATCATGTTTTTCGGTTATAGACCAAACTGGAAAAAATTAAAACTCTTGCAACATTCTGTTTAGCAAATGTCCTTCTTAGATATCAAAATACTTGCAGCTCTCTTTTAACAGGAAGAATTGAAACATAGACACAACATGCAGAAATAAAATAAATTTCATCATTTAAATATATTTATGTGTGTTTAGCAGTTTTCAGAACTTGTCATCTTCAAATACGTTTTACTTTCAAAACATAAATGGGAATATTTAACATTTATCTTGTTATTATTGATATTGATAAGTATTTATTAATTCTGCTGGTGCAGAATATAATTAAAGGCACTGGGTTTTGCTCCTAAGAGGTTTCAGAAGATGAAATATAAAAGCATGTCGTTTTTATTTTTAAATTTGAATGTGACCTAAATATTTGGATATGAATCCTATATGTGGGAAAAGAAGTGTTTATTAAAGGGGGCATTGTATTACGACAGGTGATATAAATCAGGTCATACATTCTGAAGGGCTCTATAATCTCAGGTAGAACCTAACTTTCTTTGGCAGTGTTGATCTGAAATAGAAAATCAATCTGCAAAATGGACTGTGATTCAGGACCTCCTCCTTACCTACGAGCACCCTGGGAGGGACTGACTAATGGCCCAGGGACACACAGTCATCCTCTGCAGGCAACAGTCAGGCTTCTACTTGCTGAAGCCGTCAAGGGCTTGACTGTCACACTCAGTGTTCTGGAAAACAAATCAGTAAAGCAATTTAGAGGATCTTTTGCAAATCAGAGAAAAAGAATCAATACAAGGCGAAAGAATTCTGATCAGCACTTTAAAACGTGCTTATCAGAAACTTTTCTTCTCTCTTTTAAGCTTTGGTTCTAACTGAGAAATGCACTGGATAATAGGTAACCCTCCCCAGAAGAACATGGACTTCATCATTTCACCAGATTCACTTGTTCCCTTTAAGGCCCAGCCAATAAAAGTATATGGTATCTTCAAGCTCTGATTTCCTAATATCAGAGATAAAAAGCCATGGGAACGCAGAGACTTGGTGAATTTGTAAAAATCCAAAAAGAAAGGCCAGTCATGACGGCTCACGCCTGTAATCCCGGCACTTTGGGAGGGCAAGGCAGAAGGATCACTTGAGCCCAGGAATTTTGAGACCAGCTTGAGCAACATGGTGAAACCCC
Organism: Homo sapiens; assembly: GCF_000001405.40. Classification (NCBI taxonomy): domain Eukaryota; kingdom Metazoa; phylum Chordata; class Mammalia; order Primates; family Hominidae; genus Homo; species Homo sapiens. The sequence continues at coordinate 108,536,452 of NC_000011.10, read as the reverse complement.
ATCTCTACCAAAAAGATAAATTATCTGGACATGGTGGTGCGAGCCTGTAGTCCCAGCAACTTGGGAGGGTGAGGTAGGAGGATCACTTGAGCCTGGGAGGTGGAGGGTACGGTGAGCCGCTGCACTCCAGCCTGGGTGACAGAGTGAAACCCTGTTTCAAAAAAAAAAAAAAGGCAAAAAGATTTACCACTTCTGCCTCAAATATGATTTGCTCCTCTTCTCAAACATATACACTTCCCAAACTGTCCCGTTATGATTTTAATCCTATTTGTAAATGATTGGCTCCATTCCAACCACAGGAAAAAAGAAAAATATTTTCCATTCATGTTTTAATGTATACATTCCTAGCCAATAAATCCAAGAAAAGTATACATATGTACATGTAGCTTTCCCTCAACATCTTCCTGCAAGTCATGTTTGCACGGATCTTGTTCTAGGGTATCTAGTGCATGTAACATGTGCTCAGCCCCTAACATAGAATTTCAGTAACTTCGTAATCTCACAAATGCCTTCCACAGGGCATCCAATGGTGTACGTCATCAGCTTATACATGCAGTCTTCTCAGCTGCCAAGCAGAATCTATAGTTGTTCCTTTCTTGTTCCAGACCCCCAGTTATTCCAGTGATGCCCTCCCTACTATGAATAAGTGATATGCGTTGCCCTTCAGATGCAAAGAGCCTTGGTGGATCCACCTAGCTACTCTCAGGCATGTCCAAATTTGCCTGACCCATAGGTCGTACACGGCTCAGACAGTCCAGCTGCAACCTCTAGATTACATAAGTAAAAAGGTCAAATTCTATTTTGGAAAATTAAAAGGGCAGATCACTTTTTTTTTCCTGTTCTCTCTGTCTCTTGATCTCTCTCTGTTACCCGCCTTCTCTCCACCTGCCTCCCTCCTCCTTCCAAATGCCCCACTGTGTACTCTTGCTCGTTGCTAGTTGAGTGCCTATGTCTGAGTTGGAAGACATGGGAATCTAAGACACCTAGATTGCAGGAGAAGTCAGAGAAAGCAAGCTCCTTCTTTGGAAATGCTCCTTCTGTGATTCCAGGCATGGTGTCCACAGATAAAAGGCAGCATTGTGGTGGCAAGAGGGAGAAACAAGACGAGGGGAGTGGTTTTAAGTTTTATCCTGGGTGGCTTATGGTTCCCAGCTGGTCTGACCGATCATTATTAGAATCTCATCAACAATTGTTAAATGAAGACACATAATCAGGCTCCAACCTGGTGCTTTTGAAGTAAGGCACAGGGAGCTTTACTTATTTATTTTTAATTCTCCAGAATATTTGGGTGCTCATTCAAATTTCGGAACTGCTGCAGCTTAGCTTCCTCCCACTCTGGTAAGGGCTGTCAGAATTTTTGGCATGGGGGATAAAAGCCAGGTGATAGCTTTCCTTTCATTTATTTATCAAGCTTCTGTCCCACTCTGGATCAGACCCTATGTTAAGTGCTGGAAACAAAACAGTGAAATGAAAGCAAAGTCCCTGCCTGGAGGATTTTATATTCTGGTAGGGAACACCATATTGCTGCATAGGTCAGGCAGGCAGCACGCCACAGAACTTTAGGATGTGCCACCTGCATCATGACCATCATGGATTTGTACACATCTTATGGCAATTTCCAGCAAATGACAAGAAGGGGTCTTGAGAAAGGAGTGCCCTTTAGAATTCACACAGGGATGCCATGTGGCCTAGCTGCATAGGTAACAGCTGGGTACAGTGACAATTACAGTAGAAGGTGGTGAGTACTATGGTGACACATGATGTTCCTGCCAGGAAAACATGTAGAACCACTTAACTCAGACTAGAGGATCAAGATCCCTTCCTGGAAGAAGAGAGCTAATTTTTGAAAAACAAATAAGACTAAGCCAGGCAATTAAGAATCCAGACGCTGCACTCAGCAAAAGAAATGACATAAACCAAGGTGCAGAGAGTGGAGAAGGCAGGAATTCATCTAGGTCACTGAGGTTCAATGACCCAGTACAAGGTGAGGGCTGTTAAGGGATGGGGCAGGAGAGGTTGGCAGAGGCCACAACACACGGGCCTTATATGAGCAATGCCATACTAAGGAGCTTGGACTCATTCCTGTAGACAGTGGGGAACCATTAATACTTTTAAAATAATACCACTCTTCTCCTTGTTTTATACACATGACAGATAAAATCACCCAAAGCCAGTTCATCTGGACAAACACTACCCTTTGGCATATTTCCATGTGTGTACATGCATCCATTGATGATTTTTAAACAGAGAAGTGACATAATTGGGTCTTCATTTTAGAGAGATTACTGTACCTCAATGGTTTTCAACCAACGGTGATTTTGTTACCCAAAGGACATTTGGCAACATTTGAAAACATTTTTGGGTCAGATGTGGTGGCCGCCTGTAATCTCAACACTTTGGGAGGCTGAGGCGGGAGACTCACTTGAGGCCAAGAGTTTGAAATTAGCCTGGTCAACATAGTCAGGCTGCACCTCTACAAAACATTAAAAAATTAGCCAGGCATGGTGGTACACACTTGTAGTACTAGCTACTTAGGAGGCTGAGGCAGGAGGATTGCTTAAGCCCAGAAGGTCAAGCTTCAGTGAGCTGTGATTGTGCCACTGCACTCCAGCCTGGGCAACAGAGCAAGACCCTATCTCAATAAAAAGAAAACATTTTTGGTTTCCACAACTGAAGAGGGGAGGGTGCAATTGGGATCCAGTGGGTAGAGGCCAGGGGTGCTGCTAAACATCCTACAATGCTCACAACAGATCACCACGACAAAGAAACGTCAACAGTGTAGAGACTGAGAAACTTTCCTCTAGCTGTAGTGCAAAGAATAGATTTGAGGGGGCAAAATTAGGGTCAGGGAGACCAAGTAGAGATTGCTGAGATAATGGTGGCCTAAACTAAGGTAGAGGCAAGAAGGAAAACAAAAAAAGGGGCAGATTTGTGCAAGATTTAGAATGTAGGCCGGGCGAGGTGGCTCACGCCTGTAATCCCAGCACTTTGGGAAGCCGAGGCAGGTGGATCACGAGGTCAGAAGTTCGAGACTAGTCTGGCCAACATGGTGAAACCCTGTCTCTACTAAAAATTAGAAAAATTAGCCAGGTGTGGTGGCAGGTGCCTGTAATCCCTGATACTTGGGAGGCTGAGGCAGGAGAATCACTCGAACCCGGGAGGCAGAGGTTGCAGTGAGCTGAGATCGCACCACTGCACTCCAGCCTGAATGACAGAGCAAGACTCCATCTCCAAAAAAAAAAATAGAATGTAGACTCATGAGAACCTAACAAATGAATGTGGTGGGTAAGGAAGAGAAAGAAGTAGAGATGAAATTTCCACTCTGACTGGGGAAACTAGGTAGATAGATGATCATGAAGAATCTGAGGAAGAGCAGAAGTCGTACAGGTAAGAATGAATGCATTCATTAATTTATTCAGCAAAACTGCCTGAAGAATACCATGTGCAGCACTGCGGGACAAAACAGGGCTTGCATTCCCAGGCTGTACTCTTGTGAGGACAACAAGAAGGAAGTAGAGAAACACACAAGAACAATGCTAAGATGGGGAAACTCCATACGCTGCGGGAGCACATACAGACAAAGTCCAGGTAGGGCTCCCGGAGAAAGTGACATTTCTAGTGATTCTTCAAGTATGAGATAGTCATCCAGGCAAAGAGATGGTAGAAAAGTGTTTTAGGCAAAACAACAAAATGTGCATAGGCTCAGAGGCCTATCTGATTTTCTATGGCAGGCTGGGCTTTCATCGGCAGAGAGGATGGTCTGAGTGAAGGAAGCTTTGTTTGTTTTTGTTTTTCGTTTCGTTTTGTTTAAATGGTCATACAAAGTTTTTATTGGCTAGCCTTGCTTCAAGAGAAACTGGCCAAATGATGAGGTTGATCATTATCTATTAATAGTTTCATTACAGTCCTGTGTCATTGGGTTACAAGTAAAAATCCCAGATCAAGCATGATGGCTCACGCCTGTAATCCCAACACTTTAGGAGGTCAAGGCAGGCAGATCACTTGAGCGCAGGAGTTCAAGACCAGCCTGGCCAACGTAGTGAAACCCCATCTCTACAAAAAAAAAAAAAAAAAAAAAAAAAAAAATATATATATATATATATATATATATATCCAGTGTGGTGGTGCACACCAGTAGTCCTAGCTACTCAGGAGGCTTAGGTAGGAGGATTGCTAGATCCCAGGAAGTAGAGGCTGCAGTGAGCCATGATCATGCCACTCTACTCCAGCCTGGGCAACTAGGCAAGACCCTGTCTCAAAAAAAAAAAAAATTCTCTATGGCAGAAGGGATCTAGGACTTATGAGGCTGGAAAGTATGTAGGAACTAGATCATACAGGGCTTTATGAATGCAGAAAAAAGTTTCAACTTTCACCTGAGAACAAATGGAAGACTGCAGGGAAGTGGCGTGATTCAGTTTATATTGATCACTCTGAATAAAGTATAAAGGATTGATTGGATTGGGACAAAAACTTGGACACAGAAGATAGTTAAGAGGCTATTACAGCAAAAAAGCCAAAAGATGATAAATGTCTTAACTAGGGTAAATGCAGGGAGATGTAGAGATGTGGATGGGTTTGAGAGGGATTTCTGAGTTTGAATCAACAGGATTTGTTGATTAGGTGGATAGGAAGGACTGCGAGGGAAGGAGGACATAGATTCCGTTTTGGACAAGTAGGATCTCAATGGCCTGTGGCCATCCAGGTGGAGGTCCTCCTCAGTGGGTAAAGTGTGCCCCACCAACACTTGGGGGGAAATCACCCAGGGTTCCAGTTAGAAAAGGATATTCTTGAGCCCCATCCTACTCTATTGAGTGAGAATTTCTGAATGGTATCTATAAAGGTATGGAAATGAGAGAATATTTAATGGAGGTGGAATTAATTTGACAAGTCTAGAGTACCTGTGGAAGAGTGGAATGTGAGCAGATGAGACTTAAAGGGTTCTGGATTATCCAGGGAAGTTTGCCAGATTAAAGAAAAGCCTTATGTCATATTAAGATTTTGATTTTTAAAAATTTTCTTAATTTTTTGTATTTTTAGTAGAGACAGAGTTTCACCATATTGGCCAGGCTGGTCTCAAACACCTGACCTCAAATGATCTGCCCACCTCAGCTGGGATTACAGGCGTGAGCCACTGCGCCGGGCCTCATGTTAAGATTTTGGATAACACCTTATTGTAAGATTTTTAGGCAGGAAGTTGATAAGATCAAATTTGCATTTTAGACATATCTTTCTATTGGTGATGTGAAGGATGGAGAGGAGTCCAGAAGAGAAATTGTGAAAGTTGACTGTCAGGCAGAATGACTGGAGGTGGTGAAGTGGGGATATATGTGAAATCTCTCAGATACAGCATCAATAGAACTTGTGGGTAAATGCAAAAGATGAGGTAACTTAGTATCCCTTGAAATGACCAAGTCCAGGGGCCTTTTACCAGCATAGTTTTCATGATACCACTGTTGCTTTTATTCACTCTCTAAGTGGAAACTCTTCACATGAGAAACATAAATTAACTTGTGGGAAGGCCTGGGAGTGGGTGCAGAGACTCTGGGCCCCCAAAACTGCTGAGTCCTATACTCTTCTACCCAAGTCCACAGGAGCACACACAACCATGGCACCCTTAGGCAATTATGTGTCCTTCCACTAGCGGCACGCCCTCACGCTTGGTGGTAGCATCCCAGCTGTGCTCCAGGCACCCTCTGGCCCTTTAGCTGCATCTCCCACACACCTGCCATTCTCAGAAACCTGCTCCTGCTGCCATCACTCCAAATCAGAAGGGGTACCTGGTGAGCTGGTGAGTGTCGGACTGTGGGGATGCACCATGAGGGCTGTAGCCCAGCAGGATTCCAGAAAGAACCTTCACAGTCTGGCATGTAGTCCTGGCTCCAGGCATATTGGATTACTTGCCAGTCCCCGGCCTCCCTTGCTGTGCCCAAGCTTTTGCTCAGGCTATTCTTTAGCCTCTTGTACCACTTCCACTGCCATCTTCCTATTGCCTTCCCTGTTTGTCCCAGGAAGTGCTTGCTGGCCCCTATGCATTTCCCATGCATTTTACTTATACCTCTTCATCGTCCTTATCAAGTCTTGACTTAGGTTTTGGCTCTTTACATATCTGCTGTTTCCTAAAAGCTCTCAGAGAACAGGGTCCCTATCTGAGTCATATTTGTTTCCTCCAAAGAGCTCAACATAGTATGTAGAGTGTAGGAGGAAAACAGGCTCAATAAATGTGTATGGAAAAGAAGAATAAAAATAAAAGCAGTATTTAACTCCTAGATATTATTAGTAGATCCAGTATTTCAGAGTTATATGGAAAAATCCATAGTTTTCATTTCAATTTCTGCTAAAATCTGAGCTAAACTATAAAATACATGTGGTTATCTTAAGGGTATAAGAGTATTTGGTCTCCCAGGTTTTATGTTCAACTTTTATGAACCATGAAGCTGCTGGAAGTTTGAATGGACAACTGTGCCTTGCCACTTTTAATTGATCTGATCTAGAGACCCAGTTTCTTTAGCTCTTGATCCCCATTACTGTTCTGTCAGTGGAGGAAAGGGCCTGATTTCATACAGAGCTCTCAGTCATTATGGTCTATTAAATCTTTTTTTTTTTTTTTTGAGACAGAGTTTTGCTCTTTTCACCCAGGCTGGAGTGCAATGGTGTGATCTCAGCTCACTGCAACCTCTGCCTCCCAGGTTCAAGCAATTCTCCTGCCTCAGCCTCCTTTGTAGCTAGGATTACAGGCACCTGCCACTGCACCTGGCTAATTTTGTATTTTTAGTAGAGACACGGTTTCACCATGTTGGTCAGGCTGGTCTCGAACTCCTGGCCTCAAGTGATCCACCCACCTCGGCCTCCCAAAGTGCTGGGATTATAGGCAGGAGCCACCACACCTGGACAGTCTATTAAATCATGAATTCAGACAGAGAACCCCTTGGCATGAGACTGTAGATTTAAAAGATTATGCCAGACGCAGTGGCTCATGCCTGTAATCACAGCACTTTGAGAGGCTGAGGTAGGAGGATGACCTGAGCCCAGGAGGTCGAGGCCACAGTGTACTGAGATCATACCACTACACTCCAGCCTGGGTGTCAGAGTGAGATCCTGTCTCAAATAAATAAATAAAAGATTAAAATTTATCTCAATTCTGGGCCTAGGCCTTAAATTTGTCACCTTCTCGTTGAATCTGAGAAAGCAACACAAATAGTAAAAGAATACTTGTTCACTTCCAAAATGGTTTCCTAGTAAGTCAGCCATCTTTATAGAAGTCAGCATCCTAAAGCAATCTTTGTTGTTGTAGTGGTTTTTTTCTCTCTTTTTTTTTTTACTTTAAATTATGTACTGTTAAATCTGGTCGTTACTTAATTGCTCTTTAAAATAAAAATGCAAAGAAACAGAAAATTTGTTTCCTATTAGGAGAAAAAGTCAGCATGCTCTACTGGTTAAGAAAGAGGGCTCTGGCCAGGCACCACGGCTCACACCTGTAATCCCAGCACTTTAGGAGGCCGAGGCAGGCAGATCACCTGAGGTCAGGAGTTCGAGACCAGCCTGGTCAACATGATGAAAACCCATCTCTACTAAAAATACAAAAATTAGCCAGGCATGGTGGCAGGCGCCTGTAATCCCAGCCATTCGGGAGGCTGAGGCAGGAGAATTGCTTGAACCCAGGAGGCGGAGGTTGCAGTGAGCCGAGATTATGCCACTGCACTCCAGCCTGGGCGACAAAGAGCAAAACTCCATCTCAAAAAAAAAAAAAAAAAAAAAAAGGGAAAGAAAAAAAAGAAAAGAAAGAGGGCTCTAGATCCAGACAGACTTTGCCCAACTCCTAGCTCAGCAACTAACTATGTATTCTGACTTCTCTGTACCTCCATCTTCTCATCCGTAAAATGGGAGTAGCCATAATATCCATCTCAGGAGAGTGATGTATCTAAATGAATTAACACGCACAAAGATCAGGCCTGACACAGAATAAACAGTGCAACAAACATAGCTATTATATTTTATGTGTCATGTTGTGCTCAAATGCAAATCCACTAATATGTAATTTTTTCTTGGCTACCTGAGGGACAAAGATGTAAAGTATTGATTCTGGGTAATCATAGGAAACAGTTTCTAATTTTTTTCAATAATGCACTAACGAAGAAACATCTTTCTACAGTGAATTAGAAATAGATCTTCTCAAGGTGTCAAAATCTTATGGCAAATGTGCTGTTGATTTTTCCGCCTGGTAAAAGTTAGGCTCTTCTTCAAAGAAATCATTTCAAATTATTTCCACAGATGTGATGGCCATGCAGGACCTCCTATGCCTGTGAGGGGAGCTGCTGTGGTAAGTAACCAGATAACTACAGGTTACTCTAAGAAATTCAGAATTTATGTAATCCCAGGGTGGCTACCTATTTCAGTAGTATTCCCCTCGGCTCAGTTTTAAATTTATTTTAGAAGCTTGGATTTCTCCCTAAGAGTTCAAATTTTCCCAATTATATTTGGCTTCCAGTTGACTTTGATACTGGAATTCTCTGCCAGGAAGGAGTGAGGCCATCATGTTTCCACTTATGCCATCAGTGGCATCTCTGATATTTTGCCACGTGTTGCCCCTGTACAGCCCTGAGGTGTTGGGCAGAGGAGGCGGCCAGAGGCAGCCACAGCCACGTTTGCCAGCCAGGATGGGTTTGCACCAGATCCTTTCTGAGTGTGGTTATCATTTGTACTCAAAGAGGAAGCCTCTCATAGGTGAGATGCAGGAAAAAGTTCGCATGAGGGTTGACCCAGCGAGATGCTTCCTCAGAGGCTAAAATTTAAATTTGTCACCATGTTCGGATGCTGACAAGATAAAGAAGCTTAAGTGTTCTGTTTCTGCTTTTTCATGGTCATAACTTTGATCTACACATTCCTGTGTCTTCCTGTGTAACTCGTATGGTTTGGAGATAAAAGAAATGGAGAGTTTTGGAAGGGACCTTTAGGAAGGTTTTGAAAGCGGGCAGGAGGAGAGCAAGTATATTTATCAGTGGATCGAAGCCTTAGTACTGGGTCCTCCCTTTTTCTTTCTCTCTCTCTCTCTCTCTCCCTCCCTCTCTCTTTGCAAAAAGCATGAGGTAAAATTCTGGTGAGGAGGAGTGCATATAAACAGAGGTTCTTTTTTTTTGAGACAGTTTCTCACTCTGTCACCCAGGCTGGAGTACAGTGGTATGATCTTGGCTCACTGCAACCTCTGCCTCCAGAGTTCAAGCGATTCCCCTGCTTTAACCTCCCAATTAGCTGGGATTGCAGGCCCTCACCACCACACCCAGCTAATTTTTATATTTTTAGTAGACACAGGGTTTCACCATATTGGCCAGGCTGGTTTTGAACTCCTGGCCTCAAGAGATCCTCCCGCCTCAGCTTCCCAAAGTGCTGGGATTACAGGCGTGAGTCACCATGCCCAACTGGAAACAGAGGTTCTTTACACTACTTCTTTCTGGGTGATAACACTGAGCCCTATTTTTCTCCTATATATGCCTCAGCCCCAACCATGACACCAGCACTAAAAATTGCTACACTCTAATGGAGAACTTACTGTCCTCCAGGCACTTGACACAGATCATTTCGTTTAATCCCCAGAGAAACTCTATAAAAGAGGTACTATTATTCTCCCCAATTTAAAGATGAAGAAAGTGAGGTTTAACGAGTTAAAGATCATGCTCAAGGTCACCCTGGTAAATAGCAGACTGAGGATTAGAAAGCCTGGGTTTTTGGAACTCCACAGCATGAAGTCAGTAATGCCAGCAGCTCCTCAGCTCTGATGTGCTGTTTGCACATGGACCCCAGTTGCTCGCCACCTGCGGAGACTCTGCTTTAACTAAGCAGTGGACTGAAGTGGCATGACCTCCCCATCCAGCTTTGCCCTCTGAGAGGACAGAGCCCTGCTCCAGGATGCTTCTGTACTCTCGGTTTTCCTAGGGGAAGTATTCAGACTGACCATCCTCTGCCGTTTGAGAGCCACGGGGTCTGAGGCAGAAAAGGAATGTAAAAAGAAAGGCAAATGCCTGAAAGAAGTGGAGCTAATTTGAAGTTTTGGGGATTTGAAAATCCAGTCTAGGGATTAATAGACATCTTACTTTGACAGTCCTGATTCCCACTTGCACGAAACCATTTCACTGCTTGGAGCATGTCAGTCTAAAAGGCAAGAGCTGGGCAAATAAGGGAAATGGAACCCAGTGACTGTTGCTCCCCATGAATAGCTATTATGAAAAGTAAGAGAGAGGCTGGGAAGAGTGGTTCATGCCTATAATCTCAACACTTTGGGAGGCCAAGGTGGGAGGATTGATTGAGGCCAGGAGTTTGAGACCAGCTTGGGCAACATAGTGAGACCCTGTCTCTACAAAAAAAAAAAATTTTTTTTAATTAGACAGGTGTGGTGGCACACACTTGTAGTACCAGCTAATCAGGAAGCTGAGGTGGAAGGATCACTTGAGCCCAGGAGTTGGAGGCTGCAGTGAGCTACGATTGCATCACTGTACTACAGCCTGGGCAACAGAGAGATATCCTGTCTCAAAAAAAAAAAAAAGAAAAGAAAAAGAAAAATTTAAAAAAGGAGAGAGAGAAAGAAAAAAATAATGAAAGCACTATCTCTAAATTTTTAAAGTAATATCTAAAATAAGACTTCTGCATGACGTGTAGATTTCTCTTACTTATTCAAGGAAGTTCTATCCCCTCAACCCCACAGAGAGCTGGAAATTGACCATGGATGCCATAGCGATTCTCCCCAAGATTTGAGGTGATGAACTTCTCATCACTTGGTTGGCAGCCAGGCAGGAATGGTACAAGCAGATTCCACTATTTCATGGGAAGTTGTACTATATTATTAGATGATCTTCCACTTAAAAAAGAAGGAAGCTGCTACTTAAACATTTGCATAAGCTTAAAAGAAGCAAAAGACACATAGAAATTTCAGAAAACATAGAAATTTTAGAGCTAGAGAAACACTTAGAGATCATCTAGCCCAGGGTTTCTCTCAATCTCAGCACCATTGACATTTTGGACTCCTGCGTATTGCAGGATGTTTAGGAGCATGCCTGGGCCACTTGACTACTCCTTATCTCTGAACAAACTCTGGCTACTGTCCAGTGATACTGCCAGCTCTGTACCCTTAGGAACACACCTCCAATGTGGCACTTCTTACACTGGGCTTTTTGTCCAGATTGGTGTGGGCTCCTCAGGCAGGGCCTGTGTATTAGTTTGTTTTCATGCTGCTGATAAAGAGATACCCAAGACTGGGTAATTTAAAGAAAAAGGGGCTTAATGGACTCACAGTCCCATGTGGCTGGGGAGGCCTCACAATCATGGCGGAAGGTGAAAGTCACATCTTACATGGTGGCAAGCAAGAGAGAATGAGAGCCAAGCTAAAGGGAAAACCTCTTATAAAACCATCAGATCTCATGAGACTTATTCACTACCACGAGAACAGTATGGGGGAAACCGCCCCCGTGATTCAGTCATCGCCCACTGGGTCCCTCCCACAACACGTGGGAATTATAGGAGCTACAGTTCAAGATGAGATTTGGTTGGGGACACAACCGAACCATATCAGGCTGTGTATCCCCACTGCCTGGCACAAACTGAACACTCAGTAATTGAAAGAAGAAATGAATGAGTGGTTTTAAGTTGCAGCTACATTGGTGGATATGACCTGTGCAGGAGAACAGACATGGAACAAATTCAGGAACACCTTGAAAATTTAATTTGTTGATTTTACCAAGGCATTTGATAACATCAGTGAGTTTAGGCTTCAGCTCTGACAGCTGTTCTACAGGTTTGGCTGCCCTAGGAAGTTCTCAAGTACTCTAAGGCTACTCTATGACAGAGGTTTGTTTGTCTAGTCAGGTCAGAATCACAGACAGTATCAGTGGAGTGAATTGGAGTTGTGTAAAAGACCTCATTTTCTTCAGCCTATTTTATGTACCATGTAACTGAGATCCTGAAAGCCAGCATTTTGCAATGGCCTCTCATCCTGTGGGATACTTTTCTACCTCATTTGGCTACCAGCATCAACAGGAGTCTTCCAGGAAATTCTCTATAACCACAAAAGAATAGTAGCAGCAACAATAAGGATTACTAAGTGCTAGACATCATTCTAAATGCATCACAACTATTAATATTAATTCACCTAATTCTTACAGCAACCCTAGGCAATGGGTATTGTTATTGTTGCTGTTATTTTCCTTTTACCAAGAAAGAAACTAAGGTACAAAGAGATTAGATAACTTGCCCAAAGTCATATAAATATTAATGGGCAGAGCCAGGATTGGAACCTATGTAGAGCTCATGTGCTTAACCACTACACTGTCCTGCCTCCAACATGCTTTTCTGAGTCCTAATATTACAAATCTTCAGTGTCTCAATTTCTGTAATAATATATATTAGTAATCCCAAAGTCATGTAAATATTAATGGGCAGAGCCAGGATTGGAACCTATGTAGAGCTCATGTGCTTAACCACTATACTGTCCTGCCTCCAAAGTGCTTTTCTGAATCCTAATATTACAAATCTTCAGTGTCTCAATGTCTGTTAATAATATATACTAGTAATCTTATATAATTAGTTTTCTATTTTTTGAGATGGAGTCTCACTCTGTCACCCAGGCTGGAGTGCAGTGGCACAATCTTTGCTTGCTGCAACATCTGCCCCCAGGGCTTAAGCGATCCTCCCACCTCAGCCTCCCAAGTAGCTGAGACTACAGACATGTTCCATCAAGCCTGCTAAGTTTTTGTATTTTTGGTAGAGACAGGGCTTCACCATGTTGCCCAGGCTGGTCTTGAACTCTGGAGCTCAAGCAATCTGCCCGCCTTGGCCTCCCAAAATGCTGAGATTACAGACATGAGCCACCACACACAGCCTTATATAGTTAGTTTTCCACCTTGGTATATCATAAATCAATTCATAACTATGTGCAAAGTGTCATGCCATATACAATGAAAGGCATGGAATGTCTAAGACAAGTTTCCTTTCTTCAGAGAGTTTACCATCTAACTGAAGATATGTACATTAGTGAAATAACGGTAAAAAAAAATAATGGAAAGAAGAGGGTTTGGGATCAGATCATATGAGTATGAGTAGCCAGTGCCACCATATAGATTATTCATGTGACTTCAGTAAGGCACTTGCATGAGATACAGTTTCCTCATCTGAAAAAATGGGAATGATAATTCCTACTTAATTCACAAATTTGTTATAAGGATTCAGTAAGAGAGGATATTTTTAAGTATATTAAAAATAAATGAGTAATTTTGTTCAAATACAAGAAAGTTGGAGGCTGGGCGTGGTGGTTCATGCCTGTAATCCCAGCACTTTAGGATGCCAAGGTGAAAGGGTTGCTTGCACCCAGGAGTTTGAGACCAGCCTGGGCAACATAGCAAACCCATTTCTACAAAAAATTAAAAAATTAGGCATGGTGGCACACATCTATAGCCCCAGTTACTCAAGAGGCTGAGGTGGGAGGATTGCTTGAGCCAGTAGTTCGGGGTTACAGTGAGCTGTGATTGCACCACTGCACTCCAGCCTGGGTGATGGAGCAAGTCCCTGTCTCTTAAAAAAAAAAAAATTGGAAAGGATTTTGACACAATTGTGCTGCAAAAAAGGTGTTTGAACATCCTTATCCTCTAGGCCAGGGCTGGGAAATAGGCTTCACCTTTTATGGCAACTCCAAAGCACGGAGCATTATTTTGAGGGGCTTCTGAGTCCAAAACTGAGCCCTAATTAGGATCAGTCAGTGTCTGCTCTGGGTCCTGGAGAGATTTACTTCTCTTCTAGGTCACAAGAAACTTCAGGTGCTTCCCAGAAGCTCTATGACCTGTGTTTGGCTTCAGAGAATGCCTGCTACAAGGATTTAATGCACTAATAAGCCAAGAGCTGCAAAACTTGATCATGAGTAGAATGAGGTATTTCAGCATTGGCTCTGGAATCTGACAAACTGGAAATGAAACTCCTCCCTCCACCAGTGTGACCAAACGCAAATGACCTGACCTCTTGAAACCTCAGTTTTCTCAAAGTAGGGATAATAAGAGTACCAACTCCATAGGGTAGTTAAAACTAAATGAACTAAAGTAACCCACATAAAGCCCTTAACACATTGCCTAGAATAATCAATGTTTAGTTGCTGCTGCTAACAACAATAATAATAATATCTCACACATAGCTTAAATAAAAATTAGAAGTCTATAGGGTAGTGATAATTTTCAATCTTTAGGTCTGATACCTACTATTGACTAACAGTTCCTTTTTTAAAAAAAAAAAAAATCACTAACCTCACCCTTGCAGAGTTACAGTTGAGTGTAAATGAAACCTCGGTATTTTCTCTTGCTAGGTATATAATTTACATCTCTGTGTGTTGAAAGCATCCTGAACACGTTGAGTAGGATAGGTCTTGAAGTAGAGGGTCTGGGCAGAAATAAAACCAGAGGAAATTATACTCAGGGTCTCTAGAGGGTAGTGATTCTTCCCAATCTAGAGAGGGTCATCTCTTCACGTGACCCCTCTGTTCATGTACTTTTCATTTCACTGTATATTATCATTACAAAGGAATGTGATCCTGGGGGCCACAAGAAATGTACTGGTCTACATACATAGAGAAAAGATTGTTTGGTGTTAAATGGTCGAGAGAGAATTATGCCTACTGTTCTCTTAATCAGATATATCTACTTTGCACCAACTACCAAAATTGCAGATTTGAGAAGAAAGGACTTATAAGATCTGTAACTAATTGTTATTATCACTAATACTAACAATTATTGATGTAGGGTAACCTCTGAGTTGGACAGACAAAAGGGAACACTTTGATGTAGGGTAAAAAGAATTAACTTTAACTGATCTGATTTCTCAAATGATTAGTTTGAGGTTTTATTACCTCTAATCAGTATCCCATTATAGTTGTGTTTTGCTTTTAACATTTGTTTACTTCCGAATTTTATATTAGTATGCTAAATCATATTCAGTGACCAATAAGTTATCATGGGAGCACTCCTTCCGTATTAATAAATCTCCTTTGTGAGTAGTCAATTGTGGCTTGCTCATAGAACTGAAAACCATAGGTCAATGAAATTTGGGCAGGTTTCTGTAGGAAATAACTGACCTAGACCTTGAGAAAGAAAACAAGCAGGAGTGAAAACACAAGGTCGTAAGGAATGTAGGGGTTAAGAGAACCAGCGCCGTGGAATCAGACAGACCTGTTATGGAGAAATTAAGAAGTTGGAGCTTTGGAAAGGATCGACATGTGGTCTTAGGCATGAAAGATGAGACAAAACATAGTGGTGAAGGTCAAATAGAAAGGGAAATTTTGAGGTGGGGAGAGGGATTCAAGAGGCAAGGACTGGGTAGCAGAGTGAGCTGAAAATAAAGACTGGAAAGGGAAGTGGATGAGTGCAGGATGAGCTAAAGTGGAGTCATGAGTGACAGAGCCAGTTTGACAGAGGAAACGCAAATGGAGTTTTGGCACAAGAAAGTGAAGGCATGGGGTGGATAATGTTTGCAAGGTTATGAAGACAAAAGCTTGAAAGTAGGGCAGTGATTAGATTTTATGAAATAAAGATAAACATTTGTTAGTAAACAAAGATAATAATAATAGCTGGGCGAGGTGGCTCATGCCTGTAATCCCAGCACTTTGGGGGGCTGAGGCAGGAGGATTGCCTGAGGTCAGGAGTTCAAGACCTGTCTGGCCAATAGGGTGGAACCCCATCTCTACTAAAAATACAAAAAAATTAGCCAGGCATGGTGGCGTGCGCCTGTAATCCCAGCTACTCGGGAGGCTGAGGCAGGGGAATTGCTTGAGCCAGGGAGGTGGATGGTGCAGAGCCCAGATCGCGCCACTGCACTCCAGCCTGGGCCACAGAGGGAGACTCCGCCTCAAAATAAATAAATAAATAAATGAATAAATAAAACAATAATAAAGGAAAACAAATTTAGTTCTATATCATTCTCCTAAATCCTTTCATTGAAAAACTAGCAATAGGTTTTTTTAAAGCCATTTATTATTTATACAATCAAACTTTTGAGTGCCTTTGTTGCAGAACTACCAGATCAGCTTATTATGGGCATCTGAGGGGTTCTACCATTCTAGATCAGCAGTCCCCACCGTTTTTGGCACCAGGGACCCACTTCGTGGAAAAGAACTTTTCCACAGAAAGTGGTGGTGGATGGTTTGGGAATGAAACTGTTCCACCTCTGATCATCAGGCATTAGTTGGATTCTCATAAGGAAAGCACAACCTAGATCCCTCGCATGTGCAGTTCACAATAGGGTTCGCAATCCTGTGAGAATCTAACGCCTAATCCCAGGGCTGATCTGACTGGAGGCGGAGCTCAGGCGGTAATGCTCGCCCTTTACCCCACACTGTGCAGCCTGATTTCTAACATACCACAGACCAGTACCGGTCTGTGGCCCAGGGGTCAGGGACCCCTATTCTAGATGACCTCTAATAGAAACACATTTTTCCCCCTAAATCCTCAGGTTCGCAATTTTTTTTTTTTTTTTTTTTTTTTTTTGAGACAGAGTCTCCCTCTGTCTCCCAGCCTGGAGTGCAGTGGCACGATCTTAGCTCACTACAACCTCCGCCTCCCGGGTTCAAGCGATTCTCCTGCCTCAGCCCTCCCAGGTAGCTGGGATTACAGACATCTGCCACCATGTCCAGCTAATTTTTGTATTTTTGGTTTTTTGTGGGTTTTTTTTTCTTTTTTTCTTTTTTTCCAAGACAGAGTCTCACTCTGTCGCCCAGGCTGGTGTGCAGTGGCATGATTTTAGCTCACTACAACTTCCGCCTTCCGAGTTCAAGCTATTCTCCTGGCCCAGCCTCTGGAGTAGCTGGGATTACAGGCACTCGCCACCACACCCAGCTAATTTTTGTATTTTTAGTAGAGACAGTGGTTTCACCATTTTGGCCAGGCTGGTTTCGAACTCCTGGCCTCAAGTGATCTGCCTACCTCAGCCTCTCAAAGTGCGGGGATTACAGGTGTGCGCCACTGCACGCGGCCAAGTTCACAAATCTTAAGGTCCACTACGAGTTCTAGCTAACAGGGTCTTGAAAAAATAGGTACAACGTTAGGAAATCCAAAATCCAAGCCATTGGAGCCATGGAGACAGCACTCCAAACTCAAGAGGGGTCGATTTCTTTCCTCTCTGCAAGGAACCCCCACTAAGATCTGTGTAATGCTGTTACCACACCCCACCACTTACCCAAAGTTAGCCTTTGGTTGGAAGGTTTCCTTAGTATTGGCCCTTCCGTGGTCGCCAGGAAGATATTACCAGAAAAGTAATACTGGATCCAGACCCCAAGAGAGGGTTCTTGGATCTCGCACAAGAAAGAATTCAGGGCGAGTCCGTAAAGTGAAAGCAAGTTTATTAAGAAAGTAAAGGAATAAAAGAATGGCTACTTCATAGAGCAGCCCCAAGGGTTGCTGGTTGCCCATTTTTATGATTATTTTTTGATGGTATTATGCTAAACAAGGGGTGGGTTATTCATGCCTCCCCTTTTTAGCCCATATAGAGTAACTTCCTGATGTTGCCATGCCATTTGAAACTGTCATGGTGCTGGCAGGAGTGTAGCAGTTAGGACGACCAGAGAGGTCAGTCTTGTTGCCATCTTGGTATTGGTGGGTTTTAGCCGGCTTCGTTAGTGCAACGTGTTTTATCAGCAAGATCTTTATGACCTGTACCTCGTGCCGACCTCCAGTCTCATCCTGTGACTTAGAATGCCTTAACCGGCTGGGAATGCAGCCCAGTAGGTCTCAGCCTTATTTTACCCAGCCCCTATTCGAGATGGAGTTGCCCTGATTCAAACGCCTCTGACAGTGCTGTGTAAGTTCGTAGGAAACTTGGCAGAGAGAGGCTCAGTACCTTGCCTGAAGGCTTATCACTGAAATAATTAATGTAGGTATAGAGAAGTTGCAGGTCAGTTACAAATGGCAAAAACAACACATTATAAATTGAGAAATAAATATTAGAAAAATGGATTTGCAGTCCTTAGACTAATACTTTTAAGCTTGGGACAGTTTGGTGGGAGCGTGTGAGTATTTTGACTGGTGAAGGCTCAGAAATAATATTGTGTTCTCTGCTTTAAAATTAGCAGGCAAAAATATACAATTCACCTCTGGAAAATCATCTAGTTGACAGTACATTTGTCCCAAAGCCAGCAGTCATGAGGGAGGAGAGTGGCATGCCTCCACCGTGGGATGCTTCACTGCTGGAGAATGAGTTTTTCCAAGGTAAGTTCATGCATTAAATTGCCTTTGCAACTACTGATAACTAAAGGAAGTAAACAATAACTAGTTTGTATCAAACTACTCAAAACATATGAAACACTGTACTTTATTTTTTACATCCTCATGTTTAGCTTATTTGAAGAGGATGCTGATATGTTATTAACACAAGTATTAAGAATCTTATGATTAAATATAATCTAAGCAAATATTCTTGAATCATGGACTGATAAATATATGGAGTAGTAATAATGTTTAATATTTAACCTTAGGGGTCAGGAGTTTGAGACCCCATCTCTACTGAAAATACAAAAATTAGCTAGGCATGGTGGCACGCACCTGTAATCTCAGCTACTTGGGAGGCTGAGGCAGGAGAAGTGCTTGAACCTGGGAGGCGGAGGTTGCAATGAGCCGAGATCATGCCACTGCACTCCAGCCTGGGTGACAGAGCAAGCAGAAAAAAAAAATTAACCTCAGGTAAAAAGGAAATACATCTTTAGGAAATACATCTACAAAGTTTGCTGTTTAATAGACTTTTATTGTTCCAGATTAGGACCCAAATGCACTGTGATAAAATCTAATTGACATTAGACAATTAACCTTGTATGATGATAAAAACTGAGACAGGTTCCAAAAGCAGTGGCGTTCCAAATGCACATGTATCTTATTATATGATCATAGTTTACTTTTACAAAGGTTATTCTATATAAGCCCGGCCATTTGAAAAGTTAACTCTGAAGTCGCCACCAGCTTCACTTTGAGGAACTTCATTTAGTTTGCAAAGGCAATACCATCGCCTGGCCCATATTGTGTGGGACAGCAGTCGGGTAGAGACAGTCAGCTGGACAGTCAACGTAGGGGCCTTCTTCAGTAAGATGCTTCCTGGCAGAGAACAGAGGAAAATCTTTGTTCCAAAATGAAGGTTTTGTTGAAAGAGGAGAGCTACTGTTTATGGAATGAAAAAATAATGAAAAAATAATAATAATGTGGCCTTTCTGAAACTAATGTAGAGAAGCAGAACAGGAATTTTTCTGATGTCAGGAGTGATGAGTAAACAGCATTGTTAATCTGGGATTCTAAGTGGCTTTAATTTAAAATCTTGTCATGGGGATGTTAAGAATGGTTACCTCTAGGTAGAATTCCTGGCGATTTTACTTATATTGTTATACTTTTCTGTATTTTCTGTTCTAAATACATTCTGCTCTTGTAGTCAACCAAGACTTTAAGGGGAAAGAAAAACATAAACAGCTTGAAAGGGAGAATGGGTATCAAAGAGATTTTCATTATAATTTGTTTTAAAGATAGATTTTTATTCATTATGCAGTTGTTTTGTTTTGTTTTTTGCCCCACCTT
Organism: Homo sapiens; assembly: GCF_000001405.40. Taxonomy (NCBI): domain Eukaryota; kingdom Metazoa; phylum Chordata; class Mammalia; order Primates; family Hominidae; genus Homo; species Homo sapiens. The sequence continues at coordinate 108,516,887 of NC_000011.10, read as the reverse complement.
ATACTTCAGCATTGCTTGATTATTTTATTGTGGCTATAGGGAACAAATTACTTCAGGTCCTAGGGGTAAATAAATATTTTTCACTAAAACATTCACAGATAATTCCCTAAAAGAATTCCTTAATTACATATCCTTAATGTTCAAGATCAGTTTTTCTTTTGGTTGTACAAACTTAATAACACCAACTTGCAAATAAAATAGGATAGGGAAAAATCCAGAACAGATTTTTTTAAATCCCTTTAGCATCTGCCCTAACTTAATTGGCATGTTGCATGTACATTTCACTTATGTGTGCTCAGACACTTACATTTCCTGTCATTATACAGTTGAAATAAAATTTGTAATTTATTTGTATTTATTGAACATGAATATAGTAAACTATATCTATTATAGAGTGGGTCTTAGAGAGTCTACACACCTCAAAAGATTATGATTCTATTCAAAATCTAATGGGTTTTTATTGAGGAAAACATGTCAAGTACAATTAAATGGATACAATTCAAAGAAAAGCCAACTGTGTCACCAAAAGGATGCTGTGGCTTGTCTAAGATCACAGAGGCTGTGGTCCTAGAGAGCATGAGCCCTGGGTCTGGGCTTGGTCTAGGTCTTCAGTTATCGTAAGGGGGCCCCTGGGCACTGACTTTGACACCACTCCCTGACTTTGCTACCGAGAGAAAAGTCATCATTATTTGACAACAGCAACTTCACGTCTTTGTAAAACTATGAGCTCGTCTCACAGTAAAATCATCTGTATGGTTCATAAAGAGCAAAATATGAAAAGTGAGTTTTTTTTTCTGGTTTTTTTTTTTTTTTTTTGAGACGGAGTCTCGCTCTTTCGCCCAGGCTGGAGTGCAGTGGCGCCATCTTGGCTCACTGCAAGCTCTGCCTCCCGGGTTCACGCCATTCTCCTGCCTCAGCCTCCCGAGTAGCTGAGACTACAGGCGCCCGCCACCACGCCCGGCTAATTTTTTGTATTTTTAGTGGAGACGGGGTTTCACCATGTTAGCCAGGATGGTCTCAATCTCCTGACCTCGTGATCCGCCCGCCTCGGCCTCCCAAAGTGCTGGGATTACAGGCATGAGCCACCGTGCCCGGCCCAAAAGTGAGCTTTTATGGCACAGAGGTTGCATTGTACAGTGGTTGTATGCATGGATTCAGGAAACAGACTGTCTGGGTTCAAATCCCAGTGCTGTGTGATCTTAGGAATTTGCTTAATCTCTTCTTGCATCAGTTTCCTCATTATAGAATGAGAATAGTAATAGGACCAACCTTCTAAGTTTGTGTGACGACTTAGTGAGTTAATATATTAAGCGTTTAGGACTCTGCCTGACACATAGAAAGTGCTGTTTTATAGGAGTGTTAATGGGTATTAATTTTTCCAGAAAAAAAAATCTACCATTGGCATATCATTTAATAATATTATATATCCAACTAAGTATGTTCATAAATTAGGTGCTAAGCTTTTAGTGGTAATACTGTTTTCTTAACAGTACAACCTAGAAATCATATGCTACTTACAGAGGTTCATTTCTATTATGATCCCAGGAGGTATACACAGCTGGAATTATTGTAGCAACCTAGTGACATGAAAGAAACAGAAAGACAAGGCTTAATAATACTAACAATTGTCTAGTTATTCAATGTCTGCATTATTAATTCCATTTTATTACTGGTCCATATCTTAGAAAAACTCAATACACTTTAGATGCACTAAAAAAAAACATGATTAAAATTCATTGTTAGAAGAATATAGTTCAATTTCCTTACGGCGTTAATGGAAGGTTTACTTTGAAAAAAAGTGATTTGAAAAAGTAGGAAAGAAATTTTCACTATAGTCTTATAAAAGTCAGGCTATCTTAAAAATATAATCAAAATTAATGTTATAACATGATAATATGATAAAAATAAAATTATAAATGATTATGTTTCTTGAAAAGGAGCCTTCAATAACTCAAATTATTATTAAACTGTAAAAACATACAGAAAAAGGTTGATTCACATTCTCTTTTCAGTTTTAGATGACTTGGATAGCAAATTGGCTCAGGAACAGTCTGCAAGCTCAGTGAATACCAGAACACCCCTCAACTATGGATCAAGAACACAGTTCGGTCACTTTTATTCCAGTGGTAACAGACATGGTAATATCACAGAAAGGCACAAAAAACACTATAATGAAACTTCCAATATGTCTATCTATGACATCCTAAGACCAGGAACTCCTAGGGAAGGTTTTAAAACCTTTTCTCCTAGGACAAGCACAATTTATGATATGTATAGGACAAGGGAGCCCAGAGTCTTTAAAGAAGATTATGTGCAAAAGAATACTTTTGGCAGTACTTCGCTGTGTTTTGACAGCAGGCAACGGTCGGCCTTACCAGCCACAGGGCATTTCACAGCAAGAAGCTTACATTTTCCAGCCACAACTCAGAGCAAGAGTGGGTTTATACCACCAAGGCACCAGCAGAGTCCAAAGAGAACTCCTTTATCATCCATCATATGGAACAGATCAGATTCCTCTAGAGACAGGGAGAACCAGGAAGAGTTCCTGAGGGCACCATCACCAATGGAAATTGATCCCGCTGACAAGTATGTGTATCCCAGGGGTTTTCAGGAGAATAAGAGATATGAATCGTACCATTCACAGAATGTTTACCAACGTGTTAGTTTAAATGCTCCCATGGAGAATGCAATGAGTCCCGACACTTTTGAGAACTCAGAGAACATGCCATTCTACCATCAAAGCAACACATTTACCAGATCTTTCTTCAGCAATACCTTTGGACGAAGCGGAGAACAGAGGAGATTTGGACAAGGTCCTTTTTGGGGCCAAGAGAAAGGACATTCTTTCTGGTCTGACTTTCATCGAAGCAGGAAATCATTCAGTTCTTCTGACAGAGACTTTGAAATGATTTCCATGGAAGCAAATAGTGTATCAGCCATTCATGGCCATAATGTTTCTTCTGAACACTGGGAATCATTTTCTTCTGGTTATGGAACAGATGTTTCCAGAGGCCAAGAAGAGCCACATCCTTGGCAGTTTGATTTTCAGAGATCCACACTGGATAGCATGGTGGTATCACATGGTAATGAGACCCAGTTGACTCCTCATTTTGGCACACCAAATGTTTGCTCCATGACTGGTTCAAGCTATCACGTCAAATCTAGTGAGTTGGTAAGTCAACAGGACAGTTCTCCTGTAGAAGTACATATAAACAAAGAAGCTTCCTCATTTGGAATTGCTCAGACTCTAGCATCCTCATTCAAAACTTCCTTTTCCCAGATTTCTGATGACAGAAGGAATCCTCAGAGTCCCAACTTGCAGAATCCCACAGTCACTTTGCAGAAAATTTTTCCAAATAAGCCTGCCTCTCATCCAATGAGAAGCCATACAGAAGTCACTGTGACCAGCAGCAATTCAGTTGACTCTCTGCCTCTTGCCAAAAGCCAGCCCAATATCTTGGTCACAGAAGTAAATAATGAGAAAGACTTAAATGAATCTATTTCAGAAGAAGACAAACAGCTAAGCAAGATGGACCAGACAAACAAGGCAGGTGAAATACCCCAACCTGTTTCACAGACAGGGATCTCAAACTCTTTACCTGATTTTCAAAATCCCTTATCCCAGGACTCAGCCAAGAGCAACGGGTTTGGTTTTAATGCATCTACCATAATAAGTTCAAAAAAGTCACCCAGAGTCTTTTCCAGGAAAGATACCTCCAAAATGTATATACCGCACACAGATAAATCCAATGACATTAAACAAGATAAGAGGTTTACTGAAAACAGAAAACTTGGCTCAACAGCTTCCCTTCCTTTCATTCAGGAACACAGAACACCACCATCTTTCCCCAGGACAGACCAAGGTTGTCACCAGGAATTAACTGTAAATAATGAAGATATTTCAAGAATTATTACAAATAACCACTGGAGCTCTGCACTGACTGATACTCAAAATGCACAATACTCAAAATGCAAGTTAACTCCTGGCCACAAGACCTCGTGTGATTCTTTAGATCTGTCATCAGCTGCACTACCAGATTCCTCACCATCAAAGAATTCTTCCCTTGATGCTCCTGTGGTTCCATCTACTACAGTGTTCTCCAGGAGAAGTCCTTCAGACAAAGATCCATCGCTAGGAGAAAGAGAAGAAAAAGACAATGCTGGGAAGAACCAAAAGAATCAGTTTATTGTAAGCCACTCAGAAAACCAAGAGAGAAATGATAGTCCTGTGCCTACACATGATGAAGTGGTTGATGTCAAATGCCATTCACACTCTCCTTTTAGGAATGAAAGAGGAAAAGGAAAAATAAGGCATCATATATCCTGTATTGAAAAGTTAAGCAAAACAGAAAGTATATCAGTACCCACCAGTGATCACAGGAGCCTCATTGAAGCAAATCAAAGCAATTCCAAAGTTTCTGAACTTGACACAATTTATTGTACCTTGCCAAGAAAATCAAGCAGTTTTCTCATACATGGCAGGCAGTCAGGAAGTAAAATAATGGCTGCTTCATTGAGGAATGGGCCACCTCCCTTCCAAATCAAAAATAATGTGGAAGATGCAATGGGGAACTATATGTTAAACAAATTTAGTCCCAGTTCTCCTGAGTCAGCGAATGAATGTTCCAAAGTCCTTTCAGACTCAGCCCTGGAAGCACCTGAAGCCACAGAGAGAATGACAAATGTAAAAAGCAGTGGATCTACTTCCGTTAGAAAAGGACCACTTCCATTCCTCATCAACAGGGCTATGTCATGTCCCTCAGGGGAGCCACATGCCTCAACTGGAAGAGAAGGAAGAAAAAAGCCATTGACCTCAGGCATGGATGCTTCTGAGCTAACACCAAGGGCTTGGGAGAGAATCATTAGCCCTGTGGAAAGTGACTCATCTGTTAGAGATTGTTCTTTAACCAAAAGACAACACCAAAAGGAAAACTTCCAAGAATACACTGAGAAAGAGGGTAAAATGGCTGCCTCCAGGAGAAGTGTATTTGCTCTTTCAAATGAAGACCCTTTACCTTTTTGCTCAGACTTGTCAGGAAAAGAACGTGGGAAAACATTACATAAAGTTAAGACGACTAGTACGTTTTCTGTTTCTGGTGATGAAGATAATGTAAAATGTCTGGAGGTGGTCTCAATATATTACACTCTACCGAGGAAACCCAGCAAAAAATTCTGTAACCTCCTTCAACAGTATACACAAAATACTAATTTACTTATAGAATCACCTCAAGTGGAGACTGAAACATTTCCTAACGCTTTAGAAAAAGACAAACAGAATTATTCTACACGAGAGCAGTCAGGAACACCTTCATGTGAAAATCTAAAGATGTCCGTCAACTCTGATCAGACGCTCACCACTGAAAATATGACTGCCTTCCGATTATCAAATAGGGGGCCCCTAGCTCCTACATTACAGGAAATGGCTTCTGTTGAGGCAGCTGTTTCTCTTCCTGAAGAGGAATCTAAAGCTAGAGAGATTTTTTCAGATAATTTAGCTAAAACACCTCTAGGTGATTCAGAAAACAAGAAGGAAAGAGGCAAAAAGTTGCAAAGTGAAACCCTGCATACTTCATTGATGCTTCAGAGAAAAAATGTATCCGAAGAAAAATCTGAAAATTGTCAACAATCCATTAATTCAAGTAACAGTGGTCCCTCTAGTCTTCCAGCTCTTTCAGAAGTTAATATTGGAAATTCCCAAACTAGAAGAAGTTCTTGGGAGTGTACAGGGAGTGGTAGAGCCATTCCATTTACTGGAAGTGGCAAGTGTCCCCAGAAAGATCACACATCCACAGCTGTAGGTGATGGCTCCAGTGGATCACAGCCTAGGGAAGGCAGAGGGGACATTGGAACCAACTGCCAAAAAATGACTAATAAAACACTTTCTCACTCAGAGAGTCAAGTCTTTGCCCTTACTCCAGCATTGCATAAACTACAGCTTGGTGAGGAGACTCAGTCAGATGAACCAAACTTAGAGAGTCTGCAGTCTGAACCAAGAGAATTACCTCAAAGAAGTCAGGAGGCAAATATGACAGAGAGCAGGAAGGCTGAAGATGAAATGCAGAAGTCAGCTTGGGATCAACCTTCACTTCCTGAAGGAAACAAAAATAAAACCAACTTGGATGACCTAGTAAAGGGGGAAAATAGATCTTCAGTTAAACACAGATTGGCAGCCATGTCTAAAGCCAGCAGAAAATTCCCAGCTAAAGATGTAAGCCCCAGAAGACATGTAGCTACTATCTTCCCCCAAAGTGGAAGCAGATCTGGCTTTGACCATTTATCTCTTGGCACAGTGGAGTGCAACCCACTGTTCCCTGAGCCTACTCCAAAATCTGCAGAGTCCATTGGCGAAAGCAGGTTGAGTGAGAACGGAAAGCATGTGAAGAAATCCGAGAACCTTCTCCCCATTACTGTACTACCCAACAGAGAACCTTCTACACACGTCAGCAACCAGAAGTCTAACAGCATTTCACAACGACATCAGAATGAGTTTAAAAACGTCTCAGAATCACCATCAAAGCATGAGAATTCTAAAGACGTCACAGCAGCTCAGAATTTAGTAAGAGAATCAGGAGCCCCATCACCCATCACATTCACCAGCCTCAGGGAAGCAGAATTCTCTGACAATCAGAGGAGGCTGAGCCCTCCTTTTCCACTGGAGCCTGCACAGAAATCTAGAGTAAGCAGTCCACTGGCCAGTTTTCTGCAGCAACAAAGGAGTGCTTCATCTCTGGAGTGGGAACCTGAGCCACACCTCTATCGTTCAAAGAGTTTAAAAAGCATTAATGTTCATGGCGATCTACTACGAAAAAGCCATCCTCCAAAAGTCAGGGAGCGCCATTTTTCTGAAAGCACTTCTATTGACAATGCCCTGAGTCGACTGACCCTTGGGAATGAATTCTCTGTCAACAATGGGTACAGTCGAAGATTCAGATCTTTTTCTGAACTCCCCTCCTGTGATGGAAATGAAAGTTGGGCTTATCGCAGCGGGACAAAAACAGGTCCCAGGTCTGCAATATCTATATACAGACCTATCGACTATGGGATCTTTGGGAAAGAACAACAGTTAGCTTTCTTAGAAAATGTAAAGAGGTCACTTACACAAGGAAGATTATGGAAACCAAGTTTTCTTAAGAACCCTGGCTTCCTAAAAGATGATTTGAGGAACCCTCCCAACCCCTCAGAGTCATTAAGCTCAAATTCTCCCAGTAGTCAGGTGCCAGAAGATGGCTTATCTCCAAGTGAACCGCTTAATATCTATGAGGATGACCCAGTGGACTCAGATTGTGACACAGACACAACCACAGATGATGAATACTACCTGGATGAAAATGACAAAGAGTCAGAACTGTGAGGCTTTTTCAATAAAATGCTTTACTTTTTTCACCAAAAGCTTATAATGGAACTAAGGTGTACATGTGCATGTGCATGGAAGGATAAAAGATCTAGTCTGGGCAGTGTCTGCTCTGAAATGTCCCACATCTCCTTTTTTTTCCTCCACACCCTATATAGACACTTCCTGAATGCTAGAACAATGAATTCTTGTTTTGAGAGAGTCTCTGCTATTTTCTATCTCTGTAAATGTTCTTAGCCTGCCTTTCCACCACTCCCACTTAATCCCTGATTCACTGTCTGATTTGGGCTTTCTGCTTTACTTCCCTCCTAACATTTTTCATCTTTAATTGTGATTTACAACCCTAATATCCCAGGCACATACAAAACTTATGAATTACCCAGCACAACTGTGAAACTCTGTATTGCTTCTTCCGGTCCACACCCTATACTCATGACATTAAATAAAAGGTAGGGATGATAACAGTGGGGTAAATATTATCATCCTGTTTGACTCATGAACATTTAGGAAGTTTAAGGTGGTGATCTTCTCTTTCAAACAAAGATAAAGGAATTTATTTTTTAACCTGAGAAACTGATTGCAAAAAGGAAAAAAAAAAGATAAAGGAATTTTGTAAGTACTTCCTGTTATATCCGTAGTGGAGCCTGGGAGGCACATGGTCAAAGCACATGTTGAGGTTATAGATTAGGACCTGAATCCCTAGTAAGCCAATAGAAGGTTAGCAGTCCTAGAAATTCCTCTGAAACCGTGGGGGACTGGCTGGATTATTAAGGGCTTTTAGTCAAGCCAAGGACTTAGGCCAGGCAACCTGACCATACAGAAAGTTGCCTGGTCACAGAATTTCTGCTTATGAAGAGAACATAGCTGAGGAGCAGAGGTAGGAAGTAGGTATCCCTTCATGGGACCGACTTACCTTTACTGCAGTTCTCTCAGCAACTGGCTTTTCCCATTTCCTCAGAACTATCCATTTTCACATTTTCTTTTTTTTGTTTTTGTTTTTTGTTTGGTTTTGTTTTGTTTTTGTTTTTTGGAGACGGAGTTTTGCTCTGTCACCCAGGCTGGAGTGCAGTGGCATGATCTGGGCTCACTGCAACCTCCGCCTCCCGGGTTCAAGCGATTCTCCTGCCTCAGCCTCCAGAGTAGCTGGGATCACAGGCGCACCCAGGCGCACGCTGCCACGCCCAGCTAATATTTTTGTATTTTAGTAGAGACGGGGTTTCACCGTGTTGCCCAGGCTGGTCTCGAACTCCTGAGCTCAGGCAATCCGCCCACTTCAGCCTCCCAGAGTGCTAGGATTACAGGCATGAGCTACCATGCCCAGTCTTTTTTTGTTTTGTTTTGTTTTTGTTTTTGTTTTGAGGTGGAGTCTTGTTCTTGTTGCTCAGGCTAGAGTGCAATGGCATGATCTCAGCTTACTGCAACCTCCTCCTCCCAAGTTCAGGCAATTCTCCTGCCTCAGCCTCCCAAGTAGCTGGGACTACAGGCACCCACCACCACACCTGGCTAATTTTTTTTTTTTTTTTTTTTTTTTTGGTATTTTTAGTAGAGTTGGAGTTTCACCAGGTTGGCCAGGCTGGTCTCAAACTTCTGACCTCAGGTGATCTGCCCACCTCGGCCTCCCAAACTGCTGGGATTACAGGCATGAGCCACCGTGCCTGGCCCACATTTTCTTTAATTGCAAGGTAGAACGCTTCTTTTCAGGTGGGGCATTTTAGTCCCAAATATCAAGTGGGAACCTTGGCCAAGTCCCTAAAATGCCATCAAGTCAGATCTGACACCCTGGAATTCATTCTTTGCTGCAGGATCATCTACGAAACCCTTGGGAAATTCTAAGGCAGAGCTCCTAAGGGCTTGTCACTATGATTCAGTGATTTATCTAGAGTAAATCACTTATGATACCCACTGATATTTTGGCTTTCCTAACTCTTTATTTGCCATGCAGAACCTCGGGGGATTTCTCTCCTAATTCAGGATAAAGACCAATAGATGGCAGTGAAGATAATCTGCTTTAACTACAGACAGCATGGATTCCTGGATCTCAATACTATGATAGTCAACATGAGTGGATTTTATCTTGCTTGGTTTATATTTGCTTCGCGACCTAATCTAATTTTCCATTTTTTATACCTAGTCTGTTTCATCATTATAAACTAAGAATAATGATAGATGTTGGTGAAGTGTATAGAGATCTGGAACTGATAGAGAGTTAAGAAAGAACTATGTTGTTGTTATCCTTCTAATCATTCCCTTACATAGACGCAAAATGCGTGGGTTACTTTACATGGTTCCCATGCAACTCAAAGCTAATGAACATGCGGTAACTAACATGAAAGCTATTCCCTAAATCTGTCAACTATTTTAAACTTCAAGCTCTGACCAATCCTGAGCTCAGAAAGCTCAAAAATCAAATATTGTGAACTTTTCAATGCAAATTTGTATGGTAAAGAATAAATAACACTATTTCTTGGTTAATATATGTTTGTAAATTCTGCCTTTCCTCTTTTTCTATTTATCTGATTATTATTATTATTATTATTATTTTCTTTGAGACAGAGTCTCACTCTGTTGCCCAGGCTGGAGTGCAATGGCGCAATCTCGGCTCACTGCAACCTCCGCCTCCCAGGTTCAAGCGATTCTCCTGCCTCAGCTTCCCGAGTAGCTGGGATTACAGGTGCCCACCACCACGCCCAGCTAATTTTTGTATTTTTAGCAGAGACGGGGTTTCGCCATGTTGGCCAGGCTGGTTTCGAACTCCTGACCTCAGGTGATCCGCCTGCCTCAGCCTCCCAAACTGCTGGGATTATAGGCATGAGCCACCTCGCCAGCCCTATTTATCTGATTATTTAAGTAAAACTTTAATAAACCATGACCTACATTTTCTATGCAATTTTAAGATACTCAGAGTTAATATTTTAATATTGAGGTTCTTGATTTTTTTAATGATCAGCTTTCAAATTATATTTCAGTATATACTCTGAGTCTACGTGTATGCTACAAAAGGTGAAATGAAGTTAGCTTATTTTTCAGTGAGTTTAGGCTATATTAAGAGTTAGGTAAGTTAGGTAAGGGTGAAACTGCTTTGGGGCCCAGACTGCGCTGGAATGTACTGTTTAAATTCAAAGGTAATTGATGGCCAGTGTTCAGTTGCTCTATTTGTAACGTTTGCATGTTGGTCTGGCTGAAGTATCAGGAAAACACAAAATTCATGAAAATAGCACCTTTTATAATTTTATACTTTTATAAAGCACTTGTTAAAGAAGTATAGCAAATTTCTATGTATTTTAACATACAAGTCGCTGCATTTTAATGTTCATTTTTGGTATAGCTATGGTAACTTATAATAGTCATTTTTATATTCATAACTTGTTTTCTGAAAGATATAGTCATTATTAAAATAAACATTCATGTAAATGGAGTAAATCATAGGGGAATCAATCGTAATAAATACCTTATAAATTATAAACTTGTTTAGATACTAGATTTCTATAACCATAAATTTTATACTGTAAAGTCTGTTTAAAATAGGGTTTAATGAAGTTATTTTAATTTTTAGAGACTCCCCTCTAAATAATTTACTCCTACATTGTAAATACATTGATGCCAACAAAATTCCAACTGCTACTAACAAAGGTTTGGTTGGTGATAAGCTAATAACAGCTACTTTGTGTAGGAGGTAAATATGTGTACTGGAGGGGGTAAAAATCCATTTAGGTTATGGCAAAGATGGGAATCAAACTGTAAAACTCATAGCCCCATAAAATTAATATTCTTTGTTAAGTGCCAGAGGGTTTAAGAGAACTTCTTGCTTAGAGTTTATTGATAATAATAATGCTTCAGAATATCCCATTTAAATGTACAGTGTAAATATGTAAAATATTTTACTTCCCAGGCAAGTTTGTGGCTGTATTGCCACTTAGTGGCTCTTTGTGACTGGCAGTTCTGTATATCTGAAACAAATAAGCTGTAAGCACTTTTGTTAAAACTTTGTCAAATAATCCTTTTATGTACTTGTTCTCAGACCTGTTCTCTGGTTATGAAATGTGTTAAAGACAAGGTGCAAATTTAAAACAATGCCTGTATTGAAATAAATGACTTAAACAGATGCACTATTTGATTTGGTTTTTATTCATATCCTCAAATGATTATTTATTTATTTATTTATTTATTTATTTATTGAGATGGAGTCTTGCTCTATTGCCCAGGCTGGAGTGCAGTGGCATGATCTTGGCTCACTGCAACCTCTGCCTCCCAGGTTCAAGCAATTCTCCTGCCTCAACATCCTGAGTAGCAGGGATTATAGGCATGCACCACCACTCACAGCTAATCTTTGTATTTTTAGTAGAGATGGGGTTTCACCATGTTGGTCAGTCTGGTCTCGAACTCCTGACCTCATGATCCACCCACCTTGGCCCCCCAAAGTGCTGGGATTACAGGCGTGAGCCACCGTGCCCAGCCCAAATGATTATTTTTAAGTGTGAAAGTTTCAGGAAAAATATAAAATGTAGGGGGCTCAGGGGAGGCATAAGTTTTCAAACCAGTCTCTCTTATGGCTGTTGAATGAGATCTGCCATATAGGTGGTTTTTAAAAAAACAGTGGCTTGCTTCTTTCTTATTTGTACCCAAAAAGCAACGAACCAACATCAGGAAATCAATGTGCTTTGTTGCATAATAGGAGAGGAATGAAGAAGGTCTGACATTTCTTTCTGGAGATTCACACATTTATAAAGGAAGAGGGGCCAGGTGTTATGGCTGACACCTGTAATCCCAGCACTTTGGGAGGCCAAGGCGGGTAAATCACCTGAGCTCAGGAGTTCGAGACCAGCCTAGCCTGGCCAATATGGTGAAACCCCGCCTCTACTAAAATACAAAAATTAGCCGGGCATGGTGGCATACACCTGTAATCCCAGTTACTTGGAGGCTGAAGCAGGAGAATCACTCGAACTCGGAAGGCAGAGGTTGCAGTGAGCCAAGATCGCACAGCTGCACTCCAGCCTAGGCAACAGAGTGAGACTCTGTCTCAGGAAGAGGGAGCTACATGGAGCTGGGGCATCTACTGTCCAGTAGCACTGATGAAAGATAAGCAGGTCTCTCTAGTTGAATATAAGTCATGCAATGTTAATTTCCCCCAAGCAAATTAATTAATAGATTTGTACTAATCTTTTACCTTTTCTGGAAAAGCAACCCAAAGCCCTTTTTCTATCAAGGACAGGAGAATGTCAACAGCATTTTATTCAAAATAGTTTTACTGTCCTTTATTAAAATTTAAAATACAGTGGATCAGCTAGGATTTTTAGTGATAGACAATAGAATCCTCTCTAGCTGGTTCAAATAGAAAAAGATCTGTTGGAGGCTGGGTGCAGTGGCTCATGCCTGTAATCCCAGCACTTTGGCCAAGGCAGGCAGATCACTTGAGGTCAGGAGTTCAAGACCAGACTGGCCAACATGGCAAAACCCCATCTCTACTAAAAATACAAAAATTAACCAGCTGTGGTAGTGGGTACCTGTAATCCCAGCTACTGGGGAAATTGAGGCAGGAGAATCGCTTGAAACCAGGAGGCAGAGGCTGCAGTGAGTGGAGATCATGCCACCACACTTCAGCCTGGATGACAAAGTGAGACTCCATCTCAAAAAAAAAAAAAAAAAGAAAGAAGAAGGACGAAAAAGAAAGAGAGAGAGAGAAAGGAAGGAAAGAAAGAAGGAAAAGATCCATTAAATTGTAAATTTTGCTCACAAACTCATTAATAGGGATAAGGAGATAGATTTTGAGCTGAAATTCCAGGACCAATTCTAAAAACCATGCCACAGAATTGGACCTGCCAAGGGGGCTGCTGTCTCTGTTATGACCAGGAAGATGCTGAATCAAGACATCAAGTGGGCCGATATCCTGAATCACTACCTTCATTTGGTCCAGAAATTGCTCCTATAGAAATAAAAACACTAGTATGTATAGACTTGCATGTAGGATTTTTATTGCTACAATGTTTGTTGTGGCAAAACCTGGAAACAAAGTTAATACCTGATTAAGAAATGACTGAATATATTATAGAACATTTACATATGTAATATTGAAAAGCCATTGAAAATTCCTCTTTTGCTTTAGAAATTGTCTAATTTTCAATGTCACTAAGTTGACTTAGAAGAATTTCCATGAGGTACTGTTGAGGGAGAAATGTAAAATTCCATTTTTGTAAAGCATTCACCAAGAAACCTGCATATGCATGTGTACACATGGAGGGACACATTGGTTATTAATGTTGGTTGTTTTGTAGACAGGTGTTGGGGGAGAGGATGTTCAAGAACAGGAGAAAAGAGAGAGAAGTTTCTTTCCTCCAAAGAAGAAACTGTAAATATACACACATATACATATATATAGAAAAATATAAATAAATGAGAATAATTATTATTATTCATGTACTTAAGTGCAACTATTTATCGGGGGTGTACAGATTAAAAACTAAATATACGTTTTTAAAGGATTTCTGTACAGGAGAATATTTAATAAATTACTTTTCTTTCTTAAAAAATTGATGATTTGGCTGGGCGCAGTGGCTCACACCTGTAATCTCAGCACTTTGGGAGCCCGAGGCAGGTGGATCACTTGAGGTCAGGAGTTCAAGACCAGCCTAGCCAACATGGTGAAAACCTGTCTCTACTAAAAATAAAAAATTACCCGGCATCAGGGTGCACGCCTATAGTTCCAGCTACTTGGGAGGCTGAGGCAGGAGAATCTCTTGAACCCAGGAGGCGGAGGTTGCAGTGAGCTGAGATTGTGCCACTGCCCTCTAGTCTGGGTGACAGAGTGAGAATCTGTTTCAAAAAAAAAAAATTGATGATCATACTTGATTCTACAAAACATTGTGTTTTAATAATATAAATGCCAGCACTAAGTTTCCCTCTAGGCCCATGTTCTTTTCCCCAATCATCCTTTCTAGATTATGTCATCTTTCCAGTCTGGAAACTACAATTCCATTCTAGAAATGTTTTGAAGAGATGTAGTAGGTACTGATATGATTGCCCAGCAGACCCTTTTTCTTTGCTCTGGAAACTGACATCCCCTCCCTTCAGGCCATATGTTGACTGTGGAAGAATCAATGTTCTTATACAACCCTAAGAATCTGGGCACAATTGATTGTTTCAAGGTGGAATGTTTTGGAGGAAATTGGTTCTGGATGGAAGTTAATATTTAAACCAATAGTCTCACAGTCTAAAATGTACCCTATAGACTGTAATACATGGAAGGGCAGGGACTGAGTTTATATACCCAATACCTTGCATAATGCATGCCATAAAGTCATGATATAAAGGGTGGGTTGAATAAATATTATTGAAATTATTAAAATAAAGTTTTGTGCATTTTATAGGATCTAATCTTGTCTAACCCTATGTACGTTTTTTTATTCATTGGTGACATGGAAAATTAGACAATTTCTACAAAAATTAGCCAGGTGTGGTGGGGTGCACCTGCAGGCTCGGCAGGAGGCTGAGGCAGGAGAATCGCTTGAACCTGGGAGACAGAGGTTCAATGAGCCAAGATCTCGCCATTGTAGATATGGGTGACAGATCGAGAGTGGCTGGGTGCCACTCCAGCCTGGCTGACAGAGCGAGAGTCCATCAAAATAAAATAAAATAAATGAATAAATAAAAATTAAAGAAAGAAAATTACACAATTTCTAAAGTTAAAGAGGAATTTATTATAAGGATGCAAGGATGTCTCAGAAACCAGAGATAGAGACGCTGCTCATGAACTGTACCAGACTCTAGTGCACTATACATAACCCAGAGAGTTTTCTGTATTTCTCTTCTATTTTCAGAATACAAGGGAAAAAAATAGCAAAGGTTATAATGCTGCTGTTGGAGAGCAGTCGGTACGTTAAAAATCTCCTAACCTTGATTTTAAACTCCCAGGGAAAGGGGATTAGTTCAGCATGAGTCAGTTTCCAAAATAGGAGCCAATAAACTGTAGCCATAGTTAAAGTTATGCTGTTACAAAGCCTCACTGTTAACCAGGCGGACTGTGGAGTAAAAAAAGAAGAGTTACCGAAAAGGTGGAAATGTTATGAACTGAGTCGACAATAATTAGCTGTGAATTTTATGTGACATTAATGTAAAGATTCCAGAGGCCACTGCAATTCACAGAAGTGTATTGAATCTAGACCTTCCAGAGTCACACACTGACTTTAATTATAGGTGTTTGAGATTGGAGTTCAATATGGAGATGAATGTGAAAGGGAATGAAAAACTTCTCGGAGTGTATCGTTTACTTCAAAGTTTTATACATGATGTTCCTGCTATCCAGAATGCTCTCCTCCTTCTCTTTATGTGGCTGATTCCTGTTTGACCTTCAAGGTTCGGCATAGATGTCATCTCTTTCAGAAGCCTCTCTTGGTTCTCCCAAGACTAGATTAGCTGGCCTTCATATGTAGTGTATAAGTACACTGTACTATGTTGGAAAAGGCTCTCTGCCATGGCCCTTGAACTTCTCTGATCATTCTTGCTGTTCTGCCACTCCAATGTCCAGCTCTTTATCAGTCCATTTCTCTGGGCGGTGTTTGTAGCAAGCAACGTTTGAGGGATGAGATAACATCTCCCCACCTTCAAAGAGCAGGCTTAATTCTGTGTAGCCTAAAAGAGGCAAATTCCTTTAGCTCAGTGCTCCTCTCTTGTAATGCAACCCACTTCAGGCATCCATCATAGTCTGTGTGCACTGTCCCCACAGGGCTTGGGAGGCTTAGGAACAAAAAGCAAACCAACATAAAGCTCTGGCTACTGCTTTTGCAGTGAATAATAAAGTTCTTTGATACAGGAGTGTTGTATCTTTTGACAGCATCCATGAAACAGTAACAGGCCAACTTGTTAGTTTGTAAGTGGGATAAAATCCTAGACCATGCAGTTCTTGAGGCCCATATTTTAACACCTATACGCTATTTACATTGCCTCTTAGTCTTTCTTCTCCACTAAACTACAGGCACTTTGAAGTCAAAATACAATATCTAAAATATGGTGGGCATTTAATAAATATGTGTTGAATGAATGAAATTTGATTAATGATAAAGAGTCTGGTCAAAGCACTGGTTGCTCTGAAGAGATATACTCTTTGGAGACAGGTTAAGATGAGAAAGAAAACAGGTTGGTGCAGGCTTAGTATTGCTAAACGCTAGTGTGTTCAGGTACAATTATATGGCTTCCCTGACGTGTTCTCAAAAAAAAAAAAATACTGGGTGTTAACCCAAATGTTATGTAATTTATTAGGCCATGTTTTACTATAATCCAGTACCGGCTAAACCTCAGATTATTTCTCTGGAAATTGTTTTAAGTCAGATTTTGAAAGAGTGTGAGCAAAATGTGTTCCATACAATTTTTTTAAGCGATAGTTGGAACAGAGCAAAGCTTTCTATTTAAAGCAAGGAGACATCCCCACAAAATAAAATTTATCAGTGAAAGTAATACCAAGTAATGTTACACTTTAGCCCTAAAATTTACCGGCAACTGACTACCAGTTCCTGAAACCTTTCCAAAGTACAAAGAATACTGTCCATAACCACTGCTTAGCATTACTAAAATAGGTCAAGAGAAGTGTGAAAATGTGGGAAAGATTTTGCCCTGGTAAAACTTGGTCACAGCAAGAATGCTGAGTAGCACGGTTAAAGCCGTGAGGCGGACAAAGGCTTGTCCAGTGCCTGGCTCTGATGTTTTGGGCATTAAGTTCCCCCAAGAGGGTGCAGAAATCCTGTGTCCATTCTGGGGTGTGAGTTCCTTCTGGATCATTCAGCCAGAGGAGAATCTTTATTGGCTTTAAATAAATTCAGATCTATTAACAATCCATTAACAAATTTGTATCCATTAACAAATTGGATAAAATGATCAAAAAAGAGAGGCAGATAGTAACCTTGACAATCTCTTCCTGGATCCAGCGTTCATCTTCTGAGGAGTGGTGGAGGTGGCTGAGACCAACCACGCACCACCACCCCTTCTCCCACTTCGATTACAGAGGCTTTGAGGTAAAGCTCGCACAAGGGCTCAAGGCAAGGCCTGGTCTTCTGCCACCCCAGTGCCCAGCTCCTCACTCTGGGCTTGGCCCAAACTCCGTGGATGTTCTGTAAACACCTGCTGGAAGAAGAGGAGTGCGGGAGGAAGCGGGGAAAGGGATGTGTGGGGTGGGGGGATCACGGTTCTGTGAGGGAGGCTGCTAAGCAGAAAAGCAACAAAACCGGCCACAAGAGAACGGTGCTGCTGTGAACAGAGGGCTGTGAGGGAGGGCGGGGGGCGTGACCTTGGCGCTCATCTTGTAAACTCGGAGACATTCCTTGGGAAAAGATATTTCCCTAAACTACATCGATCTTGGGGCCGGACCCTTTCATCGTCCCACAACAATCACCACCGGGTCTACGTCCTTTAAAAACACCTGAGCGGCGGACCCGGTGGCTCATGCCTGTAATCCCGGCACTTTGGGAAGCCGAGGCGGGCGGATTGCTTGAAACCAGGAGTTCAAGACCACCTTGGGCAACATAGGGAGACCCCGTCTCTACAAATAGTAATAGTAATAATAATAATAATAATAATAATAATAATAATAATAATAAATTAAATTAGCCAGCGTGGTGTCGTGTGCCTACAGTCAGTCCCAGCTACTCGGGAGGCTGAGGCGGGAGGATCTCCTGAGCCCACGAGTTCCAGGCTGCAGTGAGCTGTGGTCGCGCCATTGCACTCCAGCCTAGGCGACAGAGCCAGCCCCCTTGTCTGTATAAAAACAGAGAAAGAAAAGAGAAGAAAGAAGGAAAGGAAGGAAGAAAAAGAAAGGGAAAGACCACTGGAAGTGGAGGCCAGGCGTGCCTGAAGCCTTGGCAATCAACAGCCAGCGCACACTCGCAGCCTCGGTCTCTGGGCGGGCCTCTCCACCCCTTTCCTCCACGGGGCCTATGGGGCTGCGGGGAGGAAGGGGCGCACCCATCGTCGACCCCTACAGGGCGCGCAGTGGGTGATTGCGGCACTGGCTCGCGTTCCCGCCCGAGGGAGACGAGGCGGGACAGCGGGCGGGAAAGGGAGCCTGCGCCGCAATCTTTCCCGCCCGAAAGACCCGCCCCGCGGTGGGCCCCAGTCCCCGCCCGGTCCGCGGCGCTGCCGGCCCCTCCTCGCCGCCGCGGAGCTGGACCGCAGTTGTGCCCCGCCGACCATGCGCCGCCTCCCGCGGGCCCTGCTGCTGCAGCTGCGCCTCGCCCTGCTGGTGGCCGCGGGGGCCCCGGAGGTGCTGGTCAGCGCGCCGCGGAGCCTGGTGTGGGGGCCCGGGCTGCAGGCGGCCGTCGTCCTGCCGGTCCGCTATTTCTACCTGCAGGCGGTCAACTCGGAGGGCCAGAACCTCACTCGCTCTCCCGCAGGTAGTGTCCAGCCGCCGGCCTCCCTCGTCCCGCGGCCGGGTCCCCGCGCGTCCCCGCCGCCCGGGAGTCCGCCCGCGGCCTGCGTGGCGTCCCTCCCCGGCGTGTGTCGCCCCTTTTTGGGTCTGGTCAGCTCCTCTTCCCTCCTCCCGCCCATACTCAAAGCGGGCAAAAATCACCACGAAAGTTTGTGGAATGAATGAATGAATGAACTTGAAGGGCCCTTCCGCATTTAATGTGCAGGGACTGATGTTGCGAATGGACGGCGCCCGGGCGTTACAAGGAGTGTGCCGTGAGTCACACGTTGCCTTCCATCTCGGACTTAGTTGTCTGAACTGTGAGGGATTGCAGGGAGCGCTTTCCAGTGGTGAGTCATCAAGCCGACGGATCGCGTCGGATTACATGGCTTAGGCCTGGTGGGTTTGGAGCAACGAAATCCTACGCAGAGGAAATGTCAGAGCCGTAGGAAGGAGGAGGGGTTTACGTGTTAGTTTTTTGTTTCCTTTTTAGTTCTGAGTTTTTGAAAGCAGATTACAGGAACTAGGGAAACTCAGTAGAAATCATTCGGTTTTCCCTCCACGGAGGGTGAGATGGATCTCGTCCTGAATCCCTTTCTGCCCGGTCCTCCTCCCACGTTGTCCTTCACGTCTTAACCTTTG
The DNA here is from genome assembly GCF_000001405.40 of Homo sapiens. NCBI lineage: Eukaryota > Metazoa > Chordata > Mammalia > Primates > Hominidae > Homo > Homo sapiens. The sequence goes on along the minus strand of NC_000011.10, from coordinate 108,497,508 downwards.
CAACTTCTTAAAACTTGTCCTGCTGGTTTCACGCTGTTGTCAGTCAGGATTTGCTAATGTATAATTTGGGGCTCTGGCCAACTAGCACCTTGTTGTATCAGCGAAGAGACAATTAGAATAAACCAGTGCCTCTGCCCCTGCTAGTCCAGCTGGGAACATAGCTGCCAGAAGTGTGTCCCAACTTGGGAAAGGGGTAAGGGGGTCTTGACAGCTGGGCAAAGCAGAGAATTTAGGAACCAAACATAATTCACTTTTAGATTTAATGATTTTTAAAATTTCATTCATTCAAGAAATACTTCTTTGATGTCTACTTCTGTGTTTGGTAATTCTGCTGGGAATCTAAGGATGAAAAGACAATGCCTGACCATCAAGGAACTTACAGTCTGTTGGTCAAAGACATGCAAATAACTGATCACTGTACAAGATAATTGAAGGTATGTACAGAGTGCAGTGGCAACATTGAAGCACTGCCAGAGACTGGAGAAATCCAGGAAGATTTCAGGAGCAGAGACTTGAAGGATGAGAAGGTTTGCTGGGCAGGCATATAGAAGGACGCCATGGCATGTGCAGAAGCACAGAGGCGTAGGAGACCGTGGTGTTCGGGAAAATAAGTACTGTAATTTAATGATACTGAGCGGAAAAGCCTGGTTGATTGTAGCCTCTGGTCTTCAAGCGCCTTGAATGCCAAGCAAATGACTTTATAACTAGATAAAAGAGAGCCACTGGAGAAATTTGAGCTGAGGCAAGAATCTGCCTCTCCCTTAACTACCTCAGTGGCTTGTTTTCTACATTTGATTCAGAACACCACTCCTGAAGTTGTCTTTGGGCATTGCTTTGATAACGTGTCTACCAGTTAGACCCTAAATACTCAGACAACTGGTTTCATATGCATGATATGCATTTAGGTAAAATAATTCCGACTCTATTGACAGAAACGCATGTGTGTATATCAGGGTTTCACAAACTTTTTCTTTAAAGGGCCAGATAGTAAATAATTTAGGCTTTGTAGGTGATATCATCTCTCACATTTATTCAGCTGTGCTTTGTAGCCATGGACATATAACAAACCCGTTTATGTTACAATAAAACTTTTTATGGCCACTGAAATTTCAATTTCATATAGTTTTCCATAAGTCACAGAATATTATTATTTTGATTTTTCTCCAACCCCCCTCCTCCTTTTTTTTTTTTAAGAGACAAGGTCTTTGTCACCCAGGATGCAGTGCAGTGGTACAGTCATAGCTACTGCAGCCTCAAATTCCTGGCCTCAAGGGATCCTCTTGCCTCAGTCTCCCCAAATGCTGGGATTACAGGCATAATCCACCATGCCCATCCCCATTTTAAAAATATAAGAATCATTGTTAGCTTACAGGATTTACAAAAACAGGCACTGAGCTGGATTAGCTAGTTTGTCAATCTCTAATGTATGTTAAAGACTCTCAGTTAAAATCCAAATGATACATGACTTAAAGTTGTGTATATGTTTTATATGTACATATATTATATATACATAAATATATTTAAACAAACGAAAAAGTTTACAGACAGTTTCTATTAAATATCTTAACAGAAGGAAAGTTACATTTATGATTCTGCATGGTTTACCCCTGTGATCTGTGACTTTTCTTTTTTTACCTTTTTTAGTCTTAGAAAGACTTCTCAGCCTGGGCAACATAGCAAGATTCCATCTCTACTTAAAATAAAAATTTTAAAAATTACCTACTTGGGAGGCTGAGGCAGAAGGATCAGTTGAGCCCAGGAGCTCAAGGTTGCAGTGCATTATGATTGTGCCACTGCACTCCAGCCCGGGCAACATAGCAAGACCCTTTCTCTAAATAAATAAATAAAATGGAACTTTTTGGACAACCTTACTTTCATTCCTTTGGATTCCCTTTGTTTCCTTTCAGGCCTCTTGATTTCTGGCTTCCAGTTAAAAAGGTGCCGTATAGTTCTGAAAACTCACCCAACTAGTTTCTTACATTTCTGCCACCAACATTCACTTCCAAGTCCTGAAGTCTTTCCCTCTTCAAGAACCAACTGAATAGCTGGTTATTCATGCCTTGTAATCTCAGCACTTTGGGAGGCCAAGGCTGGTAGACTGCCTGAACTCAGAAGTTTGAGACCAGTCTGGGCAACATGGCAAAACCCATCTACCAAAAAAATCCAAAATATCAGCCAGGCGTGGTAGTGCACAGCTGTGGTCCCAGCTACTGGGGAGGCTGAGGTGGGAGGATCTCTTGAGCCTGGGAGGCTGCAGTTGCATTGAGCTGAGATTGTGCCACTGCACACACACAAAAGAACTAATTGGAAAAGAGGAAAAATCTTCTCAAGCTGTAGCCTGTTGTACACAACTTAGAAAGTTTCCCTTATTATCACTCCCATTCGACAGTGTAGAATTTCCCTGAATGCCACTATTATGCTACATATATCCAAGTACCCAGATAACAAAAATATTGTGAACTTCAGTGATCTAAAGCAGGACATCTCAAACTGGGGTTCACAAACAGAAATTATAGGGTCTTTGTCCTTGGGTGGGGGGAAGAACTGTATCTTTATTTTCAGTAAACTCCTGCTTAAATTGAACATTTCCTTCAATTATGAATGTAGGCAGTACCTGTTGATACTATTATATTCCCAGTCTCTAGCACAATGCTTGCTAGAGATGCTGAGTAACTATTGTAGATGAAAAGAAATAAGGGGTGGAGGGAGGGATGATTGAAATATGTCAAGATGGAAGGATATAAATACTTATTTTCTACTCAGTCTTCTACCTTCATCAGTAATAATATCTTCATAAAATAATCTTACCTCCTGGCTGTGTAGTACTTTAGTGTTTTATACTATGGCTTGCTTAATTTGTCCTCCAAAATAGTCTTGTAAGGTAGGAAGGATAGATATTACTGTCTTTACACATAAGAAACTGGGCTCAGTGAAGCTAAAATGCCTTGCCCAGTGGGCTCCACAGTGAATGTGTCAGAGCCAAGGCAGGAACAGCCCTTTGAACTTCTACTTCATTGCTCTTTCTGTTTTATCAAATCATCCTTAATATGATTGTCGTACGTCAGTTTACAATAAGATCTTGGAGGGTGTTCGTCGTTGGCAGCTAGCCAGATATTTTTGGAGGATTTCCATTTAGCCTCATGGTACAACACCTTAGCCTTCTGGGATTTTGTTTCCCTTGACCGTGTGGGGTCAACACTTTTGCTGCAGCTGTAGAGGGCCTTAATGAGCTTCCTAAACAACAGAGGAGGAGATGACTCCATTGTATCCGAAGTGCCAGAAGTATTCCTCCAACTGTGACTGCTGCAAAGCTACATTCAAATATTGGCTCTGCTGCTCATTATGTATGTGACCTTGGGCAAGTTACTTTATTTCTTGGAGCATTGGTTTCTTGATCTATAAAATGGGAGTGACAGATACCTACCTCAAATTTCTTGTAGGAAATAAATGACATAGAAAATACATATGAAAGTCTCAAGCCCATAAAAAGTGCTAAGTGAATTTCTAAATATGCTTTTGATTTCTTACCAAATCAAACGTGTTCAAGATTTCTGATTCTAATGATGTAACACTTTGATGCTGCCAACCTCCTTTTGTCTACATAGTCACTGCATTCTCATCCAGTTAGCTATTTTTCTTAAGTTTGAATTTATTGAGTAGAAAACTCAAGCTGAGCCTCAATTCTTTTTTTTTTTTTTTTTTTTTGAGACAGAGTCTAGCTTTGTTGCCCAGGCTTGAGTGCAGTGGCGCGATCTCGGCTCACTGCAACCTCCGCCTCCTGGGTTCAAGTGAGTCTCCTGCCTCAGCCTCCTGAGTAGCTGGGATTACAGGTGCGCATCATCATGCCCGGCTAATTTTTGTATTTTTAGTAGAGAAGGGGTTTCACCATGTTGGTCAGGCTGGTCTCAAAATCCTGACCTTGTGATCCACCTGCCTTGGCCTACCAAAGTGCTCGGATTACAGGCGTGAGCCACCACGCCTGCCGTTGAGCCTCAATTCTATCCCACTATATTAGTACCCAGAGCTAATGAGAATTTTCATGCCTTCCATTTGAAGGAATTTGAAATTTCACTCTTCTCATTTTCTCTTTTATGAGGTTAGAATTCTTATTTCTGTTTCAGTCCTGATCCATATTATCTTGCATTGATTCTAACATTAATTTCATGTCAACAATGACACAGGCATGACAGATTACTGTAAAAAATAACTGAACATTTAAAATATATATTTCCAATGGCTATATTATAGTTGTATACATACATTTTGAAATGTAACTTTTAAATGATATTTCAGCGACAAAAAATATTACAACTGGAAGCGACCATAATTCTTTAGTCTGATACTTTCAATTTACAAATAATTGACGCATTTTGAAGCTAGTTGTTTTTTTCTGTCTTTCCCAAAAGTCACATAGTCAATAATATTCTTGTCTTATAACTGTTTTGTTTATTTAAAATAATAATATATGGAGAATAAGACTGTTTGATCAGGAAATAAGAAAACCTTTTTGTACATTTCCAGTTTGGGGAGGGAGCAATGAAAATGGCTTTCCAATTCCCAGACTTTCCTCTTCAGATTTCGATCTGCTGTGCCATGTTGCCTTTCTGAAACCATGTGGGAAATAATGCAAAGCAATAATTTATGTGTTTCATTTGTGCAGTTCAGGTAACTGGCCAACATTTCTAATAATTTCCTATTAAATTATTACCACTTTATAGCATCTTCCATGTTTATTATACTTCATTTAGGTTAGCAGATTTATTTCGTAATTTTATCATACTTGTTTCAAGGATCCTAAAATGTATATGTTTGGTACTCGATTATTAATATTTAATAGCAAGATGTCAGATACCACATTGTTATTACTAAATTGAAGAGACTGAGAAACATTTCTGCAGACTCACAAGAAAAAAAACCCTTAAAGATCAAAAGAAAGTAGATATTACACTCACTCGATTTAGAAACTAAGAATTTCACAAACGTGTTTAGTAATTTCAAAAGATATATTTTAAATATTCTAAATTTTATAATATGCGAAGTGAAAAACAACTTTGGTCACAATTTTCCTTTTGCTAGGACTGTGGATTTCCAAGGATTCATTACTTTTTTAGCATTTTCCTTTGATATGGTGATCTAAATGGTATATCCTCTGCACTCTCTGAAGGAAGAAGTTTCAAAGTTTATTCCTGGCCACAGTAACACTAATCACAACAGTATCATTTCAAAGCCTAAATGTCAGCTAATAGGAAAGGGAAAGTTTGTTGAATAGTTATTATTTACGTAGAACAGAAACCCCACAAAACTTTGAAGGTGGAATGGATTATTACAGTGTAACTGTTTCATTTCAAGCTGAGGAAACAGACTCAGAAGTAATCTCTAGTATTTACAAAGATGTGTATGTGTGTGTTTGTGTGTGTGTGTGTGTGTGTGAGCTTGTACAAGAGTCTGGTAACTAGCTGTAATCTCTCTCTACGTAAGGAAATGGCCTTAGAAGTACCACTTGAAATTTGGGCTTAATAAACGGGGAAATTTTCACAGAAATGAAGGTTATTAGATACTGAAATGGTATACAAAGAAAGCTTGTGTGTGTTTTATAAGGAGGAAGTTCGATTACTAGAGAGATCTGTCATGCTTAGAGTCCATGGATTTTTAACTATTTGGGCTTTAATCCTACCCAAAGGAGGAAAGACCAAATAAGCAAAAAGTTTATTTTTTATTTGCTTTTAAAAAATGATTTGCTTTTGTTCATGCAGTAAATCTTTATTGAATGACTAATGATTCAAATGTTGAGTCTGATCCGTGGTTTGAATACATGAACCAGACCAAGCTCTGTGGCTCAAGCCTGTAATCCCAACACTTTGGGAGGCTGAGGCAGTGGGGATCGCTTGAAGTCAGGAGTTTGAGATCAGCCTGGGCAACACAGCAAGACCCCCTCCAACCCATCCCGCCCCCCACCATCTCTACAAAAAATTTCAAAAATTAGCTGGGCATGGTGGCACACTCCTATAGTCCCAGCTACTCATGGGGCTGATGCAGGTTGAGGCAGGAGGTTCATGAGCCCAGGAGGTTGGAGCTGTAATGAGCTAGGATTCTGCCTCTGCACTCCTAGCTGGATGACAGAGCAAGACCCTGTCTCAAAAAAGAAAAAAAAAAAAAAAAGAATGCATGAACCAGACATGACAGTTCCTGGCCTCAAAGATCTTCCAAAGGAAATGATTTTTTTTTAACCACCAATGCTGCAGGAAAAAGCAACATATTTAAGTTATCCAATAACACCTATCCAATAATTGTAAATCATTATCATGACATGGTAGAGTTGTTTATATTTCTTTTCCTTTTAGGTGAAACACCATTCAAAGTCGTAGTCAAATCTCTTTCACCTAAAGAGTTGGTCCGGATACATGTCCCTAAACCTTTGGACAGGAATGATGGAACATTTTTGATGAGATATAGGATGTATGAAACTGTCGATGAAGGCCTGAAGATAGAGGTCCTTTATGGTGATGAACATGTGGCTCAGTCTCCCTATATTTTGAAAGGTAAGTGATTATTATATACTCCAGAGTCAGCCTTGTGTGTAGGTCCCATGCCTTTCAGAATGGCCTAAACCTGATGACCTCAAAGTCATGTGCAGTAAAGTAAACATTGTATACATACCTCCTGGAGCTCAATTTAAATTTTAAGGGAAAGAAAATTAAGTAAAGAGATTTAAATGATAAGAAAAAAATCTTGTGTATTTACATCCATGTAGTTACTATTTGCGAAACTCTTCATTCCTTTGTGTAGATCCATATTTCCATCTAGTAACATTTGCCTTCTGCTTAAAGGATTTTTATTAATATTTATTTTACTGTGAGAATGCTGGTGATGAATTCTTCCAGCTTTTGAATGTCTGAAAAAACTTTATTTTGCCTTTTGTTTGTTTGATTTGTTTTTTGTTTACTTTGAGACAGGGTCTTGCTCTATGGCCCAGGCTGGAGTACAGTGGCACAGTCAAAGCTCACTGCAGGCTGGGCGTGGTGGCTCACATCTGTAATCCCAACAATTTGGGAGGCTGAGGCGAGTGGATGGCTTGAGCTTAGGCATTCAAGACCAGCCTGGGCAACATGGTGAAACCCCGTCTCTACTAAAAATACAAAAATTAGCCAGGCATGGTGGCGGCGCATGCCTGAAGTCCCAGCTACTCGGGAGGCTGAGGCTGGAGAATCGCTTGAACCCGGGAGGTGGAGGTTGCAGTGAGCCAAGATCACATCACTGCACTCCAGCCTGGGTGACAGAGCGAGATTCCATCTCAAAAAAAAGCTCACTGCAACCTTAAACTGCTGGGCTAGGCCATGTGCAGTGGCTCACACCTATAATCCCAGCACTTTGGGAGGCCAAGGCCAGAGGATCACTTGAGCCCAGGAATTCAAGACCACGCTGAGCAACATGGCAAAAACCCATCTCTACAAAAAATTAGCTGGGTGTGGCGGCACATACCTGTAGTCCCAGCTACTCAGGGGGCTGAGGTAAGAGGATCACCTGAGCTCAGGGAGATCGAGGCTGCGGTAAGCTGTGATCGTGCCACTGCACTCTGGCCTGGGGGACAGAGTGAGACCCCCTGTCTCAAAACGAAATAAAACAGAAACAAAAACTGCTAGTTTAAAGCAAACCTCCCGCCTCAGCCTCTCAAGTAGCTAGGACTGCAGGCACATACCACCATGCCCAGCTAATTAAAAAATATTTTTTTGTTTCTACAAAACATTTTTTTGTTTCTACAGGGTCTTTTTATGTTACCTAGGCTAATCTCAAACTCCTGCACTCAAGTGATCCCCCTGCCTCGGCTCCCCAAAGTGCTGGGATTACAGGCATGAGCCACCATGCCCGGCCTAGTTTGCCTTTGTTTTTAAAAGACATTGTCTCTAGTTATAGTTATAGGTTGATGGGTTTTTTTTCTTTTGATACTTTAAAGATGTGGTTCCACTGTCTTCTCACTTGCATTGCTTCTAACAATAAATCTAGCATTTTCCTTATCTTTGTTCATCTGTGTTGCTTTTAAGGTTTTCTCTTTATCAGTTCTTTTGAGAAGTTTGATTATTATGTGCCTTGGTGCAGTTTCCTTAATGTTTCCTGTGTTTTGGATTTGTGGAACTTCTTGGAATTTAAACCATCCAAGTGATTTAAATTTCATCAAATTTAGAAAAATTATGGCCATTATTGCTTCAAATATGTTTTCTGTTCCATTCCACCTTACCTTCAAGGATACTAATTACCCATATATTGGGCTTGAAACTATCCTGTGGTTCATCGATACCCTTTTCATTTTTTAAATTCTTTTTTCTCTTTGTTTCATTTCGTATAGTTTCTATTACTGTCTCTAAGTTCTCTTTTCTTCTGCAATGTACGATCTGTTGTCAATCCTATACAGTGTAGTTTTCACCTCTTGATGCTTTTTCATCTTCTTGAGCTCTTTTCTGGGGTGCAGTTAAATCACTGGGAAATAGTTTAATCCTTCCAAGTTTTGCTTTTACAGTTTGTTAGGTGGGACTAGAGCCATGTGTAGTCTAGGGCTAATTATTCCCCGCTACTGAGGTAATACCCTTCTGCATACTTTACCCAAGCCCTGTGAATTAGGAGGCTTTCCAATCTGGCTGGTACCCACCGATAAGTACTGTTCTCTCTGGTCATTTTGGATGGGTTCTTCCCCTGTCTTCCCCAAGAACATATGAACACTCAGGTGGCAAATATCTTAGATGTCCATTTCTCAGCCTGAAATCTGTTTTCATCCTTTGTCATTATCATTCTAAATATTTAAATGTTATACCTAAATAATTAAACTGTATTATTTTTAGAATCAATACAGGGGAAGAACCCATCCAAAATGCACTGATCATATGCTCTGCTCAATATGTGAAGAGGACCTTCTATAGATCTCTAACGTTCTCTCTGTGCAGTGCTTCCTTTTTAGATACTCTGTCCTACAAAGTCTAGAGCTGCCTTGGTCTCCCTGGACTGCCAGCTCTGTCTCCTCAACTCAGTGAGGCTGCCTGGCTTTGCCTACAGTCCCCCTCCCTGTACTACAACCTCAAAGCTCCCTTAAGCAGTAGGCTGTAGGAATTGTAGGGCTTACCTTATTTGTTCCCCATCTCTCAGACTCACTGTCCTTCATTGCCTAATACCTAGTGCCTTAAAAACTATTGTTTAAGGCCAGGTGCGGTGACTCACGCCTGTAATCCCAGCACTTTGGGAGACCGAAGCAGGTGGATCACTTGAGGTCAGGAGTTCGAGACCAACCTGGCCAATATGGCAAAACTCCGTCTCTACTAAAAATACAAAAAATTAGTTGGGCGTGGTGGTGAGTGCCTGTAATCCTAGCTATTCAGGAGGCTGAGGCAGGAGAATCACTTGAACCCAGGAGGCGGAGGTTGCAGTGAGCTGAGATCACACCACTGCACTCCAGCCTAGGCAACACAGTGAGACTCCATCTCAAAAAAACAACAACAAAAACAACAAAAAACTATTGTTTCATATGTTTTGTGGGAGTGTTTTCTGGTTGTTTCAGGTGGGGTGGTACATCAGTCCCTGTTACTTGTTGTCAATGAAAAGAGTCAAACTTATGGCCAGGCATGGTGGCTCACGCCTGTAATCCCAGCACTTTGGGAGGCCGAGGCAGGTGGATCACCTGAGGTCAGAAGTTTGAGACCAGCCTGGCCAACATGGTGAAACCCCGTCTCTACTAAAAATACAAAAATTAGCCAAACATGGTGGTGCACACCTGTAATCCCAGTTACTCGGGAGGCTGAGGCAGGAGAATCACTTGAGCATGGGAGGAGGAGGTTGCAGTGAGCCGAGATCACGCCACTACACTCCAGCCTGGGCGACTCTGCCAGAGTCTCAGCCAGTGTGAGACTCTGTCCCCCTGCCACCAAAAAACAAAAATAAAAGAAAGAAAGAAAAAAGAAGAGAGTCCAACTCTAAAATATTTGAAGAGCTTTATTCTGAGCCAAATATTCAATTCAGTGAGACTACCTGTTTTTGCCTACAGTTTCCCTCCCTGCACTACAGCCTCGAAGCTCCCTTAAGCAGTAAGCTGTAGGAATTGTAGGGCTTACCTTATTGTTCCCCCATCTCTCAGACTCAATGACCAATGGCCCATGACACAACCCTCAGGACATCCTGAGAACCTGTGCTCAAGGTGATCAGGCTACAACTTGGTTTTATACATTTTAGTAAGACATAAGACATTAATCAATACATTTAAGATGTACATTGGTTTGGTTTGGAAAGGAGGGACAACTGGAAGGGGTGGGGGTGGTTGGGAGGGGTTGGGGGTAGCTTCCAGGTCATAGGTAGATTCAGAGGTTTTCTGATTGGCAGTTGGTTGAAAGAATTAAGTTATTGTGTAAAGACTTAGAATCAATAGAAAGGAATGTCTGGGCTTATGATAAGGGTTTGTGGAAACCAAGATTTTATCATGCAGATGAGGCTTCCAGGTAGCAGGCGACAGAGGAGATTGCAAATGTTTCTTATCAGACTTAAAGAGTCAGTTCAACAAAGTTTGTGTTGATGTTAATGCTGGTCAGCTAGGCCTGAATTCCAAAAGGGAGGAGGGTATAATGAGGCATGCCTGGTTCCCCTTTCCCTTCGTGGCCGAACTAGTTTTTCAGATTAACTTTGGAATGCCCTTGGCCAAAAGGAGGGATCCATTTGGACGGTCTAGGAGGCTTAGAATTTTATTTTTGGTTTACATAATGTCTAAAAATTAATACGTTCTTTTTCTCCTTGCTAAAAGGTAAGTTGTTTCATGTTTGCCAGCCATTTATACCTTATTAGAGATGAATTTATGAGCTAAGTGACCGAGAGTAGGTTAGATTGGGAGAGGGCATATACTAAACTGTTTATCCAAGGTGGTGTGAAAAGGAAAGTAAAAGTGTAGGACTCTAACATAATCACTTACACCACTGATTTGTCTAGGGCAGATTATCTCTGGATAATCTTAGAATTCACCAAGAAGCAGAGACAGAAGTGACTCCCTGTGTTGTGGTGCTTGCTAATGGAGTGCGGCCTTTTTCATGTTTTCCTTCCCTAGGACCAGTGTACCATGAGTACTGTGAGTGTCCGGAAGATCCTCAGGCCTGGCAGAAGACTCTTTCTTGTCCAACCAAGGAACCACAGATTGCAAAAGATTTTGCTTCCTTTCCCAGCATCAATCTCCAGCAAATGCTAAAAGAAGTCCCCAAAAGGTTTGGGGATGAGAGAGGTGCCATTGTTCATTACACGATTCTCAATAACCATGTTTACCGGAGATCTTTAGGGAAATACACAGACTTCAAGATGTTCTCTGATGAGATTTTGTTATCATTGACAAGAAAGGTAGGAGAATGAATGAATTGATAATACAGTTTAATTATTTAGGTATAACATTTAAATGTTTAGAATTATAATGACAAAGGATGAAACAGATTTCAGGCTGAGAAATGGGCATCTAAGATATTTGCAACCTGAGTGTTCATCATGTTCTCCATCTTTGTGGATCTTACTTTCCTGTAAGATTTAAAATTAAGTGGCTTGAGGCCAGGCATGGTGGCTCATACCTGCAATCACAGCACTTTGGGAGGCTGAGGCGGGTGGATCATCTGAGGTCAGCAGTTCAAGGCCAGCCTGGCCAACATGGCAAAACCCCATCTCTACTAAAAATACAAAAATTAGCTGGGCGTGGTGGTGGGCGCCTGTAATCACAGCTACTCAGGAGGCTGAGGTAGGAGAATCCCTTGAACCCAGGAGGTGGAGGCTGCAGTGGGCCAAGATTGCGCCACTGCACTCCAACCTGGGTGACAGAGTGAGACTCCATCTCAAATAAATAAATAAATAAATAAATAAATAAATAAATAAAATAGAATAAAGTGGCTGAGCCCCCATCCCAGGTAGGTATGCCATACAGGACACTCCCAAGCTTTCTTTGAGCTTCCAGAGATTTATAACAAGGTTACTTCTTATTCTTTTTTTCAAATAGTCTATATTTACAATATCCAAACAGAACAGTCTCATTTATTTATTTATTTTTAAATAGGGATGGGGTCTTGCTGTGTTGAGCAGGCTGGTCTCAAATTCTTGGGCTCAAGCCATCCTCCTGCCTCAGCCTTGATCCTAGCTGGGACTATAGGCATGCACAACCATGTCAAGAGGCCGCTTTAAGTTCTCTGTTCCGCTGAATACTACTCCTGCTTAGATTTCACCTTCTGCAGCTGTTTTCTTCTCTTCACCTCAAAATGACTTGAACTTAGAACACATTTTCCTTGTTTTACCCTAAGCATACCTAGAAGATAGCGTGCATGGGACATTTTGTCAAAGCTTGGGCTACCAGAAACAGGTTGTTTTTTTTTTCACCAGTGCATACTAAAAAACAAACAAACAAAAACCCTGATATTTAAAAATAGACATCTCTGCACTAATCAGACTCTCAGTCATACTTGCCTCTGGGAATTTCTCAGGGCTGTCCTTGACCTTAAGTTCTTAGCCTCTCACTAATGTGGTTAGGCCCTCTGTTTTTCAGGCTCCCCACATCCCCCAATAGCGCCCCCTTATCTCACTATTCAGCCTCTCTTTCCACATTTGCAGAACTCTAAATTCCTCTTAAGCAGAGCAACTTAAACCACCTTTTGTTCTTGTTTCTGATCATACAGGGTGAAGGATGGAGGTGGGCAATATTTATCTTTCTTACTTAGAGAGACCATAAAGGGAGTTTTTTTGTTTGTTTGTTTGTTTGTTTGCTTTGAGATGGAGTCTCACTCTGCCACCCTGGCTGGAGTGCAGTGGCACGATCTCGGCTCACTGCAACCTCTGTCTCCTGGGTTCAAGCGATTCTCCTGCCTCAGCCTTCTGAGTAGCTGGGATTACAGATGCACGCCATGCCTGGCTAATTTTTGTTTTTTTAGTAGAGAAGGGGTTTCACCATGTTGGTCAGGGTGGTCTCAAACTCCTGACCTCGTAATCTGCCCGCCTTGGCCTCCCAAAGTGCTCAGCATGAGCCACTGCGCCTGGCCAAGGGAGTTTTATAAACCAAAAAAAACACAGTTTTCCTGATATGTTATACAATTCCCCAAGTATGCTGACTGTGTGGCTGCAGTCAGTTCTTACTTTAAATAGCAGTCCCCAACCCCTCCACCACCAGCCCACAATGTGAGGATACAAGCATGTGATGGGCATCTGCTCCTAAAGGTAGTGCTCTCTTCCCGGGCTACAACTAGTCAACTGTGCCCTGTATTCTTGCCTCTTTAATCCATGTTGCTGGCTTCATAGCAGTAGATTTCAACCAGGGATGATTTTGCCCCTCAGAGGACATTTGCCAATGTCTAGAGACATTTTTGGTTGTCACAACTCAGGGGTTGCTATTATCATCTAGTGGGTAAGCATCCTACAGTGCAAAGGATAGCACCCCCCAACCCCATCGCAAAGAATTATCCAGCCCCAAATGTCAATAATATGAGCTTGAGAAACCCTACTCCACAGTGAGCACTTCCAATGTGGAGTTTATTAAAGAGTTTATAAATAATAGCAGGGAGGCTGGGCACGGTGGCTCACACCTGTCATCCTAGCACTCTGGGAGGCTGAGGCAGATGAATCATTTGAGGTCAGGAGTTTGAGACCAGCCTGGCCAACAAGATGAAATCCCATCTCTACTAAAAATACAAAAATTAGCCGGGTGTGGTGGTGCGTGCCTGTAGTCTCAGCTACTTGGGAGGCTGAGGCACAAGAATCACTTGAACCTGAGAGGCAGAGGTTGTGGTGAGCCAAGATCACGCCACTGCACTCCAGCCTGGGTGGCAGAGTGAAACACTGTCTCAAAATAATAATAATAATAATAATGACAGGGAAGCAAGAGGGTGAATATTCACATCTCTTGCCCTTTCCTTTTGTTCTTTGCCCAGTGGCTGGGGAAGAAATAAATCTAAGATAAGTGAGACTCAGTCCTAGTCTCTGAGTAGCCCACTGTAGTGGGATTTGTTTTTGTTGTTTGGAAGTGGGGGTGGGATGTGAATACAAACAAATAATTATATCCCAATATGATGATAGGCCTCAAGAGAATTAAGTACCTAGGGTTTAAGTGCCTGAGGAGGGTGAGTCATAGAAGAGGTGGTGTTAGATCTGGGCTTGGAGGATGAGAAAGGAGACTGCCAAGTTAAATAAGTAAAACATTCCAAGTGAATGGAATTACATGTTGAGGTGGATGGCATTTTCAGAGAGTAGCCTAAGGTTTCCTGGTAGGTGGGCAGATGAAAGATGAGGCTTATAGCCAAGCTGGGACAAGATTGTGAGGCCTTGAATGCCAGCCAGAGAGTTGAGATCTTGTGCCATAGGCTTAAGGTTCTGTTAAGCTTGGTAGTGACATTAACAAAGTTATTTTAGAAATTTTAGTTTTAGAATTAATTTTAGTTTTGGAAATCTGAGCAGCCTTGTGGAGAGCAGATTACAGTATGGAGAGCCCAGAATCAGAACACCTAGTAAGGAAGTTATTGCAGCAATCTAGGCAAGAAATGATGAGAGTCTAAACTGAGACATTGACCGTGGAGATGGAAATGGACTGGCAGGTTCCAGAGGCAAGGGCACATGAGGCAAAGATGGGGACAGTGAAGGAAAACAAGGGTTTGGTTCTAACTTTGTAGATTCTCTTGCTTAGGCAGCTGGCAGAGGGTTATCGAAGCTATTCATTCTTACCTCTCTACACAATTTTCACTTCTCTAACACTACATTTTATTTTATTTTATTTCTTTTTCTATTTTTTTGGAGACAGAGTCTTGCTCTGTCGCCCAGGCTGGAGTGCAGTGGCGCGATCTTGGCTCACTGCAACCTCTGCCTCCCAGGTTCAAGCGATTCTCCTGCCTCAGCCTCCTGAGTAGCTGGGATTACAAGTGCCTGCCACCAGCCCAGCTAATTTTTGTAAGTTTAGTAGAGACAGGGTTTCACCATGTTGGCCAGACTGGTCTTGAACTCCTGACGATCCACTCGCCTCAACCTCCCAAAGTGCTGGGATTACAGGTGTGAGCCACCACGCCCAGCCTCAAACACTGAATTTTACATGCATCTCTGGACAGAGGTAGCTGACTCCTGGTTAAGTGAATTTGTCATGCAGGATCCTCACAGGTGACAAATTCACAGCCATCCTGTCAATGACAGGCATTCTTCTCTCTTCTCTGTTTTTGAATGGTTAGCCCTGTCAAAAATATGTAAGAAAACCAAAGAACTGTTGTACTTAGTACCAAAGACTGAGATCTTCCCAGCACTGATGTTTGTTTATATGTTTATTTAGGTCCTTCTCCCAGATTTAGAATTTTATGTTAATCTTGGAGATTGGCCCTTGGAGCATCGAAAAGTCAATGGAACCCCTAGCCCCATACCTATCATTTCATGGTGTGGCTCTCTGGATTCAAGAGATGTTGTCCTTCCAACGTATGACATCACCCACTCCATGCTTGAAGCCATGCGGGGTGTTACAAATGATCTCCTCTCTATTCAGGGAAATACAGGTATTCAGGGAAATGCAAGGCTAATTAATGAAGAAAAAGCTTAGAGACAGAGTGGGTTATACATATATGTTTGCATTCAGTAGCATATTAGAAAAAGTCTTGTACTGAAAATTCTGACCAACCTAGGGATTAAAGATTTGTGGATGTTCCTCAGTTATATAGTTTTTTCTGGTCACCCTTTGTAAGAACAAAGGGCTAGCTCACGTTTTATTGTGAAACACAGAAAATGGAAGAAGCTAATGCCTTGGTGAGTGGACCCAGTCACTGAATCTCTTTTTTGCTTTGAACACGGTCCGACATTATTTCAGGTATTTCCTAGTATTATACAACAGAATACACGAATACTTGCGTGAGCTTTCACTAGCAGACAAATGGATGAAATTAGAGCATTCTTTTACATAATACAGCAAATAAAAAGACTGTTTTTTTTAAACTCTAAACTTGAAAGTGCTTCTGGCAAATTGAGACTCAATCCCATATTTTCGTTGAAATAACATCTACTTTAGAAGATGAGTTGATAAAAGAGCTTTAGCATCTTAAATGACAATGGTAGATTAAAGAGGATTATGCTTGCCATATTAAAATGTCAAATTCATAATCCTAATTTTTTTATGGCTTCAAACTTGTAGGGCCTTCCTGGATCAATAAAACAGAGAGAGCTTTCTTCAGAGGTAGAGACAGCCGAGAGGAGAGGCTCCAGTTGGTACAGCTGTCCAAAGAAAATCCTCAGCTACTAGATGCAGGAATTACAGGATATTTCTTTTTCCAAGAGAAAGAAAAGGAGCTTGGAAAAGCCAAGTTGATGGGTTTCTTTGATTTCTTTAAGGTATGCATTTGAGTCTTCTTCTATGGATATGAAGCGATAAAATTGTATTAAAAGTCTACCAAAATAGGTGGGCTTCAGCAAATTTCACCTGGCTTGTGAACTGACACACATGTTCACACTTTCTTATTAGATATCAGGAATTACAAAACCCATTGTGGTTTCCTTCTTTCATTGTTAAGTTTACCAAATAGCTCAGAACTGTACTTAATTCTCAAAATATAGTACAAGGATTAACCTGGGATTTTGGTATATTTATGTCTCGTTTTTCTTTCTTTTTTTTTTTTGTATTTGCTTTCATAAACTGGGAATATAAATACCTTTTACATAAAGTGATCTCAAATGTCTTTTATAAATAGAAAAAGCATAAATTCCATATATGTAAAGTGGGAGTTGGGATTAGGGTTCAAGGCCTGCTTCTAATCCTGCCTCTGCCACCAACTATGGGACCTTCCTGTCTTGGTGCCTTGGTCTTTAAACCCGTGTGATGCCTGCCTACTCCTTCAGAGCATTATCACGAGGCCCAGAGGAGAGATGTGAACAATGTGACAAAACCTGATGGGCTCAAAAACTCCCTTGTACCAATTATTTAAGAAAAATTTATTTACCAAATCTGGGAGTGTGTCCTCTTCATCCCAGAGTGATACAATGAGTAGAACAGGGGATTTGGACTCAGAGAATGAGGTTTATACATTTCTCTGAATACCAGTTTTCTCATTTGTAAAAACAAAAAGAAGGGGTTAATAATACCTGCTTCAGATTATTCTAATTGAATGAGGTTTAATGCCTATGAAAACTACATTTGAAATGGAAAACAAAGTATATTAACCCAACAAATATGCAGACAGCTTACCTACTATGTTGCCAGCATTGCCCAAGTCCTTAAATGTCTCCAGGTTTCTATCTCCTCAGCTCTAAAACTGTAAAATAGAGACAATGCCTGCCTGTTTCATAGACTGCGTATAAGGAACAAATGAAATAATGAATAAATGAAAGTGTTCATTGTTATCAGTATTGAGCTTTAAGAATTTTGAAAATAGTTTTCCTGGCTGGGCGTAGTGGTTCACGCCTGTAATCCCAGCACTTTGGGAGGCTGAGGCGGGCGAATCACCTGAGGTCAGGAGTTTGAGGCCAGCCTGGCCAACATGGGGAAACCCTGTCTCTACTAAAAATAGGAAAAAGTTAGCTGGCTGCAGTGGTGGGTGCCTGTAATCCCAGCTACTCAGGAGGCTGAGGCACCAGAATTGTATGAACCCAGGAGGTGGAGGTTGCAGTGAGCCAAGATCACGCCGCTACACTCCAGCCTGGGTGACAGAGCAATACACTGTCTCAAAAAAATAATAATAATAATTAATTAAAACTTAAAAAGAAAATAGTTTTCCTACCTTGTTACAGAAATCTGGATTCCATTATTACAGAGACATGATTGAAATAGGTCTTCACTCCTATTTCCAAAAATTTAGCACCTTACCTTTAAACAATGTATTTCTTAAAATTAATCTGAGAAATGCTGCTTGTGATTTTTATACAAAGAGAAGATGTAAGTTATAAAATAAAACTTTTAAACACAAAAAAGTTGGAAAATGGAAAATAATTCCTCTGTAGTTGGTATTACAGTGTTGATGAGGAGCAGAAGTGAAGCAAATGACTACTGAAAGTTTGTTTATGTTTGTTTTTCATCTTCCAGTACAAGTATCAAGTAAATGTGGATGGGACCGTGGCTGCTTACAGATATCCATATCTCATGCTGGGCGACAGTCTGGTTTTAAAGCAGGACTCGCCATATTATGAACATTTCTACATGGCACTAGAACCTTGGAAGCATTATGTTCCAATTAAAAGAAATCTGAGTGATTTATTAGAGAAAGTTAAATGGGCTAAGGTATGCGTCCAGCAATTTTTATTTCTTTAAGCAATAACAAATTCATCAGTGTTAGATGAGTTCCATCACAATACAATTTGATTTGACATAATGGAATGAAAAGAAATATTATTTTCTGAAATTGCTGTTCCCTTGAAATATCTAAAGAATCAGCATCAGAATCATTTTGCATACCCTCTATCAACATTTTTGAAGATTTTCAGAAGATTTGAAGTCCAGCCTTATATAAAATACAGATTTTCTAAATGCTATGTTTACACATACAAACAAGAATATACAAAATGCAAATTACTGACTGAAAGACCAGAGTTAAGGTGCTTTATGAACAAGAAAATATTTCAGGCAATTACAGTACTCTTTTCTTATCCCCAGTTAGAAAAAAGGCACAAATTCTTAATGAATGCGTGTTATACAACGCAAGCATCACGTTTCCTATAAAATAGGAATTCCTTTTTTAAAAGGAAAAGTATTAAAAAGCTGTTGCGTTTTATTATAAAGCTATAAAAATGTACCCTTCCATTATGAGACTTTATACTAAGATTCTAAGAAACAATATATGGTTATAGAAATAATTGGGCGCCTGAGGCAGAATCACTTTTGTGACCCTTCATAAGAGCCTCAGTTGCTTGCAAATGGCTTACCTGCGGGCAGCATTGTAGAAGATTAACTGTTTTCCAAAAGTATAATTAGGAACGCTGACTATTTCTGGTACTGAATGAACAGCCTGTGGGTACTAATGACTGAATTTTTCGGTTACAAAAGCAATACAGTCTTTTATAGCTACCATTTTATAACACAACTTTTTGACGTTGACTGCGTATTTGCATGGAGCTTTTAAAAGATGTTGTAACGTGAAAACGGATTCATTCTCCTGTTATGCAGAGAGGAAATAGGCTGGTGGGACAGATGCGGAAGCTGAAGAGTACTTCCTGGGTGGCCAGGAAGGTACCAAGATGGTCACAATAGGGGCTGCATGTGGGTTGTTGCACTGTGGGGAGAAGGAGTGGCTTCCTAGTACTGTGGAAGAGGGGCCAAACATGTGATCGTTTCTCTTTAACGGAGATGTCTAGGAAAATACTCTGTCTCTTCCTGTAGCCTCATTCTTTCATTTATTTATTTATTAGTTTATTTATTTATTTATTTATTTATTTTTGAGACAGAGTTTCACTCTGTCGCCCAGGCTGGAATGCAGTGGCACGATCTCCACTCACTGCAACCTCTGCCTCCCGGGTTCAAGGAATTTCGTGCCTCAGCCTCCTGAGTAGCTGGGATTACAGGTACCCGCCACCACACCCAGCTAATTTTTGTATTTTTAGTAGAGATGGGGTTTCACCATGTTGGCCAGACTGATCTCGAACTCTTGACCTTAAGTGATCTTCTAGCTTTGGGCCCCCAAAGTACTGGGATTACAGGTGTGAGCCACCATGTCCGGCCCCTGTAGCCTCATTCTTAAGTTATAATTCCATTATGTTCTGGCTTTCCCATGCTGTTCACTTTCAACCCCACATCTGTCCCACCTCACACTTAACCCTCTCTTTGTGGGTCGCAGTAGTAATTTTCATTCATTTTTATTTTTTTTAACCTTTCAGGAAAATGATGAAGAAGCCAAGAAGATTGCAAAAGAAGGACAGTTGATGGCTAGGGACCTACTACAGCCACACAGGCTTTACTGCTACTATTACCAAGTACTGCAGGTCAGTTCAGAGTGTCCGTCCACACTGCTGGGTCGGGTGTCCTCAGACTACCCGCTTGGCCTGTACACTTCCTGCCTGGCTTCCTGAAGGACTCACAGTCAAGCCTATGGACCACTGGCTAAGCCAAGGCACTTGCCTAGGGAAAGATAGTGCTAAGTCTTCATTTGGTGGCCCCCTTTTTTTTGTTTTTTGTTTGTTTGTTTGTTTTGAGATGAAGTCTCACTCTGTCATGCAGGCTGGAGTGCAGTGTCTCAATCTCAGCTCACTGCAGCCTCTGCCTTCCAGGTTCAAGCAATTCTGCCTCAGACTCCCAAGTAGCTGGGATTACAGGTACACGCCACCATGCCCAGCTAATTTTTGTATTTTTAGTAGAAACGGAGTTTCGCCATGTTGGCCAGGCTGGTCTTGAACTCCTGGCCTCAGGTGATCTGCCTTGCCTTGGCCTCCTGAAGTGCTGGGATACAGGTGTGAGCCACCACGCCCAGCCGTGGCCTCCATATTTTCATCTTTATTCCATATTATGTAAAACGACGCTGGGAGCCCTCACAAATATAGATTAGCAACTCCTCCCATCTTCTCAGTGCTCTCTTTTATTAAATGCTTTATTGAATTCCTAGTGTAGGTGTTCTGGAACCTCAGAGAAAAACATTTTTTCTTATTTGGAAAACAAGATGGTTGGACTGGAGATCATTAACATCCCTTTTTACTCAAAATGTCGCCTCCTTATTCTCCTTGATACTTAAGATTCATGCCTTTTATAGTACAAGGCAGAATGCAAATATTTAGCTTGCTGTAGCAAACAAACTAATGAGAAATATGTATAACAGTTCTAACACCTTAGGGCTGAATCCTGAAGTATAGTGTTTATTGGGAATCCGAGGATTGGTCTTTTGAGTAACTACCTTGAGTTTTACTCAGAAAAATCTAGACAGGAAGAATAAAAAAAGGAAATTATGTTCTTGTTTTTAACCTAAATTTATTTTTCTGTAGGCATAGTAAAAGTAAATTTCCCTAGATGCTTGTGGATACTACCCTCTCATATTTTCATTTTCATAGAAAAATAAAAATGATAAGTTACACTATTTACTAGAAGCAGCCCTTCCTTCCCTTAAATTGGTCTGTCCCCTCTGTTGGTCTAGCTTTAATCGTTAAACAGTTTTTTTAACAATTTCTTGGCCGGGTGCAGTGGCTCACACCTGTAATCCCAGCACTTTGGGAGGTCGAGGAGGGTGGATCACCTGAGGTCAGGAGTTCAAGACCAGCCTGGCCATCATGGTCAAACCCCGTCTCTACTAAAAATACAAAATTAGCCAGGTGTGGTGGCACATGCCTGTAATCTCAACTACTCAGGAGGCTGAGGCAGGAGAATCGCTTGAACCTGGGAGGCAGAGGTTGCAGTGAGCCTAGATTGCACCACTGCACTCCAGCCTGGGCAACAAGAGCAAAATGCATCTAAAAATATATATATTTCTTACTCGGTCACCTAGGCTGGAGTGCAGTGGCATGATCACAGCTTACTGCAGCCTCAACCTCCTAGGATCAAGCGATTCTTCCCCCCTCCCACCTCAGCCTCCCACTAGTAGCTGGGACTACACCACCACACTCAGCTAATTTATTTATTTTTTTTAGAAACAAGCTCTTGCCGTGTTTCCCTGGTTCCTCAAGTGATTCTCCAGCCTCAGCCTCCCAAATAGTTTCAATTTTAATGTTAGGAATTTCTCTCTCTAAAATATTAATTAGGCTTATCTACTGTGTCAACATTTTGTTGCATTTGGTCCAGTACCAGGAATATACAGCAAAAGGGACATGGAATCATTGAATTGAAATATCCAATTTATGTCTGGGCAGGGTGGCTCATGCCTGTAGTCCCAGCACTTTGGGAGGCTGAGGTAGGCAGATTGCTTGAGTCCAGGAGTTGAAGACCAGGCTGTGCAACATGGTGAAACGCCATCTCTACAAAAAATGAAAAAAATTAGCTGGGCATGGTGGTACGCGCCTGTAGTCCCAGCTACTTAGGAGACTGAGGTGTAAGGATCACTTGAGCCTAGGATGTTGGAGGCTGCAGTGAGCCAAGATCACGCCACTGCACTCCAGCCTCAGTGACAGAGTAAGACCGTGTCTCAAAAAAAAAAAAAAACAAAAACAAAAAAAACTCCATTTATAGAAATATTTCACTCAGGGCCACAGTGGAGGAACATTACACAGACCTGTTGCCATTCAAAAATGCGTGTGACTATAGGCCTAAAAGAAAGAATGTGTGAGACTGCCAACTTTTCAGATGGTTATCTTGTTTGTTTGCTGGCTTGAGTATTCAACAAAGTTAATTATTCAATAACAAGTGGAAAATAAATGCTGAGAGCTGCTGTTTGTTTCAGGTAGGGACGTCTGGCTTGGCATCCCTTTTGTAGAGGCTTCCAACCAACACATAAAATTGTGGATTGGGGTTTCTTGCTAGATTATGAATTATAACTAGTGCCTGTGATAGCTAAAGTTAAAATGTAACTTTAGGACTGGAATAAACCAGACCTTTGGTTTTAGTCTGCAGACACACAGCAACTAGAAAAGATGGCGTGACTGCGGATGGGAGTGGGTGGGGGAGTCAACAGAATGCAGTGTGAACTAACCTTTCAGTTCCCTTTAAACCCACGTTTCAGAAATATGCCGAGCGCCAGTCCAGCAAACCCGAAGTACGTGATGGAATGGAACTTGTTCCTCAGCCAGAAGATAGCACAGCCATCTGCCAGTGCCACAGGAAAAAGCCTTCAAGAGAAGAACTTTGAGTCAGCCCAGAATCACACTCCTGTGTATCCCGGCTACACTTTAAGGAAAGATTGAATCTAAGCTGTGAAGGACAGTATAGAAGACTGCACCAAGTGGACTAGTTCTCCCGGTGGCTTTATATATGTAGATGGATATAGCAGTACTGGTTGAGTATCCCTCATCTGAAATGCTTAGGACCAGGAGTGTTTCAGGCTTCAGATTTTTTAAGATTTGGGAATATTTGCATGTACATAATGAGGTATCTTGGGGATGAGATCCAAGTCTAAACACAAAATTCATTTATATTTTATATATACCTTGTTCACATACCCTGAAGGTAATTTTATATAATATTTTTAATAATTTGTGCATGAAACAAAGTTTGTATACATTGAACTGTCAGAAAGCAAAGGTGTCACTATCTTAGCGACCCAAGTGGTGGTGTCAGCACTCAAAAAGTTTTGGATTTTGGGGTATTTCAGATTTTAGATTTTTGTATGAGGAATGTTCAACCTGTATTTGAACAAGCATTACCAAATATCATTGAATATTAATATCTTTTGCGTAAAAACTGCTATTATCAGCATCATAGTTTCTCTAAAAAGAAAACTTGGGGATCATAGCCGATAGAGAGACTTGCTAAAATATAAATCAGCCTCTGCAAAACTGTTTACATATTTATTGGTTTACATATTTTATTGGTTTATTTCTATCCCCTGTTCACTTTTTCTCTTCCACTTCCAATTATGAAGAGAAAATATTTGTTCAGGGTTGTCCCCCCGCCCCCCGTCACTGCATAATTTCTCCTCTTACAAGCTGCTTTTGGCTTTCATTAATAACAGCTTCCTTTTAGAAGGTCTGATAAGGATATTTAAGGAAGAAGAGAATGACTCTGTTATTAAAGGTGGCATGGAGACTGTGGAGGGAATATTTTTTAAAGCACTACTCATATCCTTTAAACTAAATTTTGCCAAAGCCCGAGACAACATTAAGGAGAAATTGTACCTTAAGTTAGTAATTCCAAATCTATCTGAGTTGTATACCCATCAAAGACAATACAGTTATTAACATAGATGAAGGTATGCTATAGGCATCATTCATTATCTCTATATTGAATAGGTGAAAGATAACTGTAGTCAGGTGAAAGGCATTCATTATTTTTAAGCTGAAAAGGGGATCCTTGAAAACACTGAAAACCTCTACAACAATCTTCAGGAAGCCTGCTATCTTGGGATTCACTAATAATAGGCCAAGAACAAAGGCAAGCATCCATTCCTCACTCCACCACTTTTCTATTTCAGTGGGTGTCGTTGCTACGATGAAGACTTTGGAAATTTCCTTTCTCTTTTAGGACAGGGTCAGGATTTAGGACTCATAGCCTGAAAGCTCATTACATACTCCTTGTAACCATCAGTCCAAGGTTCAGTTCACTAAAGTGCATGTTCTAAAACAAGAGCTATCCTCATTCCAAATTTTAAAATATGTACTCTGGCCGGTTGCAGTGGCTCACGCCTGTAATCCCAGCACTTTGGCAGGCCGAGATGGGCGGATCTTTTGAGGTCAGGAGTTTGAGACCAGCCTGGCCAACATGGTGAAACCCCGTCTCTACTAAAAATACAAAAATTAGCCAGGCATGGTGGCATTTGCCTGTAATCCCAGCTACTCGGGAGGCTGAGGCAGGAGAATCACTTGAACCTGGGAGGCAGAGGTTGCAGTGAGCTGAGATTACACCACTGCACTCCAGCCTGGGTGACAGAGTGAGACTCCATCTCAAAAACTGAAAATAAAAATAAAAATATGTATTCTCCTAACTGAAATATTTACTTAATCTGGAAAACAATGTAACTATTTTTAAAGTGGTTACATCTATTCTTGCTGAAGAACAATAAACAGAATTTTTTGACTAAGCATAACCAAATTTCAGAACAGTCTAATCAATGCCAAGTATCCAAGGCAAACTCTAATACCCATCCATTGTGCAAAACCACAAGCACGCAAGTATTAAATAAGAGCAAGCTGTCCTGAGCCCATACCTAATGAATTTGTGTCTTAAATATTGTACATTGTGTTTGAGGCTTGTCAAAACTGGGATTATGGCAAGAAAGGTTGCCTAACTCATACCTTTCTGCCTCAAATTCCAGGTGCTAAAGGCTAATGGCATTTTAAACATCTTACATTTTTAAAAATTTATATTGCCTCTGCCAAACAGGCCTAATAGTTAAAAGCAAGTTGAGACAAACCAGGCAGATTCAGTGTGTGGAACAGGAAGGATGTGCTTTAAAAAAAGGTGGAATCCCTCAAAAAATTCTATAGGGAGACAGCAGCCTTAATCTACATAATTCTTCATCTCGCCAATTCAGCCGCAGCCTTTAAAGAGTTAGTGTTAATGGCTTTCTGGTTTGAAAACAAAAATGCATCTATGTGGTTGAAAGTTTGGGAGGAGATTCACCAATATCTGAGGAGAAGATGGAGTGAAGGGAATTCTTACTTTTTGCTTTATACCTTTCTATAATATTTAGATTTTTTTTTACTGTAAGTATGGATCAAATTGCAAAATAAAGAAAAATGCCAACCTTAGAAAAGACAATAAATGCACAAAAGATATAAACAGGAACAGCAAATATTTATATTTTTTCCATTTTGCTCTTTTTAAATCTATGTTTAGAACTTTATATCTTGGGACTTATGTATATATATACCTTTTAAATAAAATAAATTTTCTAAATAAAAAGTTGAAAAAGATACCTTTTGTTTTTTAAGAAAGAGGTTGTAACCACTTATAGCCCTGGTATTTCTGTAACTGCATTGGTCTAATTTTGATTCTATTATGTCTTCATGAGTAAATGAACCAAAATCACCACTCAGTCCCTAAAGGGCAGAAATCTATAATAACATTAGAAGAAAGAAAAGGCCAGTCACGGTGGCTCACACCTCAGCACTTTGGGAGGCCGAGGCAGGAGGATCACTTGAGCCCAGGAGTTTAAGACTAGCCCTGGCAACATAGTGAGACCCTCAACTTTACAAAAGAAAAAATTTAAAAATTAGCTGGACATGGTGGTGAACACCTGTAGTCCCAACTACTTGGTAGACTGGGGTGGGATGACTGCTTGACCCCAGGAGTTTGAGATTACAGTGAGCTATGATCATGCCACTGCACTCCAGCCTGGACAACAGAGCAAGATCCTGTCTTGAAACCACCTCTGCAAAAATTATAAATGAGAAAATCATTACAGTGAAAGAGATCTGACCTAACCAACTCCATCTTGATTCTAACCTCCAAGCTGTCCCTGTTTATTCCTGGGCATAGGCCAAACTAACCTTGGGAGGAACTTAGTTTATAGTTTAACTTTGAAACAAAGATGGTAACAGCGCTTTCCCAAAAGAAGCCCTCTTCATGCCTGAGGATTAGACTGCCTTTGCAGGACTAACAAATTAGCTGAAACATAGAAATTATGATTTAGGATTCATACATCTGAAGGCTGCCAGACTTTGAGCCTCCTCAAATTGCTCCTGGGGATAACATCACTATTGTAAACCTAAAATCAGTGCTTGAGATATTTTGCAGACCCTGCACTTGATGATTCCACTAGCATCACTCAGATCAATAAACTGGCTTATCTGGTCTTGTGGCCCCGACCCAGGAACTGACTTAGCATAGGAGGACAGCTTCGACTCCCTTTGATTTCATCTCTGACCCAACTAATCAGCAGCTCCCCACTTTCTGATCCCCTACCCACCAAATTGTCCTTAAAAACCACAATCCCTGACATTTCAGGGAGACTGATTCAAGAAATAAAACTGCGGTCTCCCATACTGCCAACTCTGCAAGAATTAAACTCTATTGCAATTCCCCTGTCTTGATAAATTGGCTCTGTCTAGGCAGCAGACAAGGAGAACTCATTGTGTGGTTACAGTCTCAAAAAAAAAAAAAAGAAAAGAAAAGAAAAAATATTTAAGCTTGGCACCATTATTTTTGTTGATGGTGAAAATACTAAAAGGGGCCAGGCATGGTAGCTCACGCCTGTAATCCCAGTACTTTGGGAGGCCGAGGTGGGTGGATCACAAGGTCAGGAGATCGAGACCATCCTGGCTAACACAGTAAAACCCCATCTCTACTAAAAATACAAAAAATTAGCCAGGTATCATGGAGGGCGCCTGTAGTCCCAGCTACTTGGGAGGCTGAGGCAGGAGAATGGCGTGAACCCAGGAGGCAGAGCTTGCAGTGAGCTGAGATCCTGCCACTGCACTTCAGCCCGGGCAACAGAGCGAGACTCCATCTCAAAAACAAAAAAAAAAAAAGAAAAAGAAAATACAACAAGGGTACACAGAAGACAAACAGTCCCCTGGCATAACAAGAGTCACTGTAGTGAAGAGGACAGATTTCTCAGCCAAGAATTAGCTAAAGGTGCCAACTCCCTTCCTCTAGCCTCTTCAAACTGCTAAGCCTCAACAAGAGGATTGATGCCTGGTTGGAGGTCCCTCTGGCCTCCTTTAGGACCACTGCAGGACCTGTGCCTTTGACCCACACCCACTCCTCATGTGTGACATTGTGGTTTTCTACTACATGACATATTTTCCACAATTATAAAAGATTCCATGCTCACATCCGGGAGACAGCCTTGGAGTCCCCTATTGTTGGAGTTTGCTCCAGTGCCAAAGCAGAGAGGAAAGAAATGGCATATAATTGTGACTCTTCTCCCTAGGCAAAATGGCATGTAATTGTGACTCTTCTCCCTCGGCACTACAGATATTTCCCCTTTCCTCATGCCAATTCATTTTTGTTTCCTTATCTCTTGTCTTCACATGGTTTATAAAGAAAAATCTTTGCCTTGTAAGTGGAAAGCAAGAATATTAATTTCATAAATATAATATGATATATTGTATAATAGTAGTAAGACAAAGAAGAGAGAAAAAGAAGAGGAAGAGAATAAGTGGAGAGGGGAAGAGAGAAGGAAGGAAGGAACGATTTCTGTGAAACCACCCAGAAGTTCTTCTGAGTTCTGCGTCTTAGTAAACTGTTCCTAGATTTAAGCAGGTACATATAAATGAATAAACCTAACACTTGACAGTTTCTAGTCTTAATGATCCCTTGTGGCTACTTTAAAGAAAGATACTTTTAAAGAACTGAACAATTTTTACATGTATTAGAGCAATAAGAAAATGTTCTAGCCTGTTATGTAGAAATTGCTGAATTCTTGTGGATCAGGTTAGAGGTAACATAAGTACTCAACAGTAACTATTGTAAATACTTTTTAAAATAATTCAGATAAGCACTACATTAAAAATATGCAGTTTATTAGGTTGATGCAAAAGTAATCGCGGTTTTTGCCATTATGTTTAATTATGTATGTTTAATGACAAAAACCGCAATTACTTTTGCACCAACCTAATAAAAATAATATCTAAACAGCAGTATACCTTAAATTTATTTTTATATTTCATCCAGTACATTTAGGAATTTTTGTTCTAAATTATTTACTGGCTTAGTTTTGCAGTTTTTTAATTTAAAATTTTTAAATTGTGGTAAAATATACATAAATTTATCCTTCTAACTAGTTTCAATTGTACAATTCAGTGGACTTAAGTACATTCACATTGTTGTGTAATTTTGAATTTAATTTTTTTTTTTTTTTAGAGGGAATCTTGCTGTGTTGCCAGGCTGAAGTGCAATGGCGCTATCTCGGCTCACTGCAACCAACCTCTGCCTCCCGGGTTCTATCAATTCTCCTGCCTCAGCTTCCTGAGTAGCTGGGACTACAGGCAGCGCGCCACCAGGAGATTGAGACCATCCTGGCTAACACAGTAAAACCCCGTCTCTACTAAACATACAAAAAATTAGCCGGGTATCATGGAGGGCGCCTGTAGTCCCAGCTACTTGGGAGGCTGGGCTAATTTTTGTATTTTTAGTAGAGAGGGGGTTTCACCATGTTGTCCAGGCTGGTCTTGAACTCCTGACCTCAAGTGATCCGCCCACCTCAGCCTCCCAAAGTGCTGGGATTACAGGTGTGAGCCACCACACCTGGCCTGAATTTAAATTTTTTAACCCAGTTTCTATTAGATTGAAAATTAAGATATACATAATGTTTCCATGACTATATTTTTACAGTTTATTGTTCATAACTACTGTGTATTAATGCATCAAGGCAACTACATAAAGAGGAACTGAAGCTCACCCCTTGCTTATGATTGTGATGATTTTAAAGAACTCTGGAAGTTCAGTGAGTCACTGAATTAACCTACCAAGAATTTTTTCTGTACAAATGTTTTCATTATACAGGGAAATTTCTCTTCAGGTGTTTCTTTTCCCTCCTTAAAAGTTTATCTTCCTTACAAACAAATTATATTCCATGCATGAACATAGGACGAACATAGCAAAACTGGGCAGTTCTGAACAAGATTTTTTCACATTGCAATAATCTGTGACCAACTAAAGCACTGCCAAAGTGTCAGACTCAGAATTCAAGCAAGTCAGACTTGCTTTAGATAAGCAGTGCTTGCATTATTTAAGGTCATTTGAAAACTCATTCAAGAGGTCGTCTGTTTTCACTTAAAGCAGTTTAGCTTAACCAGCTGAAGAGCTTACATTTAGAAATAACATTGGACTGCAAGTCACGTATTCTTTGACCTTGAGCAAGACCTGTCAAATAGCTAGAAGGATCAGTTGTCTCATTTTCAAATGAATAAATTAAACTAATTAAATAGGCCGGGCGCGGTGGTTCACGCCTGTAATCCTAGCACTTTGGGAGGCCAAGGCGGGAGATGGGGTAGGGGGGGATCGCTGGAGCCCAGGAGTTCAAGACCAGCCTGGACAACATGGAGAAACCCTGTCGCCACTATTAATAAAAATAGAAAAATGAGCCTGGCGTGGTGGTGCACTCCTACGGTCCCAGCTACTCGGGAGGCTGACGTGGGAGAA
This sequence comes from Homo sapiens, assembly GCF_000001405.40. Taxonomy (NCBI): domain Eukaryota; kingdom Metazoa; phylum Chordata; class Mammalia; order Primates; family Hominidae; genus Homo; species Homo sapiens. Next base: position 108,467,930 of record NC_000011.10, on the reverse strand, counting down.
TCACCTGAGCCAGGGGAGTTCCAGGCTGCAGTGAGCCGAGATCGCGCCACTGCACTCCAGCCTCGGCCACAGATTGAGACCCTATCTCAAGAAAAATTTTACAAAAATTAATAGAAAATATTTCATTATATTTCTCAACATCTTTAAGGTTCTTGGTTGAAATGACTGGGCTTTATTATATACTAAGCCCAACTTCGTAGACAATCACTTTGCTTTCCCTTCCAAAATCCTTTGCCTCAAAGCCACTGACAATCGAAAGCGGGCTTCTAACAGAACCAGCAGCCTTCACAAGCGGTTGGTCTATATCCCCTGCACTTTGTCAGAGCGCGAATAGAGGAAAGGCGGGGCCTAGAAGGCGGGGCTAGGAGGGCAATGGGGCGGGACAGAACGGATTGAGTTACGTCATTTCCGCCTGCGACGTTACCTAGGAGTCCAGCGGCGCCCGGGCCAGCAGCGATTGGTAGGTGAAGGGAATAGTGTCCCTTCTCTCAGCGCGTACTACTGTTCCGGTAGCCTTTGTGCCCACTGGTTTGAGCCTTCGTTGTTTCAAGGCCCTAAAGAACCCATACCCTTGATACCATTCCCCATCCGCCCCTCTTAAGGACGTTTCATTCCTCTAAAGCCCTCCCAGCGAGGCCTCCAGCTGGTTTACAGTCCTGCCCGGGAGTAACCCCTTCCTCAGAGCTCCTTTCCTCGCCCTCGGTGAAGTTGCGTCGGGCTGGTTGACAAGTCCTTACTGCTCATACTGCGCCTTCACAGATCCCCACACCCCAATCCTCCGCAAAGATATTACTCCGTCCACCTTCCCGCTGACCGGGAAGTACACATTAATCTTCCTTAGATTTTTCCTCATTTCTTTCCTTTGCCCCCTCCCATTTGTTTTACGTCTTTTCAGTTTTTTTAGAGATGGAAAAGGGAAACGCGTTTTTAAAGAATAGGTTAGTTTTTCTTCTCCTGCCCCTAGCATCAAGGACCACAGGTAAAAAGGAAAAGCGAAATTACGAAACTTATAAAGGCCACGCGAATCATTTGTTTATTCAATAAATTTAGTAGAGGAAACAAAATAGGACGTATACAGGTTCCAATTCAAGCAAAGTAAAGATTGTTTGCTGCTTTAAAAGTGAAACCAAGAATCCAAACACGTCTTGTGGGCTTTTTTCCACGAAGCGTAAAAATAAATAAGTGAAAACATCATCTATTATGATAAAAAATTTTATTGATTAGGGATATAATAAGCTTGGAAAATACTTATCTGTGAATCTACAAGTGGCACATGGGTGTAGTAAAATACTTCATTGCCTGAGCAGTTGTTTGATAGTACATTTTATTTGGTTAGTTTTTTGTTGTTGTTTGTTTTTGAGAAGGCATCTCGCTGTGTTGCCCAGGCTGAGTGCAGTGGCGTGATCTCAGTTCACTGCAACCTCTGCCTCCTGGGTTCAAGTTATTCTCCTGCCTCAGCCTTCCGAGTAGCTGTGACTGCAAGTGTGCGCCACCACACCCAGTTTATTTTTGTATTTTTACTAGAGACAGGGTTTCACCATATTGGCCAGGCTGGTCTCAAACCCCTGACTTAAGGTGATCTGCCCACCTTGGCCTCCCAAAATGTTAGGATTACAGGCCTGAGCCACCAGACCCGGCCTGGTAGTACATTTTAGTATCTTAAAACTTATGAAGGGTTTTCACAATGGTTATTTTATCTGGAGCATCATAATAACCATATAAAGTCGATCTTATTTCTTATCTAAAGCCAGCAACGGTCCCACCCTCCTTTCTGCTCCAGATGGTGTCCTCTTACACCTACTCAAAGGTTTTACCATTTAACTTATCCCTTTTTTTGCCCCTTTAAGTTCTCCGTCACTTTAATTTCTCCCTCACTACTGGATGGTACATTTTAACATGCTTTAGAATCTGTCGTTTTTTGTTGTTGTTGTTGTTTTTTTTTTTTTTTAGACCGAGTTTCACTCTTGTTGCCCAGGCTGGAGTAGTGGCATGATCTCGACTCACCGCAACCTCCGCCTGCCAGGTTCAAGCAATTCTCCTGCCTCAGCCTTCCTGAGTAGCTGGGATTACAGGCATGCGCCACCACACCCAGCTAATTTTGTATTTTTAGTAGAGACGGGATTTCTCCATTTTGGTCAGGCTGGTCTCAAACTCCCAACCTCAGATGATCCGCCCACCTTGGCCTCCCAAAGTGCTGGGATTACAGGCGTGAGCCACCGCGCCCAGCCTTTTTTTTTTAAAAAAAAACCTTTAATCCATTCTCACTCTCTAGCTACACCCCATTTTTCTGCTCCCTTACAGCACTCCAAAGAATTACTACTGTACTTACTGTCTCAACTTTCCCACTTCCTCAACCCAACCCAAACTTCCTTCCCTGCTTACTCCACTGAAGCAGTGCCTGTACAGTCACTAGTGACTTTATCTGGCCAAATCTCCCTTTTTTTCCTCTGTATTTACTTGCCCTTGCAACAATATTTGACACAATTGAATATGTTCTTTCTTGAAATTGTGGAACTTCATTGTTTATTTCTGAATCAGATAATTTTGAATGCTGGAATATATTTCCTCTATATTTTGTGTATTCATAAACATATAATGGTGGCATTTATGACATACTTTTTTGGCAGCTTCTAAACACCCTTTAGCCTATGTCACTAGAGAAGCAGGAAGCAGGTGTATGCAGAAAGCCCGTGTAAAATTATTTAGATCAAAGTATTCAATAAACTGGTTCAGGATTTTCAAGGGATTTTTAAGATCCAGTGTTAAATTTCCACCTACAAAATTGGGAATGTATTTGGGAAAATGATGAAATTGTGATGAATTAATGCTAATGCTGTCACGTTAAATAACACACACACTACATTGATAACAGGTAAAAAATCTCACAGTTTAGTTCTTGGAAAGTATTAAAAGACCCATTTTAATCCTAATATCTAATTTACGTTTAGTTTTTTACTTTTCTAAAATTTAGAGTCAAGCATTCCCATAGAATGTTTATGGGCATAAATTAGACACCATTTTTGAGGACAGTTTGGCAGTGTTAGGTTTCAATATGCACGCTGTTTTTTTTAATGAAGTTATATTGTATATATCTGAACTAAATGCACATTGTGGAAAAATACCAACAGCATAAAAGAGTATACTGGAACAAAAACATCTCTTCCCTTTCCGAACCCAGGCTCCTCAGTCCACAGGTCCCTTCCTAGAGACAATCATTCTTAGTAATTTCTCATATCCCTTTCCAGAGAGAGTCAATTCAAATATATATGTGCACCAGGCGCAGTGGCTCATGCCTGTAATCCCAGCGCTTTGGGAGGCCGAGGTGGGTGGATCACGAGGTCAAGAGATGGAGACCATTCTGACCAACATGGTGAAACCCCATCTCTACTTAAAATACAAAAATTAACTGGGCACGGTGGTGCACACCTGTAGTGCCAGCTACTTGGGAGGCTGAGGCAGGAGAATCACTTGAACCCGGGAGGCGGAGGTTGCAGTGAGTGGAAATCGCGGGGAGGCTAAGGCAGGAGAATCGCTTGAACCCAGGAGGCGGAGGTTGCAGTGCACCAAAATCGCTCCACTGCATTCCAGCCTGGCGACAGAGCGAGACTCCGTCTCAGAAAACAAACAAAAAACAGAAATATATATGTGCATACCTTTTGTCATAGCAATTCCACTTGTAAAAACTATCCTACAAAAATTGTTGCCGCTGAGCGCAATGGCTTATGCCTGTAATGCTAGCACTTTGGGAGGCCAAGGCGGGTGGATTTCTTGAGGCCAGCAGTTCGAGCCCACCCTGGCCAACAGGGTGAAACTCTGTCTCTACTAAAAATACAAAAATTAGCCAGGCGTGGTGGCACACACCTGTAATCCCAGCTACTCAGGAGGCTGAGACATGAGAATCACTTGAACCCGGGAGGTGGAGGTTGCAGTGAGCTGAGATGATGTCTCTGCACTCCAGCCTGGGTGACAGAGCAAAATTCTGTCTCAAAAAAAAAAAAAAAAAAAATTAACAAATCTTTTAGGCCTGAAATATCATTCCTTAATCTCATTTGTGCTAACAGTTATTTGTAAATTAAGAGAATAATTGTACTTAAAATGTTATCTCAGTTTCCTAACTGGAATAATGCACATGAATAGTTTTTATTTTGGAAAATAGTTTGTATTATAATAATATGATTTATTGAGTGGCTATGGTGGGTCAGAAACTATACTAAATGCTTTACCTGTGTTATCTGACTTAATCCTAACAATTCTATGAGTTAGGTACAATGAGTCCCCATATTTTACAGATGAGTAACTTGAAGTTTGAGTGAGTTAAGTAACTTCGGCAAAATCATGCAGCTAAGAATGAGGTAGAATTTGTTGAGATTTAAACCCTGGTCTATCTTGCCTCAGAGTCCAAAGACTTAACCTGTCTTCCCATGCCTCCTATATTAATAAGGCTATTTGTAGGGAAAGCAAAAAAGACATAAGTTTTTTTCATAGCGAACCTTCTCCCAACTCTTAAAAATGTGAATTTAAAAAACAACAATTTACCAAATTAGGAAGAAAACACCTTTAGTTTTAAGCATCTGAATAACTTTAAACGTCAAAAGGGAAAAATGGCAAGTTGAGAAATATATAAATACATTTTTCTTATGAATGGCGTATCCTTTTTGAAAGTTTTCTGTTTAGCCTCTGTCTTTCTAAACATTAGTAGATGTATGTTATATGTTTAAATAGGTCAGGGCTTTGGGATTTGTAAATCCTTACACGTTTTGCATTTTACATGCACCAATTCAGAGTTTACATTTTTATTATTTTTAGAGACATGGTCTCATTTTGTGGCCCAGGCTGGAGTGCAGTGGTGCAATCATAGCTCACTGCAGTTTTGAACTCCTGGGCTCAAGCCATCCTCCTGTTTCAGCCTCCCAAGTAGCTAGGACTACAGTATGTGCCAACCTGCCCAGCTTTTTGTTGTTGTTGCTGTTGTTGTAGAGATGGGGGTCTCGCTATATTGCCCAGGCTGGTGTTGAACTCCTGGCCTCAAGAAATCCTCCTGCCTTGGCCTCCCAAAACCATGGGATTACAGGCATGAGTCACTATATTCAGCCCAGAATTTTAAGCTTTTAAGCAAAATTTGTTCACTTTGGATTATGATAAAGCATGTCAGAACCATATTGCTACTGTAAATGTAATGAGTGACATTATTCTGTGAAGTATTAATAACTCTTAAGACTAAGTAAAAATCCATGTTTCTCCCTGTATTCAGTGCATGACCTTTTTTTCCTTTTATATTTGACCACATAAGGTCTAATTTTAGGTTAGGGACCTGCGCAATTTTGTGGATGCAACTCTGTCTCTATGCACGTTAAGAAAGGTTTATTTGAAGTCATACAACAGGGTATGTAAAAGTCATGGACTTTCAAGATAAACTTGAATTCAATAACTGGTTTAGTTACTCACTATTTGACCTTAGGCCTTAAAGCCTAGGCTCCTCATCTCTAACACAAGCATATTAGCAAAATCTGTTATGCAGGGTTGTTGCTGGAACTAGAAAAAAATATACAAATTAGAACATATTAAATCACCAATAATTGCTGACTACTTTTGGTGCAGTGGCTCATGCCTGTAATCCAAGCACTTTCAGAGGCAGAGGTGGGAGGATCGCTTGAGTACAAGAATTCAAGACCAGCCTGGGAAACATAGCAAGAACCTGTCTCTACAAAAAATTTTAAAAATTAGCTAGGCATCGTAGCATGTGCCTGTAGTCCCAGCTACTCAGGAGGGTGAGGCAGGAGGAGCAATCGAGCCTAAGAGTTCAAGGCTGCAGTGACCTATGATCCTGCCATGGCATTCTAGCCAAGGCAACAGAGAAAGACTCTGTCTCTTAAAAAATAAGAAGGTGACTATTTTTATTTTTATTATTTTGATACAAAATCTTATTTTAATTGTTTTATTTATACAACTCTATTTAATTTTCATTGAGTTCTAGTGGTAGTTTTATAATAGAGCATATAAAATAATTTTAGGCTGGGCGCGGTGGCTCACGCTTACAATCCCAGCACTTTGGGAGGCCAAGCCAGAAGGTGTTTGACACCAGCCTGGGCAACATAGCAAGACCCCATCTCTACAAAAAAATAATAATTAAAAAAAGAAAGCCAGGTGTGATGGTGCACGCCTACAATCCCAGCTACTTAGGAGGTTAAGGCAAGAGGATCACTTGAGCCCAGCAGTTTGAGGCTACAGTGAGCTATCATCGCACCACTGCACTCCAGCTTGGGTGACAGAGCAAGAATGTGTCTCTAAAAAAAATAAATAAATAAAAATGAAAGTAAATTAAAATTATTTTAAATGTACCCTTTTTGCTCATTTTCTTTTAGGAATTTCAAATGCCTTGGAAAGAGGAATCAGAATTTACAAAGCAGGATAAGGCTGCCAGAGTCATTCAGCAGGCCTGGAAAAGTTTCCTTGTGAGTTTATTTAGAAGTTTTATTGAAATATAATTTTTATGTCATAAAATTTAAAGTGTACAGTTCAATTTTTTTTTTTAAGACAGAATCTCTCTCTGTTGCCTAGGCTGGAGTGCAGTGGCATGATATTGGGTCACTGCAGCCTCTGCCTCCCAGGTTTGAGCAATTCTCCCACCTCAGCCTCCCCAGTAGCTGGGATTACAGGTGCACCACCATGCTTGGCTAATTTTTGAATTTTTAGTAGAGACGGGGTTTCACCATGTTGGCCAGGCTGGTCCCGAACTCCTGACTTCAGGTGATCCACCCTCCTTGGCCTCCCAAAGTGCTGGGATTACAGGCGTGAGCCACTGCACCCAGCCAGTTCAATACTTTTTATATAAAGTGTACAATTCAGTAGCTTTTAGTATACTTGCAGAATTGTGTGCCATTCTTCACTTTAAAAAGCAGACTTTTTGGCCGGGCGTGGTGGCTCACGACTGTAATCCCAGCACTTTGAGAGGCTGAGGCAGGCGGATCATCTGAGGTCGGGAGTTTGAGACCAGCCTGACGAACATGGAGAGACCCTGTCTCTACTAAAAATACAAAATTAGCTGGGTGTGGTGGCGCATGCCTGTAATCCCAGCTACACGGGAGGCTGAGGCAGAAGAATCACTTGAACTTGGGAGGCGGAGGTTGTGATGAGCCGAGATCACGCCATTGCACTTCAGCCTGGGCAGCAGCAGCAGCAACAACAACAACAACAACAACAACAAAGCAGACTTTTTTAACATTTCAAAAAGTTACAATTATTTCACTAGCTGCACAAATATTTATTGAGTTCCTGATCTGGGCCAGGCACTTTTATAATGGCTATCAATGAAAGTATCATTAATAAGATTATTTGCCTTTCACCTCTCAACACTTTATTTCTTGACTGAGGAACCAGCATTGTGAGCAGATGTTAGGAATATAGCCACTCATTAAATATTTATTGAGTACTTATTCTCGAGGAGCTTCAAGTTTATTAATAATACACTATATCCGGGTTAATGTCGTGGTCACTTGTGCTTTTATAAGGGTAGAGCTGGTCTTATAGGTGTAAGGAATATTCCAAGTTGAATTATCTGGTTGGGTGAGAGCCAAGAGGTAAAATGACCTCACTCTTTTCTCTCTGATAGCAGCAGGACTCTGTGCCTGGTAATTTTAAGTGAAGTAATATGGCTCTGTTTCTAGCACACACTGATACAAAGGTTTTATGGCTTACAAGACCACCTTTGTATCAGTTAATCCCATTTTGTAAAGTTGCTTCATTATTTGCCTCTACCAAGGCCATAAAACCTATGCTGGGGTATAACTATGTTGATTTCTAACACTAAAATAATATGTGTTTTTTTAAGATACAGGGATCTCACTATGTTGCCCAGGATGGTCTCAAACTCCTGGGCTCAAGTGATCCTCCAACCTCAGCTTCCCAAGTAACTTGCCCTATAGCCGAGCACTGTTATACCCAGCTAATCTTCTTTTAAAACTTATTCTTCCTTAGTTGGTTTTGATTGACATACACATCATCTAGGCGTAAGCTTTTCTATCGTTTGCAGCTATTTTCTCTCACATCCAACCAGCCACACACCTTTGACTAGCTGTTGTGTTCCTGACATTGTGCTAGGCATTTCAGAATACATCCTTGCCCTTGAAGGAGCTTCAGCAGAGAAGCCATGTAAATAAAGAGGTGTGTGTGTGTGTGTGTGTGTGTGTGTGTGTGTGTGTGTGTGTAGACGGAGGACACATTTTCACCTTCTATCTCTCCAGAACCCCATTGAAACGACACTGTGTAGAAGGTTAATCCATAACAAAGAGAAGGGGGTTCATGAGCAGATAAAAATTTTATCTAATTTTTGGAAAACTAAAAATAGATGATAGCATCCTTTGGAAAAACTGTAGAAACACTTGCCTAGACACATTTCATAGGGGTTCCAATGAGGGAATTGGTTTGCCATTGGAACCCCAGAGAGGATATGAATTTGGAGTTAACAATTTAAAAGAGCTGGAAGGAGAAGGACTGAAGACAGGGGTTAATTGAAGGTCTGTATATGGGGCAGCTGTGCCAGTTGTCTCCAGTCTTTTGCAGACCAAGAGCTGCAGGTAGGTGGATGTTTACTGCTAGTCACAAATCTGCTTGTAGACAGATACATACTATTAGGCAAAAAAGACACAAAGAAACCCTGGAGTCTTATCTCTTTTTTAAAAAAAAATGAAAAATGAAAAATCAAATGAACTATCTGAGAAAGCTAGTTCTAGCATGAATTTGGCATTCCACAGTGAAACCCTCTTAATTTTGTTGTGTTGCCTCTTAATTTTGGTATTTGAGAGACACCCTGCTTAATAGCTGGCTACTTGACGATACCCATTAGAGAAAGCCTGGTAATTACTTACTCCACTCATGTCATGAAGCCCCCAGGCAATTTTCCCACTCCTGAGTGAGAACACTGGGTAGACAGAATACTAACAAAAGATACTCGTACTAGCGCCTAGAAAAACTGACACAGACTTTCATTCTTAAGTATTAATGGACAACCAAGGTTCACTTTTTTTTTCCCACATAATTGTGAGATTTATTGAGTGAGATACCACTTTCCATTTACCAGAAAGGCTGAGATCAAAGTTTGTGGTTCTGGGGACAGGACTGGGATGGCTGTGACGGGAATGTGGAGACCTCTCACTGCATGCCCTTCCCTACTTTTTTAAATTTTGTGCCATCTGCAAACATTACCTAGTCAAAAAATTAATAAAATACTTAAAAATATGAGTTGGTTAGGGCATGGGGAAATAGGCATTCTTGTTCTGAGAGGAGGTGGTGTGGACAGAAACTTCTGTATGTTGGACAATAGTGATATTTATCCAAATGTTAAACAGGCACACCTTTTACCCAATGATATCTGGTCTAGTCTAGGAATTTCACCCACACCTGGGGGAAACGACACCCAAGTCTGTTCACCACTGCATGATTTGTGCTGATCCTGAGAGGCTGGCCTGAGCATCTAACCCTCTTTGAAGACCATGCTGACTCTGAACAAAGACCAGAAGCTAGACTTCCTGTCTGGTGATCTTCTCCAACCACCTCTTTTTTTTTTTTTTTTTTTTTTTGAGACAGAGTCTTGCTCTGTCTCCCAGGCTGCAATGCAGTGGTGTAATTTTGGCGCCTCCCAGTTCAAGTGATTCTCGTGCCTCAGCCTCCCGAGTAGGTGGGATACCGGCACGTGCCACCACACCCAAGGTTCACTTTTAGGGAAAACCAATAATGTCAAAACAAAAAGAAAAAGAAAGAAAAAAAAGATAGAACCTGAAGAAAACAAAAATAGTAATAAATTTAAATTAGATCAGGATATTGAGTGCCTCTAAGAGGGTTATATATGGGAGGAAAATGGTACCCCATGCAATAGAAAGTATGACAGAGGCTGGATTTAGAAAAAAGAGGTTAGAAACTCTGAAAAAGAGCTAACTGTGAAAGTCATGGTTCAGATATGACAGATTAAAATTGTTCTAAGATGTGAAGAGAATACATTTGCTCTTGATTCTAGACACAGCATCTTGATTCTAGATACAGTCAAGTGGGTGACTTCTAAAAAAAGGATGCATAGTTTTAGCACATTGCTTGGCTGTAGAAGTGAATTATTTGCATAGTTATAGTAATGTAAATGTAGGGATTTTAAAAAATTAAATATTTTAATCAAAGTAACATGAGTACTTCTTTAATAAGTAATATAGAATAATTTATTATGAAAAATAAATATTTTACCCCATCCTACTTTCTTTCACCCTCATACACTAAAAGCAACCGTTTTTAACTTTCTTTTTTTGAGATGGAGTCTTGCTCTGTTGCCCAGGCTGGAATGCAGTGGTGCAATCTCGGCTCACTGCAACCTTCGCCTCCCAGGTTCAATCAGTTCTCTGCCTCAGCCTCCCGAGTACCTGGGATTACAGGCGCCCACTACCACACCCAGCTGAGTTTTTTGTATTTTTAGTAGAGATGAGGTTTCACCATCTTGGCCAGGCTGATCTTGAACTCCTGACCTAGTGATCCACCCACCTCTCCCTCCCTAAGTGCTGGGATTACAGGTGTGAGCCACCGCGCCTGGCCCATTTTTAACTATTTTTATTGTAGATCTTCTAGTAGTTACTTCCATGCTTCTAAATAATGTGCGTGTACAATTATCTTTTATTAACTTTAGAAGTAATCTGTTGGCTTTCTGCAAAGATAATTGAGAGGGTAGGTTACTTACCCTCCACAGCCCTGCTTATCTCCCCTCCCAGTATCATCATGTTTTTTTTTAATTCCTCTATTTTATTACCTTATTGGTTTAAAGAATATTTAAGTCTTAGTTTCTTGTTCCATCAGGCTGACATAGAATCACTTGACTTCCCATTATATATGATGAGAACAAAGTATCCCTACCCTTTTCTTTACCTCTCCTCTCCATCTTCAAACCGCCAAGATCTATTACCTGTACTATTACGTTATAAGTATTCTCTGGAGGAGTTCATACATCCTGAATGCAAGTCCTTTGTTAAATACTATATGTGTTGAATATCTTCTCCCAGGCTTGCCTCGTTCCTCTAAGATGTTCTTAATGAAAAGAAGTCTTTAATTTTAATAAAGTCCAATTTGTGACTTTTTCTCTTTCTTTCCTTCTTTCCTTTCTTTCTTTCTTTTTTTTTTCTTTCTTTGATAGGGTTTCACTCTTTTGCCCATGCTAGAGTGCAGTTGCATGATCACAGTTCACTGTAACCTTGAACTCCTGGGCTCAAGCAATCCTCCTGCCTCAGCCTCCTGTTTGGACTACAGGTGTGCACTACCATGCCTGGCTAATTTTTTAATTTTTTGTAGAGACAGGGTCTAGGTATGTTGCCAAGGCTGGTGTTGAACTCCTGGCCTCAAGCAGTCCTCCCACCTTGGCCTCCGAAAGTGCTGAGATTACAGAGGTGAGCCACCATGCCCAGCCACCACTTTTTCTTCATGGTTAGTGCTTTCTGGGTCCTGTTTAAGAAATTTTGTCTAACCTAGTCAGAAGATATTTTCCTTATGTTTGTTCTAGAGGCTTAATTGCTTTAGTTTCAGATTGATATATAGTATCCATCTCAAATTAATTGTTGTGTATACTTAGAGGTACAAAGTTCATTTTTTTCTTATGGATATCCAACTGATCAAATACCTTTGAAAATACCATCCTTTTCACAATGAATTGCTGTGGTGCCATTGTTTAAATCATGTAATCATATATGTAAAGTGTTTCTATAGTGTCTATTCTGTTGCATTGGTCTATTTGTGTATATTTATTTGTTTATTTAAGACAGAGTCTCACCCTGTTGCCTAGGCTGGAGTGCAGTGGCACAATCTCAGCTCACTGAAATCTCCACCTCCCAGGTTCAAGCAATTCTCCTGCCTCAGCCTCCCAAATAGCTGGGACTACAGGCATGGGTCACCATGCCTGGATACTTTCTGTACTTTTTGTAGATGGGGTGTCTTGCCGTGTTGCCCGTGCTGGTCTCTTAACTCCTGAGCTCAAGTGATCTACCCACCTTGGCCTCCCAAAGTTCTGGGATTACAGGCATGAACCACCACAGCTGGCCCATGTCTTTGGATCTTAAATTTCTCTCCATGTTTTTTTTTTTTTTTTTTTTTTTTTGAGGTGGAGTCTTGCTCTGTCACCCAGGCTGGAGTGCAGTGATGTGATCTCAGCTCACTGCAACCACCGCTTCCTGGGTTCAAGCGATTCTCCTGCCTCAGCCTCCCGAGTAGCTGGGATTACAGGCATGTGCCGCCACACCTGACTAATTTTTGTATTTTTAGTAGAGATGGGATTTCACTATGTTGGTCAGTCTGGTCTCGAACTCCTGACCTCGTGATCCGCCCGCCTCGACCTCCCAAAGTGCTGGGATTACAGGCATGAGCCACTGTGCCTGGCCTCTAATTGCTTTTTTATAAATTCCTTTGGATTTTCTTAGTCATGTTATCTTTGAATGATGACAGTTTTACTTTTCCTTTGTGAACTTTCTATCTTTGGTTTATAGAAACACCATTGATTTTTGTATGTTGAGTTTGTAACTTTACTAAATTTGCTTATTATTTTTAACAGTTTTTTGATAAGAGTCTTTAAGGTCTTCTGTATATAAGATCATGTCATCTGGAAACAGAGACAATTTAACATCTTCCTTTTCAATTTGTATGTCTTATTTCTTTCTGTTGCCTAATTTCTCTGGCTGAGACTTCCAGTGCCATGTTGAATACAAGTAGTAAGCAGGGGCATCCATGTTCCTGATCTTAGAGAAGAAACTTTTAACTTTTCACCATTGAGTATGATGTTAGCTGTGGGCTTGTCATATGTGACCTTTAAAGGTAAATTAAGGAATATATTGAGACAAACAAAATGGAGACACAACATACCAAAACGTATGGGATGCAGCAAAGGCAATTCTAAAGGGGAATTTCATAGCAATAAATGCCTACATCACAAAACAAGAAAGATCTCAAACAACCTAATGTTACACTTCAAGGAACTAGAAACAGAAGAACAAACTAAGACCAAAGTTATCAGAAGGAAGGAAATAAAGATTAGAGCAGAAATGATTGAAATAAAAACTAGAAAAACAATAGAAAAGATCAACAAAACCAGGAGTTGGGTTTTTGAAAAGATAAACAAAATTGGCAAATCTTTAACTAGACTAACTAATAAAAACAAGAAAATCAGGTGTGGTGGCACACGTCTGTAGTCTCAGCTACCTGGGAGACTGAGGCAGAAAGATCACTTTAGCCCAAGAGTTTGAGTCCAGCCTTGGCAGCATAGTGAGACTACATCTCTAAAAGTAAATAAATAAATAAATAAATAAACAAAAATGTAAAAGTAGGCCTGGTGCAGTGGCTCACGCCTGTAATCCCAGCACTTTGGGAGGCCAAGGTGGGCGGATCACCTGAGGTCGGGAGTTCAAGACCAGACTGACCAACATGGAGAAACCTCGTCTCTACTAAAAATACAAAATTAGCCAGGTATGGTGGCACATGCCTGTAATCCCAACTACTCGGAAGGCTGAGGCAGGAGAATCACTTGAACCCAGGGGGCAGAGGTTGCAGTGAGCTGAGATCATGCCATTGCACCCCAGCCTGGGCAACAAGAGTGAAAGTGTCTCAAAAAAAAAAAAAAAGAAGACTCAAATAAATAAAATCAGAAATGAAAGATGAGACATTACAACTGATACTACAGAAATACAAAAGATAATAAGAAACTACTATGAACAATTATAAGCCAATAAATAGGATAACTTAGAAGAAATGGGCAAATTCTTAGATACATGTAACCTCCCAAGACTGAATCATGAAGAAATAGAAAATATGAATAGACCAATAATGAGTAAGAAAATTGGATCAGTAATAAAAAACCTCCCGTCAAAGAAAAGCCCAGGATGGCTTCACTGTTGAATTCACTGATGACCTTGCTGTTGAATTCTACTAAATATTTAAAGAAGAAATAATAATCTGCCCTTTTCAAACTCTTTCAAAAAATTAAAGAGGAGAGCATACTTCTAACCTCATTTACAAAGCCAACATGAGTTGGATACCAAAGCCAGATGAGGATGCTATCATAAAATTACAGGCTAATGCCCCTGATGAACATAGATGAATAGGATCTTCAACCAAATACTAGCAAACTGAATTTAACAGCACATTAAAATAATGATCAAGTGAGATTTATCCTTTGTGTGCAAGGTGGTTCAACATATACAAATCAATAAATGCGATGACCACATTAACAGAATAAAGGACAAAAAGCATGTGATCACTTCAATAGATATTTCGTATATTTTACAGTACTTCTTGTCTGAAAGAACATTTTATTTTATATTGTTATAGCTACCCTAGTGTTCTTTTGGTGAGTACCTACATGACATCTTTTCCTATTCTTTTACTTTTCATCTTTTTGTGCCCTTATATTTAAATTGTGTCTCTTGTAAACAAAATACAGTTGGATTTAATTTTGCATAATTCTAAATAATCTTTGTCTTTTAATTAGCATGTTTAGACCATTTATATTTATTGTAATTACTGTATTCATTGGGCTTAAGGCTACCATCTTGCTGTTTGTTTTCTACTTATCTGATCTGTTCTTCCTGTATTTTCCCCTCCCTTTTCCCTTTCTTGGTGGTAATTAAATATTGTTAGTTTGTCATTATTTTCTTCTCTATTAACTTTTTAGTTATTTTGATTGATTAAAGATGCCATAAGTTGTTTTCTATTTCTCCTGTTGACAGGAGGTGGCAATATTTTCCCTTTCTTTTTTTTTTCTTTTTTCTTTTTTTTTTAATTATACTTTAAGTTCTAGGGTACATGCACAACGTGCAGGTTGTTACAAATGTATACATGTGCCATGTTGGTGTGCTGCACGCATTAACTCATCGTTTACATTAGGTATATCTCCTAATGCTATCCCTCCCCCCTCCCCCCACCCCACGACAGGCCCTGGTGTGTGATGTTCCCCACCCTGTGTCCAAGTGTTCTCATTGTTTAATTCCCACCTATGAGGGAGCACATGCGGTGTTTGGTTTTCTGTCCTTGTGATAGTTTGCTCAGAATGATGGTTTCCAGCTTCATCCATGTCCCTACGAAGGACATGAACTCATCCTTTTATATGGCTGCATAGTATTCCATGGTGTGTATGTGCCACATTTTCTTAATCCAGTCTATCATTGATGGACATTTGGGTTGGTTCCAAGTCTTTGTTATTGTGAATAGTGCTGCAGTAAACATACGTGTGCATGTGTCTTTATAGCAGCATGATTTATAATCCTTTGGATATACACCCAGTAATGGGATGGCTGGCTCAAATGGTATTTCTGGTTCTAGATCCTTGAGGAATTGCCACACTGTCTTCTACAATGGTTGAACTAGTTTACAGTCCCACCAACAGTGTAAAAGTGTTCCTATTTCTCCACATCCTCTCCAGCACCTGTTGTTTCCTGACTTTTTAGTGATTCCCATTCTTACTGGTGTGAGATGGTATCTCATTGTGGTTTTGATTTGCATTTCTCTGATGGCCAGTGATGATGAGCATTTTTTCATGTGTCTGTTGGCTGCATAAATGTCTTCTTTTGAGAAGACATATCCTTTGCCCACTTTTTGATGGGGTGGTTTGATTTTTTTCTTGTAAATTTGTTTAAGTTCTTTGTAGATTCTTGATATTAGCCCTTTGTCATATGGGTAGATTGGAAAAATTTTCTCCCATTCTGTAGGTTGCCTGTTCACTCTGATGGTAGTTTCTTTTGCTGTGCAGAAGCTCTTTAGTTTAATTAGATCCCATTTGTCAATTTTGGCTTTTGTTGCCATTGCTTTTGGTGTTTTAGTCATGAAGTCCTTGCCCATGCCTATGTCCTGAATGGTATTGCCTAGGTTTTCTTCTAGGGTTTTTATGGTTTTAGGTCTAACGTTTAAGTCTTTAATCCATCTTGAATTAATTTTTTATAAGGTGTAAGGAAGGGATCCAGTTTCAGCTTTCTACCTATGGCTAACCAGTTTTCCCAGCACCATTTATTAAATAGGGAATCCTTTCCCCATTGCTTGTTTTTCTCAGGTTTGTCAAAGATCAGATGGTTGTAGATGTGTGGTATTATTTCTGAGAACTTTGTTCTGTTCCATTGATCTATATCTCTGTTTTGGTACCAGTACCATGCTGTTTTGGTTACTGTAGCCTTGTAGTAGACTTTGAAGTCAGGTAGCGTGATGCCTCCAGCTTTGTTCTTTTGGCTTAGGATTGTCTTGGCAATGCAGGCTCTTTTTTGGTTCCATGTGAACTTTAAAGTAGTCTTTTCCAATTCTGTGAAGAAAGTCATTGGTAGCTTGATGGGGATGGCATTGAATCTATAAATTACCTTGGGCAGTGTGGCCATTTTCACAATATTGATTCTTCCTACCCATGAGCATGGAATGTTCTTCCATTTGTTTGTGTCCTCTTTTATTTTGTTGAGCAGTGGTTTGTAGTTCTCCTTGAAGAGGTCCTTCACATCCCTTGTAAGTTGGATTCCTAGATATTTTATTCTCTGTAGCAATTGTGAATGGGAGTTCACTCATGATTTGGCTCTCTGTTTGTCTGTTATTGGTGTATAGGAATGCTTGTGATTTTTGCACATTGATTTTGTATCTTGAGACTTTGCTGAAGTTGCTTATCAGCTTAAGGAGATTTTGGGCTGAGATGATGGGGTTTTCTAAATATACAATCATGTCGTCTGCAAACAGAGACAATTTGACTTCCTCTCTTCCTAATTGAATACCCTTTATTTCTTTCTCCTGCCTGATTGCCCTGCCCGAACTTCCAACACTATGTTGAATAGGAGTGGTGAGAGAGGGCATCCCTGTCTTGTGCCAGTTTTCAAAGGGAATGCTTCCAGTTTTTGCCCATTCAGTATGATATTGGCTGTGGGTTTGTCATAAATAGCTGTTATTATTTTGAAACACGTCCCATCAGTACCTAGTTTATTGAGAGTTTTTAGCATGAAGAGCTGTTGAATTTTATTGAAGGCCGTTTCTGCATCTATTGAGATAATCATGTGGTTTTTGTAATTGGTTCTGTTTATATGCTGGATTACATTTATTGATTTGTGTACGTTGAACCAGCCTTGCATCCCAGGGATGAAGCCGACTTGATCATGGTGGATAAGGCTTTTTTTTAAAATTTTATTATTATTATACTTTAAGTTTTAGGGTACATGTGCACAATGTGCAGGTTTCTTACATATGTATACATGTGCCGTGTTGGTGTACTGCACCCATTAACTCATCATTTAGCATTAGGTATATCTCCTAATGCTATCCCTCCCCCCTCCCCCCACCCCACAACAGTCCCTGGAGTGTGATGTTCCCCTTCCTGTGCCTATGTGTTCTCATTGTTCAATTCCCACCTATGAGTGACAACATGTGGTGTTTGGTTTTTTGTTCTTGCCATAGCTTGCTAAGAATGACGGTTTCCAGTTTTATCCATGTTCCTACAAAGGTCATGAACTCATCATTTTTTATGGCTGCATAGTATTCCATGGTGTATATGTGCCACATTTTCTTAATCCAGTCTATCGTTGTTAGGCATTTGGGTTAGTTCCAAGTCTTTGCTATTGTGAATAGTGCCGCAATAAACATACGTGTGCATGTGTCTTTATATTTATAATCCTTTGGGTGTATACCCAGTAATGGGATGGCTGGGTCAAATGGTATTTCTAGTTCTAGATCCCTGAGGAATTGCCGTGCTGACTTCCACAATGGTTGAACTAGTTTACAGTCCCACCAACAGTGTAAAAGTGTTCCTGTTTCTCCACATCCTCTCCAGCACCTGTTGTTTCCTGACTTTTTAATGATCGCCATTCTAACTGGTATGAGATGGTATCTCATTGTGGTTTTGATTTGCATTTCTCTGACAGCCAGTGATGATGAGCATTTTTTCATGTGTTTTTTGGCTGCATAAATGTCTTCTTTTGAGGAGTGTCTGTTCATATCCTTGGCCCACTTTTTGATGGGTTTTTTTTTCTCTTGTAAATTTGTTTGAGTTCATTGTAGATTCTTGATATTAGCCCTTTGTCAGATGAGTAGGTTGCAAAAATATTCTCCCATTTTGTAGGTCGCCTGTTCACTCTGATGGTAGTTTCTTTTGCTGTGCAGAAGCTCTTAAGTTTAATTAGATCCCATTTGTCAATTTTGGCTTTTGTTGCCATTGCTTTTGGTGTTTCAGACATGAAGTCCTTGCCTATGCCTATGTCCTGAATGGTATTGCCTAGGTTTTCTTCCAGGGTTTTTATAGTTTTAGGTCTAACATGTAAGTCTTTAATCCATCTTGAGTTAATTTTTGTATCAGGTGTAAGGAAGGGATCCAGTTTCAGCTTTCTACCTATGGCTAGCCAGTTTTCCCAGCACCATTTATTAAATAGGGAATCCTTTCCCCATTGCTTGTTTTTCTCAGGTTTGTCAAAGAGCAGATGGTTGTAGATATGCGGCATTATTTCTGAGGACTCTGTTCTGCTCCATTGATCTATATCTCTGTTTTGGTACCAGTACCATGCTGTTTTGGTTACTGTAGCCTTGTAGTATAGTTTGAAGTCAGGTAGTGTGATGCCTCCAGCTTTGTTCTTTTGGCTTAGGATTCACTTGGCTATGTGGGCTCTTTTTTTGGTTCCATATGAACCTTAAAGTAGTCTTTTCCAATTCTGTGAAGAAAGTCATTGGTAGCTTGATGGGGATGGCATTGAATCTATAAATTACCTTGGGCAGTAGGGCCATTTTCACGATATTGATTCTTCCTACCCATGAGCATGGAATGTTCTTCCATTTGTTTGTATCCTCTTTTATATCACTGAGTAGTGGTTTGTAGTTCTCCTTGAAGAGGTCCTTCACATCCCTTGTAAGTTGGATTCCCAGGTATTTTATTCTCTTTGAAGCAATTGTGAATGGGAGTTCACTCATGATTTGGCTCTCTGTTTGTCTGTTATTGGTGTATAAGAATGCTTCTGATTTTTGTACATTGATTTTGTATCCTGAGACTTTACTGAAGTTGCTTATCAGCTTAAGGAGATTTTGGGCTGAAATGATGGGGTTTTCTAGATATACAATCATGTCGTCTGCAAACAGGGACAATTTGACTTCCTCTTTTCCTAATTGAATACCCTTTATTTCCTTCTCCTGCCTAATTGCCCTGGCCAGAACTTCCAACACTATGCTGAATAGGAGTGGTGAGAGAGGGCATCCTGTCTTGTGCCCGTTTTCAAAGGGAATGCTTCCAGTTTTTGCCCATTCAGTATGATATTGGCTGTGGGATTGTCATAGATATCTCTTATTATTTTGAGATACGTCCCATCAATACCTAAATTATTGAGAGTTTTTAGCATGAAGGGTTGTTGAATTTTGTCAAAGGCCTTTTCTGAATCTATTGAGATAATCATGTGTTTTTTGTCTTTGGTTCTGTTTATATGCTGGATTACATTTATTCATTTGCATATGTTGAAGCAGCCTTGCATCCCAGGGATGAAGCCCACTTGCTCATGGTGGATAAGCTTTTTGATGTGCTGCTGGATTTGGTTGGCCAGTATTTTATTGAGGATTTTTGCATCAATGTTCATCAAGGATATTGGCCTAAAATTCTCTTTTTCGGTTGTGTCTCTGCCTGGCTTTCGTATCAGGATAATGCTGGCCTCATAAAAAGAGTTAGGGAGGATTCCCTCTTTTTCTATTGATTGGAATAGTTTCAGAAGGAATGGTACCAGTTCCTCCTTGTACCTCTGGTAGAATTCAGCTGTGAATCCATCTGGTCCTGGACTTTTTTTGGTTGGTAAGCTATTGATTATTGCCACAATTTCAGATCCTGTTATTGGTCTATTCAGAGATTCAACTTCTTCCTGGTTTAGTCTTGGGAGGGTGTATGTGTCAAGGAATTTATCCATTTCTTCTAGATTTTCTAGTTTATTTGCATAGAGGTCTGTGTAGTATTCTCTGATGGTAGTTTGTATTTCTGTGGGATTGGTGGTGATATCCCCTTTATCATTTTTTATTGCATCTATTTGATTCTTCTCTCTTTTTTCTTTATTAGTCTTGCTAGCAGTCTATCAATTTTGTTGATCTTTTCAAAAAACCAGCTCCTGAATTCATTAATTTTTTGAAGCGTTTTTTGTGTCTCTATTTCCTTCAGTTCTGCTCTGATTTTAGTTATTTCTTGCCTTCTGCTAGCTTTTGAATGTGTTTGCTCTTGCTTTTCTAGTTGTTTTAATTGTGATGTTAGGGTGTCAATTTTGGATCTTTCCTGCTTTCTCTTGTGGGCATTTAGTGCTATAAATTTCCCTCTACACACTGCTTTGAATGTGTCCCAGAGATTCTGGTATGTTGTGCCTTTGTTCTCGTTGGTTTCAAAGAACGTCTTTATTTCTGCCTTCATTTTGTTATGTACCCAGTAGTCATTCAGGAGCAGGTTGTTCAGTTTCCATGTAGTTGAGCGGTTTTGAGTGAGATTCTTAATCCTGAGTTCTAGTTTGATGTCACTGTGGTCTGAGAGACAGTTTTTTATAATTTCTGTTCTTTTACATTTGCTGAGGAGAGCTTTACTTCCAACTATGTGGTCAATTTTGGAATAGGTGTGGTGTGGTGCTAAAAAAAAATGTATATTCTGTTGATTTGGGGTGGAGAGTTCTGTAGATGTCTATTAGGTCCGCTTGGTGCAGAGCTGAGTTCAATTTCTGGGTATCCTTGTTAACTTTCTGTCTCGTTGATCTGTCTAATGTTGACAGTGGGGTGTTAAAGTCTCCCATTATTATTGTGTGGGAGTCTAAGTCCCTTTGTAGGTCACTCAGGACTTGCTTTATGAATCTTGGTGCTCCTGTATTGGGTGCATATATATTTAGGATAGTTAGCTCTTCTTGTTGAATTGATCCCTTTATCATTACGTAATGGCCTTCTTTGTCTCTTTTGATCTTTGTTGGTTTAAAGTCTGTTTTATCAGAGACTAGGATTGCAACCCCTGCCTTTTTTTGTTTTCCATTTGCTTGGCAGATCTTCCTCCATCCTTTTATTTTGAGCCTATGTGTGTCTCTGCACATGAGATGGGTTTCCTGAATACAGCACACTGATGGGTCTTGACTCTTTATCCAATTTGCCAGTCTGTGTCTTTTAATTGGAGCATTTAGCCCATTTACATTTAAAGTTAATATTGTTATGTGTAAATTTGGTCCTGTCATTATGATGTTAGCTGGTTATTTTGCTCGTTAGTTGATGCAGTTTCTTCCTAGCCTTGATGGTCTTTACATTTTGGCATGATTTTGCAGTGGCTGGTACCGGTTGTTCCTTTCCATGTTTAGTGCTTCCTTCAGGAGCTCTTTTAGGGCAGGCCTGGTGGTGACAAAATGTCTCAGAATTTGCTTGTCTGTAAAGTATTTTATTTCTCCTTCACTGATGAAGCTTAGTTTGGCTGGATATGAAATTCTGGGTTGAAAATTCTTTTCTTTAAGAATGTTGAATATTGGCCCCCACTGTCTTCTGGCTTGTAGAGTTTCTGCTGAGAGATCCGCTGTTAGTCTGATGGGCTTCCCTTTGTGGGTAACCCGACCTTTCTCTCTGGCTGCCCTTAACATTTTTTCCTTCATTTCAACTTTGGTGAATCTGACAATTATGTGTCTTGGAGTTGCTCTTCTCAAGGAGTATCTTTGTGGTGTTCTCTGTATTTCCTGAATCTGAATGTTGGCCTGCCTTGCTAGATTGGGGAAGTTCTCCTGGATAATATCCTGCAGAGTGTTTTCCAACTTGGTTCCATTCTCCCCATCACTTTCAGGTACACCAATCAGACGTAGATTTGGTCTTTTCACGTAGTCCCATATTTCTTGGAGGCTTTGTTCGTTTCTTTTTATTCTTTTTTCTCTAAACTTCCCTTCTCACTTCATTTCATTCATTTCATTCATTTCATCTTCCATCACTGATACCCTTTCTTCCAGTTGATCGCGTCGGCTCCTGAGGCTTCTGCATTCTTCACGTAGTTCTCGAGCCTCGGCTTTCAGCTCCATCAGCTCCTTTAAGCACTTCTCTGCATTGATTATTCTAGTTATCCATTCGTCTAATTTTTTTTTCAAAGTTTTTAACTTCTTTGCCATTGGTTTGAATTTCCTCCTGTAGCTCGGAGTCGTTTGATCGTCTGAAGCCTTCTTCTCTCAGCTCGTCAAAGTCATTCTCCATCCAGCTTTGTTCCATTGCTGGTGAGGAGCTGCGTTCCTTTGGAGGAGGAGAGGTGCTCTGCTTTTTAGAGTTTCCAGTTTTTCTGCTCTGTTTTTTCCCCATCTTTGTGGTTTTATCTACTTTTGGTGTTTGATTATGGTGACATACAGATGGGTTTTTGGTGTGGATGTCCTTTCTATTTGTTAGTTTTCCTTCTGACAGACAGGACCCTCAGCTACAGGTCCGTTGGAGTTTGCTAGAGGTCCACTCCAGACCCTGTTTGCCTGGGTATCAGCAGTGGTGGCTGCAGAACAGCGGTGGCTATAGAACAGTGGATATTGGTGACCTGCAAATGCTGCTGCCTGATCGTTCCTCTGGAAGTTTTGTCTCAGAGGAGTACCCTGCTGCGTGAGTTGTCAGTCTGCCCTTACTGGGGGGTGCCTCCCAGTTAGGCTGCTCGGGGGTCAGGGACCCACTTGAGGAGGCAGTCTGCCCATTCTCAGATCTCCAGCTGCATGCTGGGAGAACCACTACTCTCTTCAAAGCTGTCAGACAGGGACATGTAAGTCTGCAGAGGTTACTGCTGTCTTTTTGTTTGTCTGTGCCCTTCCCCCAGAGGTGGAGCCTACAGAGGCAGGCAGGCCTCCTTGAGCTGTGGTGGGCTCCATCCAGTTGGAGCTTCCCGGCTGCTTTGTTTACCAAATCAAGCCTGGGCAATGGCAGGCACCCCTCCTCCAGCCTTGCTGCTGCCTTGCAGTTTGATCTCAGACTGCTGTGCTAGCAATCAGCAAGACTCCGTGGGCGTAGGACCCTCCGAGCCATGTGTGGGATATAATCTCCTGGTGTGCCGTTTTTTAAGCCCGTTGCAAAAGTGCAGTATTAGGATGGGAAGTGACTGGATTTTCCAGGTGCCATCTGTCACCCCTTTCTTTGACTAGGAAAGGGAACTCCCTGACCCCTTGCGCTGCCGGAGTGAGGCAATGCCTTGCCCTGCTTCAGCTCGTGCACGGTGCGCTGTACCCAGTGTCCTACACCCACTGCCTGGCACTCCGTAGTGAGATGAACCTGGTACCTCAGATGGAAATTCAGAAATCACCTGTCTTCTGCGTCGCTCATGCTGGGAGCTGTAGACTGGAGCTGTTCCTATTCGGCCATCTTGGCTCCACCCTGTGGATAAGCTTTTTGATGTGCTGCTGGATGCGGTTTGCCAGTATTTTATGGAGGGTTTTTGCATCGATGTTCATCAGGGATATTGGTCTAAAATTCTCTTTTTTTGTTGTGTCTCTGCCAGGCTTTGGTGTCAGGATGATGTTGGCCTCATAAAATGAGTTAGGGAGGATTCCTTCTTTTTCTATTGATTGGGATAGTTTCAGAAGGAATGGTAGCAGCTCCTCTTTGTACCTCTGGTAGAATTCGGCTGTGAATCCGTCTGGTCCTGGACTTTTTTTTGGTTGGTAGGCTATTAATTATTGCCTCAATTTCAGGGCCTGTTATTGGTCTATTCAGGGATTCATCTTCATGGTTTAGTCTTGGGAGGGTGTATGTATCCAGGAATTTATCCATTTCTTCTAGATTTTCTAGTTTATTTGCGTAGAGGTGTTTATAGTATTCTCTGATGGTAGTTTGTATTTCTGTGGGATCGGTGGTGATATCCCCTTTATCATTTTTTATTGCGTCTATTTGATTCTTCTCTCTTTTCTTCTTTATTAGTCTTGCTAGTGGTCTATCAATTTTGTTGATCTTTTTAAAAACCCAGCTCCTGGATTCATTGATTTTTTGAAGGGTTTTTTGTGTCTCTATTTCTTTCAGTTCCGCTCTGAACTTAGTTATTTCTTGCCTTCTGCTAGCTTTTGAATGTTTTTGCTCTTGCTTCTCTAGTTCTTTTAATTGTGATGTTAGGGTGTCAATTGTAGATCTTTCCTGCTTTCTCTGGTGGTAATTTAGTGCTATAAATTTCTGTCTACACACTACTTTAAATGTGTCCCAGAGATTCTGGTATGTTGTGTCTTTGTTCTGGTTGGTTTCAAAGAACATCTTTATTTCTGCCTTCATTTTGTTATGTACCCAGTAGTCATTCAGGAGCAGGTTGTTCAGTTTCCATGTAGTTGAGCGGTTTTGAGTGAGTTTCTTAATCCTGAGTTCTAGTTTGATGTCACTGTGGTCTGAGAGACAGTTTGTTATAATTTCTGTTCTTTTACATTTGCTGAGGAGTGCTTCCAACTATGGGGTCAATTTTGGGATAGGTGTCGTGTGATGCTGTAAAAATGTATATTCTCTTGATTTGGGGTGGAGAGTTCTGTAGATGTCTATGAGGTCTGCTTGGTGCAGAGCTGAGTTCAATTCCTGGATATCCTTGTTAACCTTCTGTTTCGTTGATCTGTCTCATGTTGACAGTGGGGTGTTAAAGTCTCCTATTATTATTGTGTGGGAGTCTAAGTCTCTTTGTAGGTCACTCAGGACTTGCTTTATGAATCTGGGTGCTCCTGTATTGGGTGCATATATATTTAGGATAGTTAGCTCTTCTTGTTGAATTGATCCCTTTATAATTACGTAATGGCCTTCTTTGTCTCTTTTGATCTTTGTTGGTGTAAGTCTGTTTTATCAGAGGCTAGGATTGTAGCCCCTGCTTTTTTTGTTTGTTTGTTTTCCATTTGCTTGTTAGATCTTCCTCCATCCCTTTATTTTGAGCCTATGTGTGTCTCTGCACATGAGATGGGTCTCCTGAATACAGCACAGTGATGGGTCTTGAATCTTTATCCAATTTGCCAGTCTGTGTCTTTTAGTTGGAGCATTTAGCCCATTTACATTTAAAGTTAATATTATTATATGTGAATTTGATCCTGTCATTATGATGTTAGCTGGTTATTTTTCTCGTTAGTTGATGTTGTTTCTTCCTAGCATCGATGGTCTTTACAATGTTTTTGCAGTGGCTGGTACTGGTTGTTCCTTTCCATGTTTAGTGCTTCCTTCAGGAGCTGTTGTAAGGGAGGCCTGGTGATGACAAAATCTCTCAGCATTTGCTTGTCTGTAAAGTATTTTATTTTTCCTTCACTGATGAAGCTTAGTTTGGCTGGATATGAAATTCTGGGTTGAAAATTCTTTTCTTTAAGAATGTTGAATATTGGCCCCCACTGTCTTCTGGCTTGTAGAGTTTCTGCTGAGAGATCCGCTGTTATTCTGATGGGTTTCCCTTTGTGGGTAACCCGACCTTTCTCTCTGGCTGCCCTTAATATTTTTTCCTTCATTTCAACTTTGGTGAATCTGACAATTATGTGTCTTGGGATTGCTCTTCTCGAGGAGTATCTTTGTGGCATTCTCTGTATTTCCTGAATTTGAATTTTGGCCTGTTTTGCTAGGTTGGGGAAGTTCTCCTGGATAGTATTCTTAAGAGTGTTTTCCAACTTGATTCCATTCTCCACATCACTTTCAGGTACACCAATCAGACGTAAGTTTCATCTTTTCACATAGTCCCACATTTCTTAGAGGCTTTGTTCGTTCTTTTTCCTCTTTTTTCTCTAAACTTCTCTTCTGGCTTCCTTTCATTCTTTTGATCTTCAATCACTGATACCCTTTCTTCCACTTGATTGAATCGGGTACTGAAGCTTGTGCATGCATCACCTAGTTCTCTTGCCATGGTTTTCAGCTCCATCAAGTGATTTAAGGTCTTCTCTACACTGTTTCTTCTAGTTAACCATTCATCTCATCTTTTTTCAAGGTTTTTAGCTTCTTTGTGATAGGTTTGAACATCCTCCTTTAGCTCGGAGAAGTTTGTTATTACTGATCATCTGAAGCCTTCTTCTCTCAACTCATCAAAGTCATTTTCCATCCAGCTTTGTTCTGTTGCTGGCAAGGAGCTGCATTCCTTTGGAGGAGAAGAGGCATTCTGATATTTAGAATTTTCAGCTTTTCTGCTCTGGTTTCTCCCCGTCTTTGTGGTTTTCTCTACCTTTGGTCTTTGATGATGGTGACATACAGATGGGATTTTGGTGTGGGTGTCCTTTCTGTTTGTTAGTTTTCCTTCTAATAGGACCCGCAGCTGCAGGTCTGTTGGACTTTGCTGGAAGTCCACTCCAGACCTTGTTTGCCTGGGTATCACCAGCGGAGGCTGCAGAACAGCAAATATTGCAGAATGGCAATTGTTGCTGCCTAATCCTTCCTCCGGAAGCTTTGTCTCAGAGGGGCACCTGGCCGTATGAGGTGTCAGTCTGCCCCTACTGGGGGGTGCCTCCCAGTTAGGCTACTTGGGGGTCAGGGACCCACTTGAGGAGGCAGTCTGCCCATTCTCTCATCTCAAACTCCATGCTGGGATAACAACTACTCTTTTCAAAGCTGTCAGACAGGGACGTTTAAGTCTGCAGAAGTTTCTGCTGCCTTTTGTTCAGCTATGCCCTGCCCCCAGAGGTGGAGTCTACAGAGGCAGGCAGGCCTCCTTGAACTGTTGGTGGGCTCCACCCAATTCGAGCTTCCCGGCTGCTTTGTTTACCTACTCAAGCCTCAGCAATGGCAGACGCCTCTCCTCCAGCCTCGCTGCCGCCTTGCAGTTCAATCTCAGACTGCTGTGTTAGTAGTGAGCAAGGTTCCGTGGGTGTGGGACCCTCTGAGCCAGGTGCAGGATATAATCTCCTGGTGTGCTGTTTGCTAAGACTGTTGGAAAAGCACAGTATTAGGGTGGGAGTGTCCTAATTTTCCAGGTACCATCTGTCACGGCTTCCCTTGGCTAGGAAAGGGAATTCCCCAACCCCTTGCACTTCCTGGGTGAGGCAGTGCGTTGCCCTGCTTTGGCTCATGCTCCTTGGGCTGCACCCACTGTCTGACAAGCCCCAGTGAGATGAACCCGGTACCTCACTTGGAAATGCCGAAATCACCTGTCTTCTGCGTTGCTCATGCTGGGAGCTGTAGACTGGGGCTCTTCCTATTTGGCCATCTTGGAACCTCCTCTTCCTATCGGTCATATTTTCCCTTTCATCTAGGCTATTTTAGTAACTTGCTTTACCATTAAAACCACTAAAATAGGACATGACATTCTGGAACCTCTTAGTCTAGGTCATAAAAAGCATTGCAGTGTCCAAGTCTGTGTCCTGAAATGTTCATTCTGAGTGAGAACAGCCACCATGTAGGAAGGATAACTGCCCTGAAACTGCCATGCTGAAGTGAATCCCAGGCTAGCCTCATGGAGAGGTTGCCTCCAGAGATTGATGATTGACTATCCTGTTTTAACAGATATTACAGCCCACTTAAGCAGATACGTAAGTGAAAAGGCCATTTTTTATATTCCATGCCCAATAAGTGTAATAAGGAAAAGAACCAAGAGACCTAGCTGACAGCTAGAATGCAGGTCCTTGATATTGGGCCCCACTTGAGCCATCCCAGCCATTTCTACTGTTCAAGTCATCCCCGCTGAAGCCTCAGTCATTGTGGAGATGAGACAAGACTTCCCTACTATTCCCTACCAGAATTCGTAACCCATAATTATGAGCATAATAAAATGGTGGTTGTTTTTACACTACTAAGTTTTGAGGTACTTTACTACACAGTAATAGATGATTAGAACAGCTATATATTCTTTTAGAGGGTTAAGCTAGAAAGGGCAAAGTTACAATATTTGCCCTTGATTAGTTAGTCTCTACCTTAAATTAGTACTTTTACCCTTTTCAGAACAATGTAAGAAGCTCATAACATGTTAACTCACTTTAGCCTCTTCACCTTTGTCCTGTTATTTCCAGATATTTCACTTACACTTTTGTTTTAAGTACCAGGAGACATTATTATTCTTGTTTTAAACAGCCAGTGTTCACTTTTTTATTGTAGTAAAATGTTCATAACATAAAATTTACCAGTTTAACCGTTTTTAGGTGTATAACTCAATTACATTAAGTATATTCATAATGTTGTGCACCTATCACCAGTATCCATTTCCACAGCTTTTTCATCATCCCAAA
Organism: Homo sapiens; assembly: GCF_000001405.40. Lineage (NCBI taxonomy): Eukaryota > Metazoa > Chordata > Mammalia > Primates > Hominidae > Homo > Homo sapiens. Next base: position 108,439,848 of record NC_000011.10, on the reverse strand, counting down.
CAAAACCTCATGTACCCATTAAACAAAAACCTCCTAACCACCAGACCCCAGTTATCTCTATTCTACTTTGTGTCTCTGTGAATTTTCCTATTTTAGGTACCTCATTTAAGTGGATTTATCTTTTTGTATCTGGCTTATTTTACTCAACATAACATTTTCAATGTTCATCCAATTTATAGCATGTATCAGAATTTCATTCCTTTCTAAGGATGGATAATATTCCATTATATATCTATATGCTACATTGTATTTATCCATTCATCTGTTAATGGACATTTGGGCTATTTCCACTTTTTGGTTACTGTGAATAATGCTGCTAATAAATTGATGTAAAAATATCTGTTTGAGCCATTGCTTTCTTTTTGGTATATGTCTAGAAGTGGAATTGCTGGATTATGTAATTCAATGTTTGACTTTGTGAGGAACTGCCAAACTTTACCACAGTGGCTGTACCATTTTACATTCCCACCAGCAATGCACAAGGTTTCCAGTTGCTCTATATCCTTGCCAATACTTGCTATTTTCAAGTTTTTTGGTAATAGCCATTCTAATGGATGTTAAGTCGTATCTCATTGCAGTTTTGATTTACATTTCCCTTATGACTAGTGATATTGATCATCTTTTTTGTCCTTATTGACCACTTGTAAGTCTTCTTTGGAGAAATATATATTCAAGACCTTTGCCCATTTTTACATTGAGTTGTTTTGCATTTGTTGTTGAGATGTAGCAGTTCTTTATGTTTCGAAGATCTGCTTTGCAAATATTTTCTCCCATTTTGTGGATTGCCCTTTTACTCTCTTGTTAGTGTCCTTTGATGCACAAAAAGTTTTAATTTTTTTTTTTTAGATGGAGTCTCGCTCTGTCACCCAGGCTGGAGTGCAGTGGCACAGTCTCGGTTCACTGCAACCTCTGCCTCCTGCGTTCAAATGATTCTTCTGCCTCAGCCTCCTGAGTAGCTGGGACTACAGGCGACCACCACCATGCCTGGCTAATTTTTGTATTTTTAGTAGAAATGGGGTTTCACTGTGTTGGCCAGACTGGTCTCAAACTCCTGACCTCAAGTGATCTGCCCGCCTTGGCCTCCCAAAGTGCTAGGATTACAAGCGTGAGCCACTGCACCCAGTCTGATTTTTATGTAGTCCAGTTTATCTTTTTGTTCATTTTGTTTCTTGTGCTTTTGGTGTTATATCCAAGAAATCATTACCAAATCCAACGTCATGAAGCTTTTCCCCCATATTTTCTTCTAGGAGTTTTATGGCTTTAACTCTTATATTTGGATCTTTGATTTTTTTTTTTTCCAGACGAAATCTTGCTTTGTTGCCCAAGCTGGAGTGCAGTGACTCAATCTCAGCTCAGTGCCAACTCCGCCTCCCAGGTTTGAGGGATTCTTTTGCCTCAGCCTACCGAGTAGCTGGGACTACAGGAGTGCGCCACATGCCCAGCTAATTTTTGTATTTTTAGTGGAGACAGGGTTTCACCACGTTGGCCAGGCTGGTCTCAAACTCCTGACCTCAAGTGATCTGCCCGTCTCGGCCTCCCAAATTGCTGAAATTATAGGCGTGAGCCACTGCATGCCACCTAAATCTTTGATCCATTTTGATTTAATGTTGCATATGGTGTAAATTAAGGACCCAATTTCATTATTTTTCATGTGGGTATATAATTGTCACGGATACATTTGTTGAAAATACTGTCCTCTTCATTGAATGGTTTTGAAACCCTTGTCAAAAATGAGTTGACGACATATATATGAGTCTATTTGGAGGCTCTCTATGCTATTCCATTGGCCTATATATCTGTCCTTAGGCCAGTACCAAACTGTTTTGATTATTGTAGCTTTAGTAAGTTTTGAAATCCGGAAGTATGGCTCTCCAACTCACACTTTTTCACTTATTTTATTCTTTTTCAAGACTGTTTGGCTATTCAGGGTCCCTTGTGTTCCACATAGATTTTAGGATGGGCTTTTCTATTTTTTCAAAAAGTGCCGTTGGGATTTTGGATAGTGATTACATTGAATCTGTACATTGCTTTGGGTAATACTGTCATCTTAACAATACTAAGGCTTCCAATCTGTGAATGTGGGGTGTTTTTCCGTTTAATTTCCTTATCCTTTTTTTTTTTTTTTTTTTTTTTTTTTTTTTAAGACTGAGTCTCACCTGTCACCAGGCTGGAGTGCAGTGGTGCTATCTCAGCTCACTGCAACCTCTGCCTCTGCCTCCCGGATTCAAGCGATTCTCCTGCCTCAGCCTCCCGAGTAGCTGGGACTACAGACATGCGCCACCATGCCCAGCTAATTTTTGTATGCTTAGTAGAGACGGGGTTTCACCATGTTGGCCAGGATGGTTTCGATCTCTTGACCTCATGATCTGCCCGCCTCAGCCTCCCAAAGTGCTGGGATTACAGGCGTGAGCCACTGCACCCAGCCTTCAGTATCTATTTTTATCTATCCAGATACAAACCATTTCCAGAGCCCTTCATTTGTTCCTGCAGCCTTATTTGCTTCCTTATGGTATTAATTTTCTGCCAACTCAAGAATTCTCTGTAGTTTGATTTTGTTTTTGAGAGGCAAGTTCTTGCTCTGTCACCCAGGCTGGAGTGCAGTGGTGCAATCATAGCTCACTGTAGCCTCGAATTCCTGAGCTCAAGTGATCCTCCTACCTCAAGCTACTGAGTAGCTAGGACTTCAGGTGTGCATCACCACACCTAGATAATTTTTAAAATTTTGTCCACCCCCCCCCTTTTTTTTTTTTTTTTGTCGTAATGGGTTCTTAATATGTTGACCTGGTGGGTCTCAAACTCCTAGCCTCAAGTGATCTTCCCATGTCAGCCTCCCAAAGTTCTGGAACTATAGATGTGTCTGTAGTATTTCTTATAAGATTTCTTAGATGCCAGACCTCCTGTGAAAAATCCCTTCAGCTTTTGTTTGTCTAAAAGCATATTTATTTCCTTTTTATTTTCAAAGAATATTATCACATTTCATAGAAATCTGGACTGGCATGTTATTGGGATTTTTCCCCCCTCAGCACTCAGATGGCATTCCATTGTATTCTGTCTCCCATAGTTTCTATTAAAAAGTCAATAAATAGTGTTACCGTTTCTACTCTGAAAGTATTGTGGTATTTATTTTCTGGCTGCTTTTAAATTGCGTCTTTGTCTTTGGTTTTTAGCAGTTTGATTATGATGTGTCTATATGTCATTTTCTTTATATTTGTCCTTGTTTGGTCAAGTTGACAATAGAATAACCCAGCTGAGTCTACCCCTTGTCACCTTGGCATCCATACAAATCCCTTTTAACCATATTTAACTTCCAAATAGAATCAAAACCATGCTTCCACCTAACATTCCTCATACAGGCCAAAGCATATTCACAACCTTCCCAAAAGTACCTTTATCCCTTTTTGGATCATTTTTATTCCTCTTTTTGCTGAACCATACTCTACCTATGATATCTTATACTTTAAATACCAGGTGGAAGGTTAAGTACTTGTATTAATTTCCTAATGCTACTGTAAAAATTGCCACAAAGTTAGTGCTTTAAACCACAAAAATGTATTATCTTACGGTTCTGGAGGTCAGAAGTCTGAAATGGGCTTCACTGGGCTAAAATCAAGCGTCAGCAGAGCTTGTGTTCTCTCTGGAGGCTCTAGGGAAGAATTTCCTGCCTTTTCCTCCTTCTAGAAGTTGCCCGCATCCTTGGCTCATTATGCCCTTCTATTTTCTTTCTTTTTTTTTTTTTTCCTCCTAAAATCCTTTCCTGGAGCAACCCCTGTCTATTTTCAAAACCAGCAATGACCTGTCAAGTCTTTCCCTCATCACACCACTCTTGCTGACTCTTCTATGTCCTTTATACGGACCCTTGCAATTACCTTGGGCCAATGAGGATAATTTCCCTGTGTCAAAGTCAGCTGATTAGCAACCTTAGTTCCAAATGCAATCCTAATTCACCCTCTCCATGTAACAGCATATTTACACATTACAGATTACAGGGATTAGGTGTGAACATCTTTTGTTAGGGAGCGTTATGCTGCCTACCACACTATGATTAACACACTTTACATTTGTTTTAGGGGAATGGGAGCAGGAGAAAACAAAAGAAAAAAATGGCTAATATTTATATGCAGATATATAGAAGAAATACTCATAGATACTACCTGTTTCTGCAGCTAATTATGGGAATCATAGCTGGTATTTTTAACTTTTTTCTTCCACTAGCTATTTCATATTCTCTCTTTTTTTCAGCAAGCACTTCAGCTGGTTGTGGTTCCTTGCTCAGGGGTGGAGGAAGGGAATGACGCAAAACTTCATTCCTAAAGGGGCTAGACCTTTAACAATTCTGCCTGTTTGGGGTTGTTATAATTTTCCATTAACTTTTCTTACAGAATATGGTATTACTAAAAAACACCCCAAAAGTTCTCCTGAATTCTAGACATCTTCCTTAATTTCTACTGGTAGTAATAGCTCATTTTCTCCTAAGAATCAGGATTAATTACCCCAGCCAGTATGGTAATTGTCTTTTTTTTTTCATGTTGGTTTATTGGTATGAGGAGAACAAGATGGTCAGGTGGCAGTATCAGTTTCCATTTTAACATTGGTATGTACTTTGGTGGAAACGTTCTTCCTGTGGAAACTAAGACCATTATATCTGCAGAGCACAAAGGTACAAAGAAGGACAGGAAGCAAAATTTTCACTAGTGGATCATTAAAGATAATATTGAGAGGGAGCCACTTCCATTTCTACCACTTAATTCCCAAATTCATGGATGCTGGCTGTGTGAGAAATAGCACGATATTCATTCAGAGCATCTACTACAACATAGAGGATGTCGTCCTAGTCTGAAAAGTGTTATCACTGAATTCTAAATTGCAACTGAGTCTTTAACATGCCATTCCACTATTCTATCAGGCCAGTTACTTCAGGGTGATTGGGAACAAGGTAAGATTTATGAATTTCACAAGCATGGGCCCATTGGTGTGCTACACTTGTTGTGAACCAAGTTCTCTAATCAGGAGCAATGCTGTGTGGAATACCATGACAGAGAATAAAGCATTTTCAAAGTACACAGAAGGTTTTTGTGGAAACACTGTGCACATGGAAGGATCAGATGTCAATTCCAGTGAGAAAAGAAGTGTTGCCCTTTCCATAATGGAAGTGTTCCAAATAATCAATTTTTGTCTCAAGGAAGCTAGGTAGTTCCCCCAAGGAATTATGCCATACCAGGGGCTCAGTGTTAGTCTCTGTGTTGGCAAGTTGGACTCTCTCAGTGGTGGCAGTAGCCAGATCTAGTGGGTAGAAATTCATGTTGCTGAGCCTATGAATAACCTCCATTCCTTTTTTTTTTTTTTTGAGACAGAGTCTCCCTCTGTCACCCAGGCTGGAGTGCAGTGGCACCATTTCGGCTCACTGCAACCTCCGCTTGCCAGATTCAAGCGATTCTCCTGCCTCAGCCTCCTGAGTAGCTGGGATTACAGGCACACACCACCATGCCCAGCTAATTTTTGTATTTTTAGTAGAGATGTGGTTTCACCATGTTGGCCAGGCTGATCTCGAACCCCTGACCTCAAGTGATCCACCTGCCTTAGCCTCCCAAAGTGCTGGGATTACAGCTATGAGCCACCACACCCAGACATAACCTCCATTCCTACTGCTATGACCACTTTGTTCATGAGCACATAGTGCAAGGATAGCAGTGGCTAGGGGGAAAGGCTGACTGATTCCAAGGAATGAGTCATCTTGCTCACCTGATTATTAAGATTCTTCTCTGTTGAGATTGTTCTTTGGTGAGCATTCACATACGACACAAGCATCTTCTCACTTGGTGCCCATCTGGAGAAGTCTGCACATACCTCTTCCCCAGACCACTTGTCACCAATTTTCTAACCATGTTCTTTCCAAATCCCTGACCATCCAGTCAAACCATCCATCAATCACCATCCATCTATAGATCTATACTTCTGGCCATCTTTTCTTCCAGGCACAATATACAACCAGGTATGCTACTTGAGGTTCTGTCCCAGTAGAAGGATTTCCCTTCCTCTCTGTACTGCAAGTGAAGCTGTAATGTATATAGAACTTCCTGTGAGTCCCACCTTTTACTTGACCCCCTTAGGGGCCAAGCCTAACAAGCCCTGTTAGGACTTGAGTTTGACCAATGGAATGCAGAATAAATGTTGCTGTGACTTCCAAGATAAGGCCTTAAGAAACCTTGTAACTTCCACTTTCTGTCTTTGGTACTTTTTTTGTTTTGTTTTGTTTTGTTTTGTTTTGTTTTGAGACGGAGTCTCACTCTGTCACCCAGGCTGGAGTGCAGTGGCGTGATCTCTGCTCACTGCAAGTTCCGCCTCCTGGGTTCACACCATCCTCCTGCCTCAGCCTCCCGAGTAGCTGGGACTGCAGGCGCCTGCCACCACATCTAACTAATTTTTTTTGTATTTTTAGTAGAGACAGGGTTTCACTGTGTTAGCCGGGGTGGTCTCGATCTCCTGACCTCATGATCCCACCCACCTTGGCCTCCCAAAGTGCTGGGATTATAGGCGTGAGCCACTGAGCCCGGCATATATATATATCTATATATATCTATATATATATAGAGAGAGATATATATATATAAATTTTTTTTTAATGCCTCGCCCCTCCAAAGTGCTGGGATTACAGGCGTGAGCCATTGCACCCAGTCTCTCTTTGGTACTTTAAAACCTCCATACTATGAAGAAGCTCAAACTGAAGGTCTGTTTGGAAAGAGAGGCCCAGCTATCCTAGATATTCCAAAAATTTCAGCTGAAGACCCTGATATGTGGGTGAGGCCATATTAAATCACTCAACTCCAGCTGATCTGGCAGCTGACTAAGGCCACATGTATGAGTCCAACCAAGACCAGCAGAACTCCCCTGTCAACCCACAGGAAGAGAGAAATAATAAATGGTTGTTGCTCTAAACCACTAAGTTTTAGGGTGGTTTGTTATGTATTAGTAGACAACTGATATAGTAACCACCTATTTAGAAGATACTATTCAGATTTTAAACCATAATAAGTATTTCTTGATACTCAATTTGGAGTTTTATTTGGGGAAAATTATATCCTCCTTTCAGAAAGAATACTATTAGTATAGACATGGGCTGTACCATCTTCCATAGGCAATTGTAGTGGGGCTTTAGATTGTTATATTGGTACTATGGGTTACTTAAATTTGAATTTATTTTATTTGCTTTAACATAAGCAAATGGGGAGTGGGGTGTTTACCAAGAGTTATTAAAGCATTTTTAGGGAGATGGGGCTTGAGGGGAGAGTTACCAAAGAAATAATTTTCCAAGATGGACTAATTGGTAGGGATTGTTTAGCTAAATTTGCACTAATGTGAAAAATAGATGAACACTCAATAAATATTAGTCGTTGTTACCATTACAGAATCCTGTAATACATCAGTGGGATTACTATAGGAATAAGGAGGATTCTGCAATGGTAACAATGGCTAATATTTATTGAATGTTTTCTTGTGTCAGAAAGCTTTACATGCTCTACAAATATTAATTCATGTATTTCTCACCAAAGCTGTATGAGATGGCTACTATCATTCCCACTTTATAGTTGAAGAAACTGAGTGCAAAGAGGTTAAGCAACTTGTCGACAGTCACAGCTGCTAAATACTAACAGCTGAACCCAGACAAGAGTATCCCATACTCAGTGGTTCTTAATCAGTAGTCTGTATTTTGGTTTTTTTCTAGATTACTCTGGAGAGTACACTGAGATGACTTTACCAAAGTTTGGGATATTACATTTATAGTTGGTAGTGATGCAATTACAAATTTAAGAATAAATCTCTTTGTGAGAATTATACTAATACTACTAGGGTTATCAAAGCAAACCCTGAGTGCATAATATTTCTAAAATCTAGTGTGGATACATAAAAATCTATTTTATGGTACTTTATTCGTTTTTGCCCTGATTAGACAAAAAGCGAAGTAGAAATAGAAAATCCAGTTTTGATCATGAAATCTTGTGTTTGAACCTTTAGAATGTCGCTATATTTCAACACTTTAAAAGTCTGATTGATTTAAGAAGACAAGGAGAACCACGTCAGATAGTGAAATATATTAATCCCAAAGAGGTAAGGACATTACTTATTGATATAGCATCCTATATTTTTCCATAAAATGTGATTACTTTATCAATTCAGTGTGCTCATCATATTTGTTTCTTTTTAAAACTGTTTTTATTAAAGTATTACACATATGTTGAAAGTTCATAAAACATATATAGCTCAATGAATCATCACAAAGCAAACACCTATGTAACCGTCACCCAGATCAATGTTTTCATACTCCAAATCACTCCCTTTGGGTACCCTGCAAATCATTGCCAACTCCCTTCTTCCAAAAGGTAACCACTATTTTATATTCTAACATAATACTTTAATTTCCTGTTTTTGAACTGTATATAAATAGAATCCTATAGTATGCTTTGGGGTATATATTTGTTCATCCAACAATACATTTATGTAGCTAAAATTCATTCATTTTTAATTAATAGCCATTATTCTCTTTTATGAATATATTGCTATTTATTCATTCTACAGTTGATTGACTTTTGTATTTTTTCTAGTTTGGGGCTATTTTAATAACTGTTTCTGGGAATTTTCATGTCTCCTCATGGATAAGTGTACACATTTTTTTTTTGTTTATACTACACCTAGAAATGGAATTGGTGAGCAACAAATTATCCTTATCACAACTCTGGGAGATAATGCCAGATTATTTCCCAAAGCTATTGTACTAATTTATATTTGCACTAGCAATCTTTGGTATTCTTAGTGCTTTACATTCTCACCAATACATAATATTGTCAGTTTGTAATTTGTATTTCCCTGATACTTTTGTGATGTGGAAAGTGCTTATTCAACTCTCCTCTGTGTGTGTGTGTGTGTGTGTGTGTGTGTGTGTGTGTGTGTGTGTGTGTTCCCTATCCTTATGGGTTTTGGGTTTTTTTTTGTTTTATTTATTTATTTTTTTAAGACAGGGTCTCACTCTGTCACCCAGGTTAGAGTGCAGTGGCACGATCAGGGCTCACTGCAGCGTTAACCTCCTGGACTCAAGCAATCCTCCTGCTTCAGCCCCATGAATAACTGGGACTATAGGCGCATGCCACCGCGTCCAGCTAATTTTTTGTATTTTCAGTAGAGACAGGGTTTTGCCATGTTGCTCAAGCTGGTCTTGAACTCCTGGACTCAAGTGATCTGCCTACCTTGGCCTCCCAAAGTGCTGGGATTACAGGTGTAAACCACCGTACCCTTATTGGTCTTTTAAAAATCAGTTCTTTGTATTTTTTTAAAACTACTTTTTTCTCAATTTACTTTTTGTGGTAAAGTACGCATAATATAAAATTTACTATCTTAACGATTTTTAAGAATACAGTTCAGGCTGGGCGCAGTGGCTCACACCTGTAATTCCAGCACTTTGGGAGGCCGAGGCGGGCGGATCACGAGGTCAGGAGATCGAGACCACCCTGGCTAACATGGCGAAACCCTGTCTCTACTAAAAATACAAAAAAAAAAAAAAAAATTAGCCAGGCGTGGTGGCAGGTGCCTGTAGTCCCAGCTACTCGGGAGGCTGAGGCAGGAGAATGGCATGAACGTGGGAGGCGGAGCTTTCAGTGAGCAGAGATCACACCACTGCACTCCAGCCTGGGCGACAGAGCAAGACTCTGTCTCAAAAAAAAAAAAAAAAAAAGAATACAGTTCAGTAGTACTAAACACATTTATAATGTGTGTAACCATCACCAACCATCACCACCACCCATCTCCATAAATCTTTTCATCTTACAAAACCAAAACTCTATCCTCATTAAACAGTAACTCCTTATTTTCCCTTCCACCTATCTCCCAGCAACTATCATTCTACCTCCTGTCCCTATGAATTTGACTAATTACCTCATAGGAGTGGAATTATACAGTACTTGCCTTTTTGTGATTGGCTTATGTCACTTAGCACAGTGTCCTCAAGATTCACCCATGTAATAGTTTATTGCGGGATTTCTTTCCTTTCTTAAGGCTGAATAATATTCCATTGTGTGTATATACTACATTGTACTTGTTCAGTCATCCACCAATGGACACTTGGGTTGCTTCCATGTTTTAGCTATTATGAATAATGCTTCTATAAATGGTTATACAAATATCTCTTTGAGACCCTTCTTTTAATTCTTTTGGGTATATATCCAGAAGTGGAATTGCTGGATCATATGGTAATTCCATTTTTAAGTTTTTTAGGAACAACCATACTGTTTTCCACAGTGGCTGTACCATTTTGTACTCTCACCAATAATGCACAAGGGTTATATATTCTTCATAGAAGCCCTTTGTCAGTTATCTGTTACTTGCATCTTTTTTTCACTCTGTGGCTTGTCACTCTCTTAATGGAGTCTTTCCTTTGATTTTTATTATAAAACATGTCAAATATATGCAAAAGGAGAAAGAGTAAAATCATAAGCCACCATGTACCCATCATCTAGCTTCAACAGTTAGCAATTCATAACCAATCTTATTTCATCTATACCTCTACCCACTTTCTACAACCTCTAGGTTATTTTGAAGCAGTGGTGTCTTTTGATGAACAAAGTTCTTAATTTTAATGTAGTTCAATTTATCAATATTTTCCTATGTGGTTGGTGCCTTTTTAATTTGTTTTTTTCTTTTTTCTTTTTCTTTTTTTGAGACAGGGTCTCGTTCTGTCTCCCAGGCTGGAGCATAGTGGTGTGATCACAGTTCACTGCAGCCTCAACCTCCTGGGCCCAAGCGATCCTCCCACCTCAGCCTCACAAGTAGCTGGAGCAACAGGCACATGCCACCATGCCCAGCTAATTTTTTCATTTTTTGTAGAGATGGGATCTCCCTAGGTTACGCAGGCTCGTCTCAAACTCCTGGGCTCAAGCAATCCTTATGCCTTGGCCTCCCAATGTGCTGGGATAACAGGCATGAGCCACTACACCAAGCTGGTGTTTTTTGTTTTGTTTCGTTTTTTGGTATTTTTGTTTGTTTGTTTGTTTTTTAATACTTTAAGTTCTGGGATACATGTGCAGAACATGCAGGTTTGTTACATAGGTATACATGTACCATGGTGATTTGCTGCACCCATCAACCTGTCATCTACATTAGGTATTTCTCCTAACGCTATCCCTCCTCTAGCCCCCCAACGCCTCTACAGACCCCAGTATGTGATGTTCCCCTCCCTGTGTCCATGTGTTCTCATTGTTCAACTCCCACTTATGAGTGAGAATGTGCGGTGTCTGGTTTTCTGTTCCTGTGTTAGTTTGCTGAGAATGATGGTTTCCAGCTTCATCCATGTCCCTGCAAAGGACATGAACACATCCTTTTTTATGGCTGCATGGTATTCCATGGTGTATATGTGGCACATTTTCTTTATCCAGTCTGTCATTGATGGGCGTTTGGGTTGGTTCCAAGTCTTTGCTATTGTGAACACTGCTCCAATAAACATACGTGTGCATGTGTCTTTATAGTAGAATGATTTATAATCCTTTTGGTATATACCCAGTAATGGGGTTGCTGGGTCAAATGGTACTTCTGGTTCTAGATCCTTGAGGAATTGTCACACTGTCTTCCACAACTGGTAGAACTAATTTACACTCCCACCAACAGTGTAAAAGCATTCCTGTTTCTCCACATCCTCTCCAGCATCTATTCTTTCCTGACTTTTTAATGATTGCCATTCTGGGTGGGCGCGGTGGCTCACGCCTGTAATCCCAGCACTTTGGGAGGCCGAGGCGGGTGGATCACGAGGTCAGGAGATCGAGACCATCCCGGCTAAAACGGTGAAACCCGTCTCTACTAAAAATACAAAAAATTAGCCGGTCGTAGTGGCGGGCGCCTGTAGTCCCAGCTACTTGGGAGGCTGAGGCAGGAGAATGGCGTGAACCCGGGAGGCGGAGCTTGCAGTGAGCCGAGATCCCGCCACTGCACTCCAGCCTGGGCAACAGAGCGAGACTCTGTCTCAAAAAAAAAAAAAAAAAAAAAAAGATTGCCATTCTAACTGGCGTGAGATGGTATCTCATTTTGGTTTTGATTTGCATTTCTCTAATGACCAGTAATGATGAGCTTTTTTTTTTTTTTTTTTTTTTTTGAGGCGGAGTTTCGCTCTGTCGCCCAGGCTGGAGTGCAGTGGCGCGATCTCAACTCACTGCAAGCTCCGCCTCCCGGGTTCACGCCATTCTCCTGCCTCAGCCTCCCGTGTAGCTGGGACTACAGACGCGCGCCACCATGCCCGGCTAATTTTTGTATTTTTTTTTAGTAGAGACGGGGTTTCACCGTGTTAGCCAGGATGGTCTCGATCTCCTGACCTCGTGATCCGCCTGTCTCGGCCTCCCAAAGTGCTGGGATTACAGGCGTCAGCCCGCGCCCGGCCGAGCTTTTTAAAATATGTTTGTTGACCACATAATTGTCTTCTTTTGAGAAGCATCTGTTCATATCCTTCACCCCCTTTTTGGTGGGGTTTTTTTTTTTTTGTAAATTTGTTTAAGTTCCTTATAGATTCTGGATATTAGCCCTTTGTGAGATGGATAGATTGCAAAAATTTTCTCCCATTCTGTAGGTTGCCTGTTCATTCTGATGATAGTTTCTTTTGTGTGCAGAAGCTCTTTAGTTTAATTAGATCCCATTTGTCACTTTTGGCTTTTATTGCCATTGCTTTTGGTGTTTTAATCATGAAGTCTTTGCCCATGCCTAGGTCCTGAATGGTATTGCCTAGGTTTTCTTCTAGGATTTTTATGGTTTTAGGTCTTACGTTTAAGTCTTTAATCCATCTAGAGTTAATTTTTGTATAAGGTGTAAGGAAGGGGGGTCCAGTTTTAGTTTTCTGCATATGGCTAGCCATTTTTCCCAGCACTATTTATTAAATAGGAAATCTTTTCCCCATTGCTTGTTTTTGTCAGGTTTGTGAAAAATGAGATAGTGTCAAAGATGTGTTTGTTTTTGTCAGGTTTGTCAAGGATGAGATGTGTGGTGGTATTTCTGAGGCCTCTGTTCTGTTCCATTGGTTTATATATCTGTTTTGGTATCAGTACCATGCTGTTTTGGTTACTGTGGCCTTGTAGTATAGTTTGAAGTCAGGTAGCATGATGCCTCCAACTTTGTTCTTTTTGCTTAGGATTGTCTTGGCTATACAGGTTTTTTTTTTGGTTCCATATGAAATTTAAAGTAGTTTTTTCTAATTCTATGAGGAAAGTCAATGGTAGCTTGATGGGGATAGCATAGAATCTATAAATTACTTTGGGCAGTATGGCCATTTTCACAGTATTGATTCTTCCTATTCATGAGCATGGAATGTTTTTCCATTTGTTTGTGTCCTCTCTTATTTCCTTGAGCAGTGGTGTGTAGTTCTCCTTGAAGAGGTCCTTCATATCCCTTGTGAGTTGTATTCCTAGGTATTTTATTCTCTTTGTAGCAATTGTGAATGAGAGCTCACTCATTATTTGGGTCTCTGATTGTCTATTATTGGTGTATAGGAATGCTTGTGATTTTTGCAGATTGATTGTGTGTCCTGAGACTTTGTTGAAGTTGCTTATCAGCTTAAGAAGATTTGGGGCTGAGACAATGGGGCTTTCTAAATATACAATCATGTCATCTGCAAATAGAGACAATTTGACTTCCTCTCTTTCTATTTGAATACTCTTTATTTTTTTCTCTTGCCTGATTGCCCTGGCCAGAACTTCCAATACTATGTTGAAAAGGAGTGGTAAGAGAGGGCATCCTTGTCTTATACCGGTTTTCAAAGGGAATGCATCCAGCTTTTGCCCATTCAGTATGGTATTGGCTGTGGGTTTGTCATAAATAGCTCTTATTATTTTGAGATACGTTCCATGAATACCTAGTTTATTGAAAGTTTTTAGCACGAAGCGGTGTTGAATTTTATCAAAGGCCTTTTCTGCATCTATTGAGATAATCACGTGGTTTTTGTAATTGGTTCTTTTTATGTGATGGATTACATTTATTGATTTGTGTATGTTGAACTAGCCTTGCATCCCAGGGATGAAGCCGACTTGATCGTGGTGGATACGCTTTTTGATGTGCTGCTAGATTCGGTTTGCCAGTATTTTATGGAGGATTTTCACATTGATGTTCATCAGGTATATTGGCCTGAAATTTTCTTCTTTTGTTGTGTCTCTGCCAGGGTTTGGTATCAGGATGATGCTGGCCTCATAAAATGAGTTAGGGAGTAGCCCCTCTTTTTCTATTGTTTGGAATAGTTTCAGAAGGAATGGTACCAGCTCCTCTTTGTATCTCTGGTAGAATTCAGCTGTGAATCCATCTGGTCCTGGGATTTTTTTGGTTGGTAGCCTATTAATTACTGCCTCAATTTCAGAACTTGTTATTGGTCTATCAGGGATTTGACTTCTTCCTGGTTTAGTCTTGGGAGGGTGTATGTGTCCAGGAATTTATCCATTTCTTCTAGATTTTCTAGTTTATTTGCATAGAGGTGTGTATAGTATTCTCTGATGATAGTTTGTATTTCTCTGGGATCAGTGGTGATATCATCTTTATCATTTTTTATTGTATCTATTTGATTCTTCTCTCTTCTTTGTTAGTCTGGCTAGTGGTCTATTTTGTTAATCTTTTCAAAAAAACAGCTCCTGGATTCACTGATTTTTTGCAGGTTTTTTTGTGTCTCTTATCTCCTTCAGTTCTGCTCTGATCGTAGATATTTCTTGTCTTCTGCTAGATTTTGAATGTGTTTGCTCTTGCTTCTCTAGTTCTTTTAATTGTGATATTAGGGTGTCAATTTTAGATCTTTCCCGCTTTCTCCTATGGCCATTTAGTGCTATAAATTTCCCTCTAAACACTGCTTTAGCTGTTTCCTGGGAAGTCTGGTACATTGTGTCTTTGTTCTCATTGGTTTCAAATAACTTATTTATTTCTGCCTTCGTTTCGTTATTTATCCAGTAGTCATTCAGGAGCAGGTGTTAAGGTTCCATGTAGTTGTGCAGTTTTGAGTGAGTTTTAAAATCCGGAGTTCTAATTTGATTGCACTGTGGTCTGAGAGACTGGTAGGATTTCCATTCTTTTGCATTTGCTGAGGAGTGTTTACTTCCAATTATGTGGTCAATTTAGAATAAGTGCGATGTGATGTTGAGAAGAATGTATCTTTTGTTGCTTTGGGGTGGAGAGTTCTGTAGATGTCTATTAGGTCTGCTTGGTCTAGAGCTGAGATCAAGTCCTGAATATCCTTGTTAATTTTCTGTCTCGTTGATCTGTCTAATGTTGACAGGGGGGTGTTAAAGTCTCCCATAATTATTGTGTGGGAGTCTAAGTCTCCTTGTAGGTCTCTAAGAACTTGCTTTATGAATCTGAGTGTTCCTGTATTGGGAGAGTGTTTTCCAACTTGGTTCCATTCTCCCCATCACTTTCAGGTATATCAATCAAATGTAGGTTTGGTCTTTTCACATAGTCCCATATTTCTTGGAGGCTTTGTTCACTCCTTTTCATTCTTTTTTCTCTAATCTTGTCTTCATGCTTTATTTCATTAAGTTGATCTTCAATCTCTGATGTCCTTTCTTCCGCTTGATCAATTCAGCTATTGATACTTGTGTATCCTTCACAAAGTTCTTGTGCTGTGTTTTTCAGCTCCATCAGGTCATTTATATTCTTCTCTAAACTGGTTATTCTAGATAGCAATTCCTCTAACCTCTTTTTAAGGTTCTTAGCTTCCTTACATGGGCTAGAACATGCTCCTTTAGCTCGGAGGAGTTTGTTATCCACCTTCTAAAGCCTACTTCTGTCAATTCGTCTAACTCATTCTCTGTCCAGTTTAGTTCCCTTGCTGGCAAGGAGTTGTGATACTTTGAAGGAGAAGAGGTATTCTGGTTTTTGGAATTTTCTGCCTTTTAGTGCCTGTTTTTCCTCATCTTTGTGGTTTTCTCTACCTTTGGTCTTTGATGTTGGTGACCGTCGAATGGGGTTTCTGTGTGGATGTTCTTTTTGTTGATGTTGATGCTATTCCTTTCTGTTTGTTAGTTTTCCTTCTAACAGGCCCCTCTGCTGCAGGTCTGCTGGAGTCTGCTGGAGTTCCACTCCAGACCCTATTTGCCTGGGTATCACCAGTGGAGGCTGCAGAACAGCAAAGATTGCTGACTGTTCCTTCCTCTGGAAGCTTTGTCCCAGAGGGGCACCTGCCAGATGCCAGCCAGAGCTCTCCTATATGAGGTGTCTGTCAACCCCTGCTGGGAGATGTCTCCCAGTCAGGAGGCATGGGGGTCAGGGATCCACTTGAGGAGGCAGTCTGTCCCTTAGCAGAGCTCGAGCACTGTGCTGGGAGATCTGCTGCTCTCTTCAGAGCTGGCAGGCAGGAACGTTTAAGTCTGCTGAAGCTACACCCACAGCCACCCCTTCCCCCAGGTGCTCTGTGAGGGGAAAACAGCCTACTCTAGCCTCAGTAATTGCAGATGTCCCTCCCCCCACCAAACTCCAGTGTCCCAGGTCGATTTCAGACTGTTGTGCTGGCAGCAAAAATTTCAAGCCAGTGGATCTTAGCTTGCTGGGCTCCATGGGGGTGGGATCCGCTGAGCTAGACCACTTGGCTCCCTGGCTTCAGCCCCCTTTCTAGGGGAGTGAATGGGTCTGTCTCGCTGGCATTCCAGGTGCCACTGGGGTATGAAAAAAAACTGCAGCTAGCTTGGTGTCTGCCCAAAGGGCTGCTCAATTTTGTGCTTGAAACCCAGGGCCCTGTTGGCATAGGCAACCTAGGGAATCTCCTGGTGTGCAGGTTGGGAAGATCGTGCGAAAAGCATAGTATCTGGCCAGAATGCACAGCTGGTGCTTTTTATAACCTTTTCCAACTCCAAGGTTATAAAAATATTCTCATATTATACAAGATTTATTGATTTGCATTTTATACTTAGATCTGCAGTCCACCTGGGACTGACCTCTGTGTATGGTGTGAGGTACAGGCCAGCTTTTTTTTTTTTTTTGAGACAGAGTCTTGCTCTGTCGCCCAGGCTGGAGTCCCATGGTGCGATCTTGGCTCACTGCAACCTCCGCCTCCCAGGTTCAAGTGATGCTCCTGCCTCAGCCTCTCGAGTAGCTGGGACTACAGGTGCCCGCCACCATGCCCTGCTAATTTTTGTATTTTTAGTAGAAACGGGGTTTCACCATGTTAGCCAGGATGGTCTCCATCTCCTGACCTCGTGATCCGCCCACCTTGGCCTCCCAAAGTGCTGGGATTACAGGTGTGAGCCACCATGCCCAGCCCAGGTCAACATTCTCATTCTTCCCTACAGATATCCAAGTGATTAAATGCTATTTATTGAAAATACTATCCTGTCCCTACTGCTCTGCGGTGCCACCTTTAAAATAATTAAATCAGGTGGCCATTTATGTATTGGTCTGTTCCATTGGTCTATTTTTCTACTGTTGTCGTAACTATTACAGCTTTATAACAGTCCTATTAAATGGTAGAGAAGACCTCCAATCTTACAATTCTTTTTCAAGAAAACACTCCAGGCTATTCTTGAATGCTTTTTATTTCCACATAAATGTTTGAATTAGCTTTTCAATTTCCACACCAAAATAAATCTGTTGGGGAAGTGAAAATTGTAGAGTAAGGAATTCTAAGAATAAGTGTCGGCCAGGCGCGGTGGCTCACGCCTGTAATCCCAGCACTTTGGGAGGCTGAGTCGGGCGGATCATGAGGTCAGGAGTTCGAGACCAGCCTGGCCAACATAGTGAAACCCCGTCTCTACTAAAAATACAAAAATTAGCCAGGCATGGTGGCATGCGCCTGTAGTCCCAGCTACTCGGGAGGTTGACAGGAGAATCGCTTGGGCCAGGGAGGCAGAGGTTGCAGCAAGCCGAGATTGCGCCACTGCACACCAACCCGGGTGACAGTGTGAGACTTCGTCTCAAAAAAAAAGAATAACCATCAGAATCAACTTTATTGGAACTCTGGAATCTAATTAAAAACTTAGAGCAACCAGGGGAATGCTTTTAATGGAGAAAAAGGCTACTAAACTTGAAGAAAGCAGGGTGGTGTTTTTGCCTACCTATCAAACATGCCTTGTTCTCCAGCTTGGCAGCAGCTGTGGAAACAAAGGCCCCTATTCCTGGTGTGGCTTTTTGGGGCCAGAGTGTAAAATATAGAACTTGTTCTCAAAAATTGTGGTTATGTTTGAGTGTGTGTGTTTGTTTTTGTTTTTGAGATGGAGTCTTGCTCTGTCACCCAGACTGGAGTGCAGTGGCACGATCTCGGCTCACTGCAACCTTCGCCTCCCAGATTCAAGTGATTCTCCTGCTTCAGCCTCCCAAGTAGTTGGGATTACAGGCGCCACCACCAAGCCCAGCTAATTTTTTTTGTATTTTTAGTAGAGACAGGGTTTCACCATGTTGGTCAGGCTGGTCTCGAACTCCTGACCTCAAGTGATCCGCTCGCCTCGGCCTCCCAAAGTTCTGGGATTATAGGCGTGAGCTATCGCACCTGGCCTGGTTGTGTATTTTGATTTGTCTGGCAGTTCCCCGAGGAACCTGCACAGAGTTTCCCTTTATTTCACACCTCTCCATGCCATCACAGGGATGGGCCAGCTTATAGGATTTAAAATCATATACAACCTGCAGCCACCTCAGGCAATAGACAGCAGACAAGGCAGGAACAGGCAAACCTAAAAATCTAGGTAGAATGAAGCTGAGGAGAAAGATACATGGACATGTCTGAACAAATAGAGATTATCAAAAAAGAGAAAGACGACTAGTGCTTGCCAGGTGTTGGGGGCTAGGGTGAAGGAAGTGACTGCTTGATAGATATGGGGTTTCCTTTTGGAGTGATGAAAATATTGTGGAAGTAGTGGCTGTATAATATGAAAGTACTAAATGTCACTAATGGTTAATTTATGTTGTGTGGATTTTTACCAAAATAAAACATATTTTTAAAGTCTATTGGAATTTTGGCCGGGTGCGGTAGCTCACACCTGTAATCCCAGCACTTTGGGAGGCTGAGGCAGGAGGATCACTTGAGCTCAGGAGTTTGACACCAGCCAGGGCAACATAGTGAGACCCCATCTCTACAAAATAAAAATAAAAAATTAAATTAAAAGTCTGTTGGAATGTTGATCGAGATTGTATTGAATATTTGGCTCAATTTGAGGAAAACTGGTATCATGACAATACTGAGAGCTCTAAATCATGAACATTTGTGGGAAATAAGGGATATGCTGTTAGATCCCTCTTTAAGAAGGATTTACTACCCAATCTCAGGGACTGCAGTCCACAGACAGCCTCCAGCTGTGAGGATCTTCAGTTTCTACCCTAATTGCAAAGAACTGCCTGATGCTAGGTCAACCCTTTCCAGTGATGCTAGGTCAACCCATGTCCAGTGACTGAGCAGAATGTGGTGGGTGAGGAGATGGGTCTAGAAGCCATTGTGGCAGTATTCACTTTAGAGGTCCAAGCAGAATTGGCCCAGGCTTTGTGTGGCTTACATTGCAGTTCCAACTCTTCTTCTGCCCAGTTCTTCTTCCCTCCCCTTTCTTCCATAGGTATTGAGCCCTAATAAACCTGTGGCACTCAAACTTCATATAAGCATCTTCTTTTGGAAAACCTAATTTGAAATGTTATTTAGTTCTTCTAAATTTTCTCTGAACAAATGCTTTATAGTTTTCTATAGAGAGGTCTTACATATCTTTTGCTAGATTTATAACTTGCTTTTTAATGCTCCTATAAATGGTTAATTACAAAATTTTTATTTTCTTATTTTTGATGCTATTATGTAGAAAGACAATCAATTTTTGCACATTAGCTTTGTTCCCAACAACTTTGCAATCCTCATTTATTAATTCTAATAATGTGTACATTGATTATTTTGGATTTTCAATATAAACAATCATGTCATCCTCAATGAGTTTTGTTTTTGCCTTTTCAAACATGATACATTTTATTTCTTTTTCTTGCCATTATACACTGGCTAGAGCCTTCAGTAATGGTGAATAGAAGTGATAACCACTGTCTTATTCTGGATTTCAGAGGGAAAGGATCAATATTTCATCATTAAGTATGAGGTATGCTATTTTTGTTTGTTTGTTTGTTATAGAATCCTTTTATCTGATTAAGGAAGTTTCCTTCTATTCCTGTTGAACTAAAAGAGTTTTTTGATTTTATTTTTAGAGGCCAGGTCTCACTCTGTTACCCAGGCTGGAGTGCATTGGTGCCATCATAGCTCACTGCAGCCTCAACCTCCTGGGCTCAAGTGATCCTTCCACCTCAGCCTCCCAAGTAGCTGGGACCACAGGTGTGGGCCACCATGCCCAGCTAATTTTTTAAAACTTTTTTTGTAGAGACAGAGTCTTCCTATGTTGCCCAGACTGGTCTCAAACTCTTGTCCTCAAGCAATCCTCCTGCCTTGGCCTTTGAAAGTGCCAGGATTACAGACATGAGCCACTGTGCCCAGACAAGAGTTTTTTAGAAATCCAAGAACAGATGCTAAATTTTATGAGACCTTTTTTGCTTTAATTGAGATACAATTTTTCTTTTGTTCTTATTTTTTGTTTGAATGTTAAATCGTCTTAGCGTTCCTAGAATAGGTACATTTTGGTTATGATTATCTTATCCCTTTAAAATATCACTGAATTTAGTTTGCTAATATTTGGTATAAATATTTGCACCTGTGTTCCTGCAGAACGTCTAATTTACTGTCTCTGTCAGATTTTGGTATCACATTTAGCTGGCCTCCTAAAACAAATTGGGAAATGTTTCTACTCTGTTTATTTTCTGAATTTCTTTTTCACATTGAGTGTTATTTTCATCCTTAAATGTACTTTGTAAGGATTTACTAATGAAACCATCTGTGCCAGAAGTTTTTTCCATGAAAAGATTTTAAATTACATTCAATTTAGAATTATAGTTCTATTTCTATTTTGTATTTCTTCTTGTGCTAGCTCTGATAAGTTGTATTTTTCTAGGAAGTTTTCATCTAAATTTTCAAATTTATTAGCTTAAAATTATTCATAATACTTTTTATGATCTTTCTAATGCCTTAGAATCTGTAATAGTTATCTTTATTTTATTCCTGGTATTGGTTATTTGCATCTCCTCTTTTTTTTCTTGAGCAGTCTCTTTGGAGTTTATTACTTTTATTGGTCTTTTCCAAAAACAATTTTTAGCTTTGTTGTTTCTTTGTGTTGTTCATTTGTGTCCTACCTCATCATTTTCTGCTGTTTATTATTTCCTTCTTTATATTTTCTTTGAATTCTGTTTGCTGTTATTTTTCTAACTTTTTGAAATGGATGCTGAATTTATTGACTTGTAGCCTTTTCTGGTATATGTATTTAAGGACATAAATTTTTATCTAAGAATGGTCTTAGCTGCAGCTTACAAGTTTTGATATGTCATATTTTCATATCAAATTCAGTTCAAAATATTTTAAAATTTCTACTTTATTTCAGTTATTTAATTTGGAAATTAGCCAGTTATCTTTTTGTTGTCAGCCCTTATCTTGATTGTGCTGTACTTTCAATCCTCTGTTGTCTATTTTTTATAAATTTTTATCTGTACTTGAAAAGAATATATATTTTTTAGTTATTGAGCATAGTATTGCATAGATGTCAATTAGGTCAAATTTTTCAGTTATGTTGATCAAATCTTCTATAGCCTTACTGAATATTTTTGTCTAGTTATACTATCAGTTACTGAGAGATATGTATTAAAAGCTTCCACTATGACTGAAGATTTGTCTATTTTTCTGGTGGTTTGTATATATTTGAGACCATGTTATTAAGTGAATACTTCAGATTATTGTATCTTTCTTGAATTGAACCTTTTATCATTATAAAGTGTGTCCCTTAAGGTCTCAAATTTCTGGTATTAATACAACCACACCAACTGTCTCTTTTTTTTTTTTTAACAAATCAGAAAGTTTTACTGTCAGTAATATTGTGTTTCCTTTTTTTATTATCATACTTTAAGTTTTGAGATACTTGTGCAGAATGTGCAGGTTTGTTACATAGGTATACACTTGCCATGGTGGTTTGCTGCACTCATCAACCCATCATCTACATTAGGTATTTCTCCTAATGCTGTCCCTCCCCTAGCCCGCCACCTGCTGACAGGCCCCAGAGTGTGATGTTCCCCTCCCTGTGTCCATGTGTTCATTCTCATTGTTCAACTCCCATTATGAGTGAGAACATGCGCACACCAACTGTCTCTTATTTGCATGGTACATCTTTCCTGTCATTTTACTTCCAACATTCTGAATCTTTACATTTTTGCTGTGTCTTTTTATAGGCAGCAGGTTTTTTTTTGTTTGTTTGTTTTTGTTTTTTTGAGACAGAGTCTCGTTCTGTTGCCCAGGCTAGAGTGAAGTGGCACTATCTATCTCAGCTCACTGCAACCTCCACCTCCCGGGTTCAAGCATTCTTGTGCTCCAGCCTCCCCAGTAGTTGGAATTACAGGCATGTGCCACCACGCCCGGCTAATTTTTTGTATTTTTAGTAGAGATGGTATTTTGCCATGTTGCCCAGGCTGGTTTCAAACTCCTGAACTCAGGCAATCCTCCTGCCTCGGCCTCCCAAAGTGCTGGGATTACAGGTGTGAGCCGCCGCACCTGACCTGGCAGCAGGTTGTTAGCTAACATTTTTTATCCAGTAGGATACTCTTTGTCTTTTGTCAGAACATTTACTTCATTCACATGTAATGTAATTACTGATGTTTGGGGATTTAAATCTACCCTGTTACTATTTACTCTCTGTATGTCTCAGACGTTCTACGTTCTTTTTCAACATGTTATGGCCTTCTATGGGAATGAGTTTTTTATATTTTTCTCTATATATTATCATTCTTTTAAACTTATTCAAGAGATTGCAACATGCATATTTGACTTATGAAATCATATATAGATTTGCATTTTTATCTTCTCCCAGACAATGCACTTATTTCTCATTATCCCCTTTGACTTATATTCTTGCTGTTGTTCTTTTAAATTCTCTATTGATGGATCTTATGGTAAGAGTACATTTAGTTCAATAAGAAACTGCCAAACTTTTTCCAAAGTGGCTGTGCCATTTTGCATTCCGACCAGCAAAGAATTACCACTCCACATCCTTGCTAGCATCTAGTGTTGTCAGTATTTGAATTTGGTCATTCTAAAAGGTGTATAGAGGTATCTCATTGTTTTTGTTTTGTTGTTGTTGTTGTTTTGACACGGAGTTTCTGTCGCCCAGGCTGGAGTGCAGTGTCACAATCTCAGCTCATTGCAACCTCTGCCTCCCAGGTTCAAGTGATTCTCCTGCCTCAGTGTCCCGAGTAGCTGGAATTCACACCCCATCACGCCCGTCTAATTTTTGTATTTTTAGTAGAGACGGGGTTTCACCATGTTAGCCATGGCTGGTCTCAAACTCCTGACCTCAAGTGATCCACCTGCCTCAGCCTCCCAAAGTGTTGTGATTGCAGGCTTGAGCCACCATGCCCGGGCCCTCATTGTTGTTTTAATTTGTAATTCCTTAATGACATACAACGTTGACCATCTTTTCATATGCTTATGTATCGTCTGTATATCTTCTTTAGTGAAGATAGCTTTACAGGTCCTTTGCCCATTTTTAATTCAGGTTGTTTGTTTTCTTATAGTGAAGGTTAAAGAGTTCTTTGTATATTTTAAATACCAGCCCTTTATCAGATATGTGTTTTGCAAGTATTTTCTTCCCAGTTTATGACCTGTCTTTTCATTATCTTAATGTCTTTCATTGAGTACAACTTTTTAATGAAGTCCGTCATATCTATTATGCTTTTGGTGTTATATCTAAAAAGTCATCACCAAACCCAAGCTCACCTAGATTTCCTCCTATGTTATCTTCTAAGAGTTATATAGTTTTGCATTTTACATTTAAGTTATGATCCAGTTTTAGTTACTGTTTTGTGAAAGGTGTAAGATCTTTGTCTAGATTTTTTTTTTCTTGAACGTGGATTCCCGCAATGTCCAAATGGTGTTCCAGCACCATTTGTTGAAGACTATTCTTTTGTCACTAAATTGCCTTTGCCCCTTTGTCAGAGAATAGTTAACTGTTTGTGTGGGTCTATTTCTGGGCTCTGTCTTCTGTTGCATTGATTTATTTGTGTATTCTTTCACCAGTACCACAGTGTCTTGATTATTGTAGTTTCGTGGTAAGTCTTGAAGTTGGGTGGTGTCAATTCTCCAACTTTGTTGTTCACCTGAAATATTATAGTGGCTATTCTGGGTCTTTTGCCTTTCCACTTAAAATTTATAATCAGTTTGTCCTTATACACAAAATAAGTTCCTGGGATTTTGATTGAGATTGCATTGAATCTATAGATCCAGAAAGATGGGAAGAACAGACATCTTGACAATATTGAGTCTTCCTATTCGGGTGTATGGAATATCTCTCCATTCATTTAAATCTTCTTTGATTTCCTTCATCACGGTCTTGTAGTTTCCCTCATATCGATTTTTATATATTTTGTTAGATTTATACCTAAGTATTTTACTTTTTTGCGTGCTGATATAAATGACAATGTGTTTTAAAATTTCAAATTCTGGTTGCTTATTGCTGGTATATAATAAAGCAGTTGATTAGTATATTAACCTTGTGATTCATTGGGATTTTTTAACATAGACAATCATGTCATCTGAGAACAAAGACAGTTCTTTTTCTCCCTTCTCAATCTGTATACTTTTCATTTCCTTTTCTTGTCTTATTGCATTAGCTAGGACTTCCAGTGTGATGTTGAATAGAAAAGGTGAGGGGACATCTTTGTAGGAAAACATTTAGTTTCTCACCATTAAGTATGATATTAGGTGTATGTTTCTTGTAGATATTATTAATTAGAGGAAGTTCCCCTCTAGTCCTAGTTTGCCAAAGTTGTTATCATGAATGGGTGTTGGATTTTGTCAAATGCTTTTTCTACATCTGCTAATATGATCATATGACTTTTCTTCTTTAGCCTGTTGATACAATATAATAGTGGCCTTGCAAAATAAATCCCACTTGATCATGGTGTATAATTATTTTTATACATTGTTGGATTTGACTTACTAAATTTTTGAGGATTTTTAAGTCTATGCTCATGAGAGATATTGGTCTATAATTTTCCTTTCATGTAATGTCTCTGTGTGGTTTTTGTATTAGGGTTATGCTGGCCTCATCAAATGTGTTAGGAAGTATTCCCTTTGATTTTATTTTCTGGAAGAGACTGTAAATAGTAAAATAAATTTCTTTTTTAAATGTCTGGTAGAATTTACCAGTGAATCCATCTGGGCCTTGTGCTTTTTTTCTGTTTTGAAAAGTTTTAATTATTGATTCTATTTCTTTAATAGAGATAGGCCTATTAAAATTATCTACTACTTCTGTGATTTTTGGTAGATTATGTCTTTAGGGAATTGGTCTCTTTCATCTAGGTTATAAAATTTGAGGGCATAGAGTTATTTGTGCTCATAAAATTTGTTTATTATCCTTTTTAGTGTCCATGCAATCAGTAATGATGACCTCTATTTTGTTTCTTTTTTTTTCCTTCACCATTTTCATTCTTTACAAATTTTATTCCAAAAAAAGGGGATGTGTGTGGAAGATTAAGATGTCCATGAAGAGTAACCATCATCATGACAATAAAGTATTCAATTAGACAGAAATGACAAGGACCATTTCTGATATTAGTAATGTGTAATATCTGTCTTTTTTTCTTAGTTACCCTAGCCAGAAGCTTATCAATTTTATTGATCTTTTCAAACCAGCTTTTTGTTTCTTTTATTTTCTTTATAGATTTCTTGTTATCAATTTCATTGATTTCTGCTCTAATCTTTATTATTTATTTTCGTCTGCTTGCTTTGAATTTAATTTGCTTTGCTTTTCTAGTCCCTCAAGGCAGAACATTAGATTATTTCTTTCAGATATTTTTTGTTTTCTAATACACACATTCAGTACTATAAATTTTCCTGTAAGCTCTGTTTTTGCTGAATCCCTCAAATTTTAGTAAGTTGTATTTTCGTTTTCATTTATTTCAAAGTATTTTTAACTTCTCTTGAGACTCTTTATTTGACCTACTTGTTATTTAGAAGTGTGTTATTTAATTTTCAAGTTTTGGGGTTTTCCAGTTATCTCTCTGTTACTGATTTCTAGTTTAATACTATTGAGGTGTGAGAGTATACTTTGTATGATTTCTATTCCTTTTAAATTTGTTAAGATAGGCCCATATATGACAAATCCACAGCTAATATTGTATGGAATGGGGAAAAGTTGAAAGCGCTTCCTCTAAGAATTGGAAAAAGACAAGGATGCTTATTATTACCACTCAAGTTCAGGACAGTACTGAAGTCCTAGCCAGCACAATCAGGCAAGAGAAAGAAATAAAAGGCATTCAAATGGGAAAATAAGAAGTCAGATTATCTTTTTTCTACTGGTGACATGATCTTATATATATATATCAAATGTTCTCACATAGAAGTGGATGCTAAAAATGTATACACATGAACGTAGAGAGTGGAGTGATAGACAGTGGAGAGTTGGAAGGATGAGCTGGTTGGAGGGAAGTGGACGATGGGAAATTAGTTAATGGATACAATGTACATTAATTGGGTGATGGATACTCTAAAAGCCCTGACTTGACCACTCTGCATTCTATGCATGTAACAAAATTGCACATATACTGCACAAATTTGTACAAATAAAAAAGTGTATTAAGGTGTGTTTTATGGCCCAGAACGTGGTCTGTCTTGCCAAATATTTTGTCTGTGCTGGAGAAGAATATATATTCTGTTGTTCGAAGAAGTGTTTTATAAATGTCAATTGGATCCAGTTAATTTATGCTGCTGTTCAGTTCAATTATGGCCTTACTGGTTTTCTGACTTGCTGAATCTGTCAATTACTGATAGAGGGGTATTGAAATCTCCAATTATGTTAGTAAATTACTATATTTTTTCTTGCAGTTTTATCAGTTTTTGCTTCACATATTTTGCTGCTTTGTTGTTAAGTACATACATTATCATCATGTAATGCTCCATTTAGTCCTGACAGTTTTCCTTGATCTTAATTTGGCCTTGTCTGAAATTAATATAGCAGCTCAGCTTTCGTTCTATTAGTGTTAGTATCATATATCTTTCTTCTTCTTCTTTCTTCTTTCTTCCTCTTCGATAAAGCCTCACTCTGTTGTCCAGATTGGAGTGCAGTGGTGTCATAATGGGTCACTGCCGCCCTTGACCTGCCAGGCTCAAGTGATCCTCCCGCCCCAGCCTCTGAAGTAGCTGGGACTACTGGTGCATGCCACCACACCCAGCTAATTTTAAAATTTTTTGCGTGGAGTCAGAGTCTAACTATATTGCCCAGGTTCGTCTTTGTTCTTTTCTTTGTTATTAATCTGTGTCTTTATATTTAAAGTGGGTTGCTTGTGGATAACATATAGTTGGGTCTTGATTTTTTATCCGCTCTGACAGTCTCTGATCTGCCCTTTGTAATTGGTATATGTAGATCATTGACATTTAAAGTTATTGATATAGTTCAATCGATATTTATTGTATTTGTAATTGTTTCCTGTTTGTTGCCATTGTTTTTTTTTTCTCTGTATTCCTTCACTTTACTGCCTTCTCTGGTTTTAATTGAGCATTTTATACGATTTCATGTGTATGTTTTACATGTAAATAGACTAAAGAACCCAAATGAAAGCAAAGGTTGTCAGACTGACAAAAACCCCATCTGTTTATTATTTTTGAGGCATACTTTAAACAATAAGAATATAAAACAATAAGACAATGGAAAAATATACATCATGCAAACTTTAATTAAAAGAAAGTCAGACCAGGCATGGTGCTCACACCTGTAATCCCAACACTTTGGGAGGCCGAGGTGGGTGGATAACTTGAGGTCAGGCATTCGAGACCAGCTTGGCCAACGTGGTGAAACCCCGTCTCTACTAAAAATACAAAATTTAGTCAGGCAAAAGTAAATCCCAGTTACTTGGGAAGCTGAGGCAGGAGAACCACTTGAACCTGGAAGGTGGAGGTTGCGTGAGCTGAGATCACACCACTGCACTCCAGCCTGGATGACAGAGCGAGACTCCATCTCAAAAAAAAAAAAAGAAAAAAGAAAAAGAAAATCAGTGTCATTATGTTAGTATTGGACAAATTAAGCTTTAAGGGATAAAGTTTTGTGAGATATAAAGAGAGCAGTTTCATAATGATAGAGTCAGTTCAATAGAAAAATATAAAAATTCTGTACTTATAAGACAAAAACTTACATAATTACCAGAAGAAATATAGTAATCATCAAGCATAGTCGAAGATTTTAACACAACTCTCTTGGTAACTGATAGAAACAAGCACACAAAAAAATTTAGTACAGATATTGTAGATTTTAAATTCTTTACCTAATTGATATATAGAGAGAACGCTGTCACTACTTTTGCAACACTGCAAAATGTCTACAGTTTTGCAAAAGTAATGTTATTTTTAAGTGCACAGAAAATGTTTCCCGTAATAGATCACATGCTTGGATTTAATGAAAGTCTCAACAAATTTCCAAGTTTTGAAATCACAGAGAATGTTTTCTAGTCCCAGTGGAATTAAACTAAAAATTAATGAGAATACAGAAGTAGAAAACCACCAAATTTTTGCAAATTAAGCACATGAAATTAAATAATCTATGGATTAAAAGAGAAAATTAGAATATATTTTATACTAAGTCATAATGAAAATGTGACATCAAAACATGTGGAATGTATCTAAAGTAGAGCTCAGACAGAAATTTATACCTCTAAATGCAAATATTAGAAAAGAAGAAAAATTAAAAATCAATTTACAAAGTTTACACTTCAAGCTAGAAAAAGATAACCAAATTAATACCAAAGAAAGTAAAAGGAAGGGGGCCGGGCATGGTGGCTCATGCCTGTAATACCAGCAGTTTGGGAGGCCAAGGCAGGGGGATCATGAGGTCAGGAGTTCGAGACCAGTCTGACCAACATGGTGAAACCCCGTCTCTACTAAAAATATGAAAAAATTAGCCAGTCGTGGTTGCGTGTGCCTGTAATCCCACCTACTCAGGAGGCTGAGGCAGGAGAATCACTTGAACTCAGGAGGCAGAGGTTTCAGTGAGCCAAGATCAGGCCACTGCACCCCAGACTGAGCGACAGAGCAAGACTCTGTCTCAAAAAAAAAAAAAAAGTAAAAGGAAGGAAATAGTGAAGATAAAATCAGAAATCAATGAATAGAAAGTAGAAGTGGCTGGCAGGGTGGTTCGCATCTGTAATCCCAGCAGTTTGGGAAGCCAAGGTGCACAGATCACTTGAGCCCAGGAGTTTGAGACCAGCCTGGGCAACATGGAGAAATCCCTTACCTACAAAAAATTAAAAAAATTAGCCTGTCACGATGGTGCGTGCCTTTAGTCCCAGCTACTTGGAATGGTTAGGTAGAAGGATCAGTTGAGTCAGGGAGGTTGAGGCTGCATTGAACCATGATGGTGCCACTATGCAAATAAAAGCCAGTTGGTTCATTGAATATGTTAATAAAATTGATAAACTACTAGCATGACTGATAGATCCATATGGCCAATAAGCATATGCAAGGTGCTCAGCATGGTTAGTCATAAGAAAATACAATTAAAAACTACAATGAGCTACCATTATAACCCCACCAGAATGGCTAAAATTAGAAGGATTGACAGTACCAAATGTTGATAAAGAGACGGAGCAACCAGAACTCATATATTGCTGGTGGGGGGATTGTTACAAAAATTTGGAAAACTCTTTGGTAGTCACTAGTACAGCAAATTACAGATGCTCCTTGGCTTATGGCAGGGTTATGTTAAGATAAACTCATTGTAAGGTGAAAATATCATAAGCAAAAACTGCACTTAATATACCTAACCTGCCAAACATAACTTACCAATTTAACTTAGTCTATACTGTAGAGCAGCAGTCCTAACTTTTTGGTGCCAGGGACCGGTTTAGTGGAAGATAATTTTACCACAGACTTGGGATGTGGAGGATGGTTTTGGGATGAAACTGTTCCACCGCAGATCATCAAGGCATTAGATTCTCATAAGGCGTATGCAACCTAGATCCTGTGCGTGTGCAGTTCACAAGAGGGTTTGTGCACCTATGAGAATCTAATGTTGCTGCTGATCTGACAGGATGGGGAGCTCAGGCAGTAATGCTCCTGCCGCTCACCTCCTGCTGTGTGGCCCAGTCTTAACAGGCCATGGACTGGTACCAGTCCATGGCCTGGGGGTTGGGGACCCCTGCTGTAGAGTATCAGTTGTTTACCCTCATGATCATGTGGCTGACTGGAAGCTGTGGCTTGCTGCCACTGCCCAGCATCACGACAAGAGCATCATACCACATATTGCTAGCCTGGGAAAAGATCAAAATTCAAAATGTGAAGTATGATTTCTACTGAATGCATATCACTTTCACACCATTGTAGTCAAAATTGTAAGTTGAACCACTTTAAGTCGGGGCCATCTGTATACTTACATACCATATATACCTCATGACCTCTCATATTTCATTCCTGGGTATGTAACAAAGAGAAATGATTGTTATAACCCACAGAAGACATAAAAATGAATGTTCACAGAATGAGTAGTTTTATTCATTTTAACCCAAAACTAGAGACATATCAAATGTCCAACAATAATATAAATTGTCATATATTCTATTATATGATGGAATGTTAGATAGCAGTGAAAAAGAACTAACTGCTGCTATCTACAACTACATACACGAATCTTAGAGATTTATCACAGATTCATGTTGAGCAAAATAAGCCAAGCACAAGAGAGTACAATACATATGTAAAAATTCATGGAGCTGTACACTTAAGATCTGTCCACCTTAGTGAAAAAAATGTGTATATATTATTATGGCTCAAATATAGAAAATATGTTTTATAACAGGATCTCACACTTCATATTTGAATTCATAAAAGTTTTAGTCAAGAGAAGATTATTCTGCAAAATTAATGTTGTCTTTAAGACTCTATAGGTTGAATAACATCTATTTTCTGATCTAACCTAATATGATCAGGAGACAAGATTGAACTGTCTTCCGATAAAGGACCAAGAATTTTTTTCTCTACTTTCCATTTGGTGCTGCATACCAAACTAAAATCTAGAAAACCTATTATATACAATTCTTATATCATTTTATTTTATTTTATTTTATTTTATTTTATTTTATTTTATTTTATTTTATTTTATTTATTGAGACAGAGTCTCTGTTGCCCAGGCTGGAGTGCAGTGGTGCAATCTCTGCTCACTGAAGCCTCCACCTCCCTGGTTCAAGCGATTCTCCTGCCTCAGCCTCCAGAGTAGCTGGAATTACAGGCATCCGACACCACACCCAGCTAATTTTTGTATTTTTAGTAGAGACAGGGTTTCACCATGTTGGCCAGGCTGGCTTTGGAACTCCTGACCTCAAACAATCCACCCTCCTCGGCTTCCCAAAGTGTTGGGATTACAGGTGTGAGCCACCACGCCCGGCCCAGAATTTTAAACATGGATTTTTAAATTTAACAATAGCTAATTAGGAAAGGTCATCTACTGTTGAATTTAGGTTGATCAGTCATAATTTTTTCTTTGAATTTACCTGCAAGATAATATTTTATATGTAATATTTGAGGAGTTATTTAAAAGTTAAGTTTTATGACTAAAAAATTACTTGGCTTTTATGTTTATATATTGCATAAAAAGGAAACAGTTTGGTATCATTTTTTCATTTACCATAGATGTCCATAAGAAATTAAGTCCTTTTAGTGGGTGCAGCGCACCAGCATGGCACATGTATACCTATGTAACTAACCTGCACATTGTGCACATGTACCCTAAAACTTAAAGTGTAATAATAAAATAATAATAATAATAATAATAATAATAATAAAAAGAAATTAAGTCCTTAGCTCATAAAATATTTTCTTTTCTTTTCTTTTTTTTTTTTTTTTTTTTTGAGACAGAGTCTTGCTCTGTCGCCCAGGCTGGAGTGCAGTGGGGCGATCTTGGCTCACTGCAAACTCTGCCTCCTGGGTTCGTGCCATTCTCCTGCCTCAGCCTCCTGAGTAGCTGAGACTACAGGTGCCTGCCACCATGCCTAGCTAATTTTTTGTATTTTTAGTAGAGACGGGGTTTCACCGTGGTCTCGATCTCCTGACCTCATTATCCACCCACCTCGGCCTCCCAAAGTTCTGGGATTACAGGCGTGAGCCACCATGCCCGGCCTCATAAAATATTTTCTAATTACAAAAAAAAAATTTTTTTTAATGGCTGAGCACAGTGGCTCATGCCTGTAATCTTAGCACTTTGGGAGGCCAAGACAGGAGTATCACTTGAGGCCAAGAATTCGAGACCAGCTTGGCAACATAGGAAGACTCTTGTCTCTACAAAAAAAAAAAAAAATACAAAATTAGCCAGGCATGGTGGTGCACACCTGTAGTCTCAGCTATCTGGGAGGCTGAGATGGGAGCATCGCTTGAGCCCAGGAGGTTAAGGCTGCAGTGAGCTGAGATCATGCCACCGCACTCCAGCCTGGGCAACAGAGTGAAATCCCATCTCAAAAAAATTTTTTTAACAATTTTTCTAATTTAAAATTGATTATTTGAGGTTGGTTCACCTGACTGATTTCCTAAATAGTCAATATTTAGCAATTATTTAAAATAATAGAGTGAGAAATAGTGAATTGATACATACAGAATCCTGAAGAATAATATATAAGAATAATATATTTTCTTATAGGCAGAGCTTCTAGATGCTGCTGCTGGCATTCATGTGCGATTCAGATTAGGTGGAGTAAGTATGGATGAATGCTTATTTAGTAGTTATAAAGCACATTTTTATGAAATTGAAACAATGTAATTTTTCAAAATGTAAAACATTTTTGTAGTTACATTACAATGGCTCTTTGAACTTTTCCTTCTACAGGTTAAATTTCCACCTGATATATACTATAAGATTTTTACTCACAGACCTATTGAAGATCTCTGTGCTAACAGCCCTAGAAATTATGCAAAACTTCCAGCAAAGCATACATCTCATAATAAAAATGATCATCTTCAGGAAGAGGATCATAGTGGCTGGTATCATCGTATAGAAAACAATGGCTGGAGGCCAGTTTCTGATACAGTAAGAAAAGAGAAATGTTAATTTTTAACCTTACGTATTTAGAAACCCATTTGTCTTTTCAAAAATTAATTTTAAAATTATTTTTTAAAATAATAAATCCTAGTAATTTAATTGATAAATTTTGCTTAAGTTAGCTACTCAGGGGTTGCTAATAATACTTCAAGGCACAGCAATTTATCTTTTTCTTACTACATTTATTTCTACTTTTAATTATCAGCTTTGAATCTAGACCATCTTTAGATACTCTCTGGTACTCAGCAGATTATATACCCAGTATACGGATTGTAGAATTTGGTATGTTGAATATATTAACACTAAGTATGACCAGGCTCTGTGGCTCATGCCTGTAATCCCAGCACTTTGAGCTGAGATGGCACCACTGCACTTCAGCCTGGGCGACAGAGTGAGACTCTGTCTCAAAAAACAAACTAACAACAACAACAAAAACAAACACAAAAGAATATACCAAGTATGAAAAGTGAAAATGATCAAGGTATGAATTCATTCATTTGTTTAATAATAAACTATTGCATATCAACCATATACCAGACATTGTTCTGGATGCAGGGGATAGACTTAAGTAGTTTGCCTTTCAATTAGGGAGACAGTCAAGTAAACAGGATATTTCAGTACAGTGTGGTAAACATGTTAAGTGGTTTAATAAGGGCAAATATATAGTGTTTGGAAGGATTAACAAACTTTCCTTATTATCTAGGGTATGTGTGATAGAGCAGGGGGAATGAGTTGGAAGGGGGAAAATAGACAACCAGTTAGGAGAAAATGTCATAACGGGGAAACCACAAAGTCTTAGGACATGGTACAGGGACTTCTGCATTCCTGAAGGGTGGCTGTACTCCTTGAGGATTAGAGTCATCAAAAGCCATCAGCACTAAGAGTAGGTCAGGTCTATTCATGTGAGAAGATGAGACACTCTTAGAATATATCTGTTTATTTATCCATTCAACACTTATTAAGCACCTCAGTACACTAGTACTTTGTTGATCTATCTGTAGCATGTGCTTCTGAAGGCTGAGTGTACTACTCACCCATCACTTAATTAGAAATACCTTGAAAGTATCTATCCTCTCCTCTGTTTCTATCTTGCCATATTCCTACTGAACACATAGAAGTTCTTGTCTATTGCCAGATAACCTCACAATCGATATTTCAACATTTTGTATGTTCATTTTTGTTTCTCAATAGTTTTGGCTATCTACTGATGGTATGGTGGTGGAAGACAAAAAGGAAAGTGAATTCCATTTCTCTAAACTGAAGAGAAGGCAAGATTTGGAAAAGAAAAGAAAACTTAGAAAAATAGAGTGGATGAGGCAAATGTAAGTTGATGAAACACTTACTAAGGAAATACGTAGTATTTTGGGAAAAAAACAAATTTGAAATGAGGTATTGCTCCTCACAAGAGGGCATTAGCTGCAGGGGGTCTGCCCGCAGACCCTGACCCAAACGACAGATGAATAAAACGCACACTGACACACAGATATTCTGTTTTGCCAGTCCTGCTGAGTGTCCAACCGCCTACACACCAAGAGAGGCTTGTCACTGCAGCTGGCCCCAATCAGCTAGGGAGACTCATATTTATTCATTAAGATTAGTTAACAAAAGTTTGAGTGAACGCCATTAGAGGCTAACTGACATTGTGGACTTCCCGAGTAAAAAGCACACATCAAAGGCTTGTCTTAAGACCGCATGAGTAAACAAGCTAACTAGGTAAAACTTCGCCACATCCCGTTGTTTACTACTTTAATCTTTTTAACTAAAGTTAATGGGACCAGGCCGCCTTCGGCCCGGTCTGTTACCGAGGTCATGTGAAAACCCTCAGGCCTTCCAAAAAGGTTTTGTGGCCATCATAACTAATATTTTTCCCAGCAGCCTGATCGAATCCCAACATTGGAGAACTATACTACTTGATTTCAAGACTTATAAAGCTACTGTAATCATGACATTGTGGTATTGGCATATAGACAGAAATATAGGTCAATGGAACAGAATATGGAATTGTGAAATAAACCCCCATGTGGCCGGGCGCGGTGGCTCACGCCTGTAATCCCAGCACTTTGGGAGGCTGAGGCAGGCAGATCACGAGATCGGGAGATTGAGACCATCCTCGCTAACATGGTGAAACCCCGTCTCTAGTTAAAAATCCAAAAAAAAAAAAAAAGAAAAGAAAAAATTAGCCGGGCTTGGTGGCAGGCGCCTGTAGTCCCAGCTACTTGGGAGGCTGAGGCAGGAGAATGGCGTGAACCCAGGAGGCGGAGCTTGCAGTGAGCAGAGATCGCACCACTGCACTCCAGCCTGGGTGACAGAGCGAGACTCCATCTCGAAACAAACACAAAAAAAAGTATCAAAGACAGAAAGTGGAAGTTACAAGGCTTTTTAAGGCCTTATCTTGGAAGTCACAGCAACATTTATTTTGCATTCCATTGGTCAAACTCAAGTCCTAACAGGCCTAAGGGGGTCAAGTAAAAGGTGGGACTCACAGGAAGTTCCATATACATTACAGCTTCACTTGCAGTACAGAGGGGAAGGGAAATCCTACTGGGACAGAACCTCAAGTAGCATACCTGGTTGTATATTGTGCCTGAAAGAAAAGATGGCCAGAAGTATAGATCTATAGATGGATGGTGATTGATGGATGGTTTGACTGGATGGTCAGGGATTTGGAAAGAACATGGTTAGAAAATTGGTGACAAGTGGTCTGGGGAAGAGGTATGTGCAGACTTCTCCAGATGGGCACCAAGTGAGAAGATGCTTGTGTCGTATGTGAATGCTCACCAAAGAACAATCTCAACAGAGAAGAATCTTAATAATCAGGTGAGCAAGATGACTCATTCCTTGGAATCAGTCAGCCTTTCC
The DNA here is from genome assembly GCF_000001405.40 of Homo sapiens. Classification (NCBI taxonomy): domain Eukaryota; kingdom Metazoa; phylum Chordata; class Mammalia; order Primates; family Hominidae; genus Homo; species Homo sapiens. The sequence continues at coordinate 108,403,891 of NC_000011.10, read as the reverse complement.
CCCCAGCCACTGCTATCCTCGCACTATCCAGCCTGGGCGACAGAGCGAGACTCCGTCTCAAAAAAATAAATAAATAAACCCCCATGTATATTGTTAATTAATTTTCAACAGAGGTGCCAAGGGAACTTAATTGGGAAAAAATAGTCTTTTCAACAAATTGGATTTTCAAATGCAGAAAAATGAAACTTGAGTGTTCTCTTACAGCATGTGTAAAATTAACTGAAAAGAGATTATAGATCTAAATATAAGAGCAAAAACCATAAAGCATCTAAAAGTAATTGAAGGAGAAAATCTTAGTGCCTTTTGTTCTGGCCAAGATTTTTTAAAGAGGACATAGAAGTCAGGAACTATAAAAGAAACAATTTTAAATTTTACTTTATCAAAATTAAAAGCCATAGACCGGGATAAAACATTTGCAAAATATATATCTGACAAAGTTCTTGAATCAAGAATATGTAAAAAAAAAAAAAACAAAAAAAAAACCTCTCAAACAATCACATTTTAAAGTGGGCAAAAAATTTGAATAAACACTCCATCAGTGAAGATACATACCTAGCAAATTAGCATAACTCAACCAGTGACTATGATTAATCATTAGAGAAGTGCTAACTAAAATGATAATGAGATACCCCTACACACCCACTAGAATGACTGAAATAGTCTGTCATGCCAATTGTTGGCAAGGATATGGAGCAAATGCAAATTAGAATGTGTACTTCAGAAAACGGTTTGACAAGTTTTTTTTTAAACAAGTAAACACACCAAATATTCTACCTAGTCATTCCACCCCTACATGCTTACCCAAGAGAAATAAAAACATGTCCACAGAAAGATTGTATGTGAATGTTCATAGCTGGTTTATTTGTCATTTTAATTGCGAAAAACCAGAAACAGCACAAATTTGCATCAGCAGGTGAATGGATAAGCAAGTGGTAGGATATCTACACAAAGGAATACTACGCAGCAGTACAACAGAATGAACTACTGATAGACAGAATGACATGGACGAACCTCAAAATAATGCCGAATGAAATAAATCTATCAAAAAAGAATACATACTGTATGATTCCATTCACATACAATTCTAGAAGACACAAATCTGAAGTGACACAAATCAGATCAGTAGTTGTCTGGAGATAGGAAAGAGGAAAAAGAGAGGGATTCCAAAGGAGTACAAGGAAACGTCAGAGGGTGATGGATAGATTTATTTTTTATTGTAGTGATGGATTTACAGGTATATAGACATGTCAAAACTGTACATTGTACAATTTAAATATGTGTAGTTTATTGTACATCAACCATACCTCAATAAAATAGTAAAAAAAAAAAAAATTAAAAACCTGTGCAGAAAATCAGAAGACCTCCCTGGCAGCTCTGAAGTGGTCCTTTATCTCATAGTCACAGCATGGGTTGAGGGCAACCCTGGGTTCCATTGCAAGGGTCACAGGGTTACAATGCCTACAGTACTACCAAATGCTTAACTCTGCCAGGTCTTTTGCACTAAGATAAGGGCACTAGTGGGGAAGAAGTAGAACTCTGAGGCCTGGGATTAGGACATTTGGGCAAACATACACAAGGCTAAGAATCTTGAACTTCCAAAGTGCCTTGTTGGTGTAGGGAACCCTTACTCTCCCTTTTGAGGGAAGCGGCCCTTTTCTGCATAAAAGCCTTTCAGTGACTGCACTGGCACAGTTGCCACACACACTTAAGCTGATTCTCCTCAGGATTCCCCCTCTACTATTTCTCATTGCCTTTAGCTCACAATGAGATTTGTATTTCAGGACAGCCCAGACAGAGGTACAAGGTCCACTCCAAGAGGAGATAGTTTATAAACCAGAACAGTTACAAGAAATTACTAATCTACATTGCCAGGAATCTCAGAAGCATTGTGTGAGGGTGGATTCTAAGGTTGTTAGATCGAGAGTTGGCTGGGCCGAACTTACTGATATGGCCATACTCACCTGGGATTGTGGATTTAATGCTTTGGCCAGAAATTATGTTAATGGTCTGTTAAGTTAGCTAATCAAAGCCTGATTTAGGTAGAGCCAACCAAAGTTCTACCTTTGCAAAATGCTGGAACTTCTCTGGTATACTGTAGTGTAGCAGGATTGATAAGGAATCAGAGAGACCGATGGGGTAGAGGAGGATATTTGTTATTTTAGGTGTACTGGCCCAGTCGGATTAACATCCAAAGGACTGAGCCCTGAACAAAGAGTTAAGTTACCTTTTAAGCATTTCATGGGGTTGGGGGAGATCTGTGCAGGGGGAAGCATATTACAGAAGCAAGAAACAAAGATAGTTATTCAATTAATTGAGAAGTGCATTACATCGTTTCTTACTTTTCAAGGAAAACATGTTTTATGACTTGAGTTTATCTGTCTAGTGACCTTGCAGCTGCACAGCTAGAGAAACAGGGTCTTCACAATGCCTGGGAAAGAAGGAGAGATAAGGCTCACTAGCCACAGAAAAACAGGCAGTTAATTTTTAAAGGACTCCAGCTCTTTCTCCTTCTTAGGGGGAGTTGGGTTTTCTTACGTACAGCTGAGTTTTTGTTTACACATTCTTTTTTTTTTCTTTTTTTAATTTCTGTTCCATTAGAAAAAGGATTTCTAAAAGTTCAGGGAATTGTGTGTTTGTTTCTGTTATGTGCAATCTACTAAACCACCGTCTAGCCATCACCCCAGGAAGTTCCAGGAGATACCTTTTTCATCAAGCTATGAAGTAATAGCTTGGTGAGGGGAGCGAGGGGAGCAGCATATTTCTTTCTCTTTTTTTTTTTCTTTGAGACGGAGTCTCACTCTGTCACCCAGGCTGGAGTGCAGTGGCGCAATCTCGGCTCACTGCAACCTCTGCCTCCCAGGTTCAAGCAATTCTCCTATCTCAGCCTGCCGAGTAGCTGGGATAACAGGCATGTGCCACCATGCCTGGCTAATTTTTTTTTGTATTTTTAGTAGAGGCAGGGTTTCAACATATTGGCCAGGCTGGTCTTGAACTCCTGACCTTGTGATCTGCCTGCCTCGGCCTCCCAAAGTGCTGGGATTACAGGCATGAGCCACCACGTCTGGCCCAGGAGCAGCATATTTCTTGATGAACTCTGTGGTGGCTGTCCTTTACAAGGCTGGAGATGACAGTGGGGAAAGCTGTGATGGAACTGGTTCCTTTAGTTCACTGGGACTAATGGAACTTTGAAGTGGTAGAGGTCAGCTGATGGCACAATTGCAGCGAGGCTTCCAGATGTGGCTTCTTCAACAGAGCAAATCAACACAGCCCCTGGCACCTGGTATGCTGCAACTGACCTGGCAAATGTGTTCTTTCCCATCCCAATCACTAAGCAACAGGAGAAGCAGTCTGTATTTTCACAGAAAGAACCGTGTGTTTTTACATGTTGTTCCCGAAGATACATCACCTTTCCTGCTCTTGTCCCCAGGGGCTTGTACATCTGTTTCCATAGAACATTATGCCTGTCCATTACATTGATGACCTTACCTTGATTGGATGTGGTGAGCAGAAAATAACAGCTCCTTGGTGGCTTAGTAGGATAAATGCACACTAAAAGGAGGCAGATAAACTTTGCAAAAAGTTAAGGATCTGGCATATAATTGAAGCTTAAAGACATTTGAGATATCCTTTCAAAAATGAGAGACAAGTTACTGTACCTTGTACCATCCATCCTGAAGAAGCACAACACTTAGAGGCCCTCTCTCGATTTGAGAGCTAATGTATGACATATTTTGGGCATGCTGTTCCAACCCCTTTACTAGGTGATCTAACAAACAAGCTGGCTTCAATGGGACATGGAGCAAGAAAGAGGTGTGTAGCAGATCCACAATGTGGTCAAGCTGCCTTACAACTTGGGCTTTATGGCCCAGCAGTCCCAACAGCATTAGAAATGTCCATGGTAGTGAAAAACTGTAGAGTCTCTAAAGAGACCTAATGGGAGAATCACAGCACAGACCTCTAGGGTTTAGGAAGAAGGCAGTGAATTCCTTCTTCTGCCAGAAGCTATATTCCATTTGAAAATCTGTTCCAGATTTGCAATTGGTCCTGGTAGAGACTGGTTGCTTGACAATAAGATACCAAGTGCTATGATCATGGACTGACCTGGGATTTATCTAATCAATTAAACCATAAAATTGAGAGTACGTAGCACTGTTTTAGTGTAAAATAAATGTGGTCTGTATGGGAATGAGTCTGAGAAGGTCCAGAAGGCCCAAGTAAGCTGCATGAGCAGGTGGCTCATACTCCTGCAACCACTACTTACGCTGCATTGCCTCCACATCATCTCCATACCTTTGGCTTCATAGGAAGTCCCCATGACAAGTTAACAGGGGGGAATATGTTGGAGGAATAAGTTGGATCTATACAGGATGCTGCATCATCTAAAAATGGACAGTTAATGATTTCAATTCCTCGGTTGGCCTAGAAAATGATCAAAAGATATCCTTCCAGTGGGCACAACTTGTGGTATGTTTGGTTTTCCACTTCATTTGAAGGGGAAAAAGCCTGAGGTAGGGATCTCATTGACTGTGCTGACCAACATTTATAGTTTCCCAGCTGATCAACATTTGCAAAGAATAAAATTGGAAAATTGGTGAGTATAGGTCAGGGTAGAGGTATACTCATAATGGATACAAAATATATTTTTGTCCTATGTGAATGCCCTCCAAAGGGCTTATATGAGGCAGACAGCTCTTGGTAATCAGATGGACAAGATGATCCATCCTGTGAATGTCATTTTTTCCCCCGGCACCTCAGTGGTTGCACCGTGGAGTCTTGTCCAAAGTGGCCAGGATTACAGGGATGGAGGCCCTATATAGACTCAACAACTTGGTCTTCCCCCTCACCAAAGTTGTTCTGGCTACAGTCACAGCTGACTGTATAGCAAAGGCCATTGCTTTGCCCCCAGTAATGAGATATGCTGGCTAGTTGGTGACAGGCTGATTAAAATAGACCATTCCCATAATAGAGGAGGCATCCATTTGTCCTCACAGTGATAGACAAATATTCTGGATATTAATTTTATTTCTCTGCCTGCATTACTTCTGGCAACAACACCTCTCATAACAGAATGCGTTATCCATCGTCATCATTTTATTTCATACAACATTGCCTCTAATAGGGGACCTATTAACAGCAAAGGAAGTGTGGTTACAGGCTGAGAACAACAAAATTCACCTACCATATGTGCCATCACCTAGAAACAGCTGGCTTTGACAGAATGGTGGCATGACTTGCTGAAGCACCGTCACATTACTAGCTGGGAAACAGCATCTGGTGATAAGCCAATGCACATGAAGAATAATATGCGTTTTACTTCTTCTTTCCTGTGTTTATTTACCCTCAACACAATCGTCATCCATAACTGAGCTCTGTATTTCTAATTATGTGGGCATTTCTATATCAAACTCAACAGTTCCAAAACTGAATTTCTAATCTTCCGCATCACAAAAGTTGTTTCTTCTCAGTATTTCTTCTGGTCTCAGCTTATGACACTGCATTTAGCCAGTCATCCAAGCCAGAAACAGAGGGCTTATCCTAGATTTATCACTCTTTTAGTGCCTACATGTAATCTGTCATCAAGTCCTATTAATTCCACTTCCAAAATATCTCCCAAATCTGATCTTTTCTTTCATTCTCCACTGTGATGTCTCATCATTTTTCATCTACCTTCTAATTAGTTTCCTGGTCTCTAGTCCCTTCGTCTTCTCTGTATAAACACTAAACTGATGTTTCTAAGACAGAAATAATTTCTTTACTTAAAATATGTTAAGGGCTCCCCGTTACCTACACCTCCCATGATATTTCCTCTCCCTAGGGTGCTCAGCTGCATGGCAACAACATCTTCATCTTTTGATACTTGGCCCAAATAGCTCCTTCTGAAACCTTCCCTTACATACCTAGACACAATTAGGTACTTCCTTTTGATGTGCCCCATGGATCTTTTATATACTCAGTGGTCACATTTTTGCAATTAACTGTGTATTTGTCTGCCACCTCCACTAAACTTTGAGTCCCTACAGAGCAGAGACTCTGTTCTATTTATTAGCACAGGATCTCAGACTTAGTTCATGTTTAATGAATATATGTTGCTTATAGAATAAATAAATGAATGAATGCTTTCTTATGACTGGGTGTTACATTTCCTTTTCATAGAGTTGCAGGGGGTGAATGAGAAATTTTACTTTGTGTGCTTTGTTCATTTATGGCATTTAAACACTCTTCATTCTGACTGTTGCTGAGAATCAGTAATGAACAAAATCAACAAAATTTTTATTTTTTACCCCTATCTTACTAAAAGAATTCTGGCTTTTAAATCTAGTCCCTTCCTGTGTCCTATAGATCTTAGCTTTCCTCAACCTCCTTTGCAACTTAAGCTTTGATTCTTCCTAGGTCTTTGTTGTTTTAACTTCTCTCTCTGTTGTGACATTTAGACAAACATTTCTTATAATATTCTTTCCCTCTAAATTTCCTAGTTTAGAAAGAATATAAGATCATGTTAAGGTGAATACAACTAAAAATATATTGCAAAATTACCTACGAAGACAAATTTTATGTCTTTTTTTTTTTTTTTTTGAGAAAGAGTCTTGCTCTGCTGCCCAGGCTGGAGTACATTGGCACCATGTCAGCTCACTGCAACCTCTGCCTCTGGGTTCAAGCATTCTCCTGCCTTAGCCTCCTGAGTGCCTGGGACTATAGCTACATGCCACCATGCCCAGCTAATTTTTGTATTTTTAGTAGGGCCTGGGTTTCACCATGTTGGCCAGGCCAGCCTCAAACTCCTGACCTCACATGACCTGCCCACCTTTGCCTCTCAAAGTTCTGGGATTACAGGCGTGAGCCACCACCCTAGCCAATTTTAGGTCTTTTTAAAAGATCATTAGTTTGTTTATAAAACAAATTATGTTTATAAAGTGATCTTTTATTTCTGATCACTATATTTGAAACACTTTCTACTTGCAAACCTGTTATTTTATCAATATTTATACCATTTAATTATAATAGTAACTATTTTATTTTATTTATTTATTTATTTATTTATTTATTTATTTATTTATTTTAAGACGGAGTCTTGCTCTGTTGCCCAGGCTGGAGTGCAGTGGCGCCATCTCAGCTCACTGCAAGCTCCGTCTCCCAGGTTCATGCCATTCTCCCGCCTCAGCCTCCCTAGTAGCTGGGACTACAAGCACCTGCCACCACGCCCAGCTAATTTTTTTTTGTATTTTTAGTAGAGACAGAATTTCACTGTGTTAGCCAGGATGGTCTCAATCTCCTGACCTCGTGATCCGCCCGCCTTGGCCTCCCAAAGTGTTGGGATTACAGGCATAAGCCACCGCAACCGGCCAATAGTAACATTTTAAAAGAGTTCAAAACCTGAGAATTAAATTATTTGAACAATTACTATGACTCTCTTGAAAACAAAGTGCATTTTATACTTCCTTAATAAGAGAAAAAAGATATCTGAATTATCATATATCACTGTTGAAAAAAGAAAAATAAGAGGTCAGGCACACTGGCTCATACCTGTAATCCCAGCACTTTGGGAGGTGGAGGCGGGCAGATCACTTGAGGTCAGGAGTTTGAGACCAGCCTGGCCAACATGGTGAAACCCCATCTCTACTAAAAATACAAAAATTAGCTAAGCCTGGTGGTGTGCTCCTGTGATCCCAGCTAGTTGAAAGGCTGAGGCAGGAGAACTGCTTGAACCCAGGAGGCAGAGGTTACAGTGAGCCAAGATCGTGCCACTGCACTCCAGCCTGGGTAACGGAGCATTTGCTCTCATGGATCATTATCCGTTTAAAATCTGATGAAGTCAAAATTTCATGAGGGCAAGGATGTATCTTCTCACTGTTATAGCCCTGCCACCCGATAACAGTGTCAGCCTATGAATGCTTACTGTGTACCAGTCATTGTTCTAAATGCTTTACATAGATTTACACTTCTTTTTTTATTATTATTATTTTAAAAAATTTTGGCTGGGCGCGGTGGCTCACACCTGTAATCCCAGCACTTTGTGAGGCCGAGGCAGGCAGATCACGAGGTCAGGAGATCGAGACCATCCGGGCTCACACGGTGAAATCCCGTCTCTACTAAAAAATACAAAAAATTAGCCAGGCGTGGTGGCAGGCGCCTGTAGTCCCAGCTACTCGGGAGGCTGAGACAGGAGACTGGCGTGAACCCGGGAGGCGGAGCTTGCAGTGAGCCGAGATGGCGCCACTGCACTCCAGCCTGGGCAATAGAGTGAGATTCCATCTCAAAAAAAAAAAAAAAAAATTTGGGCTGGGCGCAGTGGCTCACGCCTGTAATCACAACACTTTGGGAGGCTGAGGCGGGCAGATCACGAGGTCAGGAGTTTGAGACCAGCCTGGCCAATATGGTGAAACCTCATCTCTACTAAAAATACAAAAATTAGCTGGGCGTGGTGGGCTGTAGTCCCAGCTACTTGGGAGGCTGGGGCAGGAGAATTGCTTGAACCCGGGAGGTGGAGGTTGCAGTGAGCCGAGATCACATCACTGCACTCCAGCCTGGGAGACAGAGCAACTCCATCTCAAAAAAAAAAAAAAATTGTAGAGACAGGTTGTCCCTATTTTACCCAGGCTGGTCTTGAACTCCTGGATTCAAGGGAGTCTCCCACCTCAGTCTCCCAAAGTGCTGGGATTGCAGGCATGAGCCACCATCCATGCCCATCCCACATGGATTTATGCTTCTAAACCTCTCAAGAATGCTAGGAGGAAGTAGTGTTATGATTTTTTTTTTTTTTTAAGAGTTAAGGTCTCACTCTGTTACCCAGGCTGGAGTGCAGTAGTGCTATCATAGCTGACCGCAGCCTTGAACTTCTGGGCTCAAACAATTCTCCCACCTCCGCCTCCCCAGTAGCTGGGACTACAGGCGTGTGCCACTGTGCTTGGCTATGTTTTTTATTGTTTGTAGAGATGGGGTCTCACTGTGTTGTCCAGTATGTTCTTAAACTTCTGGCTTCAAGTGATCCTCCTGCCTTACCCTCCCAAAGTGCTGGGATTATAGGCATGAGCTACCACACCTGGCCCTGATTACCATTTTAAGGAAGAGGTCAGTGAGGCCCAGAAAGGCTAGGTTATTTAGCAGATTATGTAACACAGAACCAAGATTCACATCCAGATAATTCGATACCAGAGTCTTGCTCCATATCACCACTATGCTGTTTCCTAATCAATGAGTGTTGAATTAATAAATGAATACAACTTCATAATAGGTGACCCTTTAAAATGGCTACCAATGTAGATCTTAAAATAAATACCAAAAAAAGTTTTGATGATCTTGGTAAGGACTACTAACTTCTCTCTAGTTACTCAGCTCATTATCAGTGAATGTATTATTTTATGTGCTCAGATTAAGACAGGCAGTGCTGCAGAAGGAGGCTGAATTTAAAACTAAGGGTCTGAATACTGGCTCTCATAAGTATTTACTGCTACATGATCTTGAACAATTTCTTTAAAAATTTTTAAAATTATTAATTGAGATGAGGATCTCTCTGTTGCCCAGGCTGGCCTCAAACTCCTGGCCTCAAATGATCTTCCTGACTCAGTCTCCAAAAGTGTTGGGATTACAGGCTTGAGCCACTGTGCCCAGCTTTGAATGATATTTTAACTTCTCCAGGTCTCAGTTTCTTTATCTCTAAAAGGGGAATAAAAATAGCTGCCACAAATGGCTGTGTCTTTTTTTTTTTTTTTTTTTTGAGATGGAGTCTTGCTCTGTCGCCCAGGCTGGAGTGCAGTTTCATGATCTCGGCTCGCTGCAACCTCCACCTCCCAGGTTCTAGCGATTCTCCTGCCTCAGCTTCCCAAGTAGCTGGGATTACAGGGGCCCGCCACCATGCCCAGCTAATTTTTGTATTTTTAGTAGAGACAGGGTTTCACCATGTTGGCCAGGCTGGTCTCGAACTCCTGACTTCGTGATCCACCCATGTTGGCCTCCCAAGTTCTGTGATTATAGGCGTGAGCCACCGCGCTGGGCCTGGCTGTGTCTTTTTAAAAAGAATTAAATAAGACTGTATGAAAAGTACCTGGCACAAAGAAAAGGTATCTGTTTTCCCTTTACCTCTTCCTCTCTTTCCTTTTTTCACTTTCCTTCCCTCTTTATCTGCTATTAGCCTCTTGATTTTGTAAAATTTACTTAACTCCTCAAAGATTTATTTCCTCACCTATAAAAATGAGTAGGTTAGTTATTTGGTTTCTAAGACCCTTTCCACTCTATAATTCTAAGATTCAACAATTTAATAACTTAGTTTTTCTTCGTATCATAAAAATGCAACTTATTGAGGGGTGATTTTAAGTTAGTGTGGTTAAGTTGCTTTTCCCCCCAGAAGATTCCATCACATAGATCTTGGTTTAGATGCATCTGAGTTATATAGGAATGAAAACTTTATTCAATATGCAAATAGTTTTAATATGTAAATAGCAACAATATATATTGCCTGTATCTACTTGTAATCTCCTATTTCAAAAGATTTACTTCTCTTTCCCTTTTGCCTATTTAGGTACTACTCAGGAAGTCTGGAGGCTAAGTCAACACATCATGAAACTCTAGGACTAATTCACACTGCAACAAAGGGGCTGATTAGAGCTTTTGAAGATGGGGGGATAGATTCTGTGATGGAATGGGAAGTGGATGAAGTGCTGAACTGGACAAATACACTGAACTTTGATGAGTAAGTACATGTTGCTATTCTTGGGGAACAAGGGCAGTCATCATAGTTTTTTTCTAACATTTCCTATTTCCTTGTTGAATCTTGGGGCCACAAACAATCTTCAAAGAAAAAAAAAACCCGAGTATCTATTATTTGTCTAGAAAGAACAGAAGAAGACATGAGGGGTAAGAAAATGAATGATCCAAAAATAGTAAACAGAAAATTAGACTTAGGACTCTTTATTCTTAGACTTTATTCTTATGCTTTAGTCTGCTTTGCTTCTTACTTTGGGATTTAGAAAAAAGGCTAAGAGCATGAAATTAATAATACAAAGGTTTTCTTTCATCTATATTCCCTAACCTTTCTGTATGAGACACTAAAATGTTATAAGTTTTCAGTGATGTACTATGGCCCTTAGAAAACATTTTTAAGATTTCTTGTGTGGGGGAAATTTTAGAATATTTAATGTAGCCCCATTAAGGAAATGCAATCAAAACCATAATGAGATACCACTTCACACCTACTAGGATAGCTATAATTAAAAAGACAGATAATAACAAGTGTTTGCAAGAATGTGGAGAAATTGGAACTCATACACTGCTAGTGGGAATGTGCAATGGTGCAGCCACTTTGGAAAACAATCTGGCAGTTCCTCAAGTGGTTAAACATAGAGCTGACATGTGATCCAGCAGCTCCACTCCTAGATATATACCCAAGAGAAGGGGAAATACATGTCTACACAAAAACCTGTGCATAAATGTTCATAGCAGCATTATCATAATAGCAAAAAAGCAGAAGACACCCCAAATGTCCATGAGCTGACGAATGGCTAAATGAAATATGATAGATCTATCCAATAGAATATTATTCCACAATAAAAATTAGTGGGCTGGGCATGGTGGCTCATGCCTGTAATCCCAGCACTTTGGGAGACCAAGCAGATTACTTGAGCCCAGGATTTTGAGACTAGTCTGGGCAACATAGCGAGACCCCATCTCTACAAAAAATCAATAATTATCCCAGGCCTGCTGGTGCATAACTGTAGTCCCAGCTACTCAGGAGGCTGAGGTAAGAGGTTCTCTTGAGCCAGGACGTAGATGCTGTAGTGAGCCATGATCACACCACTGTACTCCAGTCTGGGTGACAGAGCGAGACACACACACACACACACAAAAAGCCAAGTGTAGTGGCTCACGCCTGTAATCCCAGCATTTTTGGAGGCAGAGATGGGAGGATTGCTTGAGCCTAGGAATTTGAGACCAGCCTGGGAAACATAGTGAGACAGCGCCTCTATTTAAAAAAAAAGAAAGAAATTAAGTTCTGATCTATGCCATAACATTGATGAATCTGCTAAGTGAAAGAAGCCAATCACAAAGGATCATGTGTTATTTTATTTATAGGAAATACCCAGAATAGGCAAACCTATAGAGACAGAAAATAGATTAGTGGTTTCCTGGGGGTGGAGAATTAACTGGGGGGAGGGGGTGGTGGTGGCTATGGGGTGCAGGGTCTCTTTCTGAGGCAATGAAAATAATTGAAAATTCATTGTGGGCCAGGCGTGGTGGCTCACGCCTGTAATCCCAGCTCTTTGGGAGGTCAAGGCGGGTGGACTGTTTGAGGTCCCGAGTTCAAGACCAGCCTGATCAACATGGTGAAACCCTGTCTCTACTAAAAATACAAAAATTAGTCAGGCCTGGTGGCGGGCACCTGTAATCCCAGCTATCAGGAGGCTGAGGCAGGAGAATCACTTGAATCTGGGAAGTGGAGGTTGCAGTGAGCTGAGATCGTGCCATTGCACTCCAGCCTGGGCAACGAGTGAAACTCCGTCTCAAAAAAAAGAAAAGAAAATTCATTATGGTGGTGGAGCCACAACTCTGCTAATATTATACTAAAAGCCACTGGATACTATACTTTAAATGGGGGAATTGTATGGCATATGAATTATATACCTCAATAAAGCTGCTTAAAATGTTCAATATTTACTCAACTACAATAAAGAATGTGGATACTGCATGAAGAGGCAGAAAAATTTAAATGAAGATAGTGTAAGTAAAGAAATGTAAGAAAACAGAAGAAATCAGTAAAAGTGAGATAAGAAAATGGGGTAGGAAAAATCAAGTTAATGGTCATTGAACAATAGAACATGAAAAAAAGAAGCCAGAGGAAGCAGGGGAGAGAATAATGATGCAAGGAAAGATAAATGAAGAAAAAGGGGGAAGAATGATCAAGACAAAGGAAAATCAAAACAAGAATAAAAGAAAAAAGAAGATACTGATGAGAAGGATAGATCAGAAAATAATAAGGAAAAGATAAAAAATAAAGGACTAAGTGTCCATAGTAGATGCTTTAAAATATTTTTAAATAAGAAGAAATTGCTATGATTCAATAACCCCAATATTTTGTGCAGACCTCAGTCTTGAGATTCCCTATAGACAGCATGTCTGTAGTTCCTGGGACACTGAACAAATGCAGATGGTAATAATGATGCAAGAAATGACAGCCAAACAAAGGAGCTGCAATGCCTTGCTTTTACTTTTCTTCCTAAGAGTAAAAATTGCTGAGTGGAAAAGAGAGGGAAGAAAGGGAAAGAGAGGTAGGAGAGGTCCATTTTGAATGAGTTTCCCAGGACTGGATAGAGAATTTTCTCAGGTGAGCTTTTGAAATCCTGCTCTGCCTTTCCCTTGTACCATTGGCCGATTCAAGCTAAGGGCCGGCAAACAAGTACAAAAAATTGATACCAGATATTCTATATTCTGTCATTACTGGAATATAAAAAGAATAAAACCATTGAGTTCAAAGGGAAGAAAAAATAGGCATCTCGGTCCACATAAGACTTTCCCCGCCATCATCCGCTAAGTGATAGTAGGTGAAGTCTTAATGGCTTCCCTTTAAAAAACAAAAAACAGGCTGGGTGTGGTGGCTTACGCCTGTAATCCCAGCACTTTGGGAGGCTGAGGCAGGTGGATCATGAGGTCGGGAGATCGAGACTATCCTGGCTAACACGGTGAAACCCCGTCTCCACTAAAAATACAAAAATTAACCCACCAAAAATTGGCAGGCACCTGTAGTCCCAGCTACTAGGGAGGCTGAGACAGGAGAATGGCGTGAACCCAGGAGGTGGAGGTTGCAGTGAGCTGACATCGCGCCACTGCACTCCAGCCTGGGCAACAGAGCGAGACTCCGTCTCAAAAATAAATATAAATAAATAAAAAATAAAATAAATAAAAAAAAAACCAGCCAGGCGAGGTGGCTCATGCCTGTAATCCCAGCGCTTTGGGAGGCTGAGGAGGGCGGATCTTGAGGTCAGGAGATCGAGACCATCTTGCTTAACACAGTGAAACCCCATCTCTACTAAAAATATAAAAAATTAGCCGGGCGTGGTGGTGGGTGCCTGTAGTCCTAGCTACTTGGGAGGCCGAGGCAGGAGAATGGCATGAACCCACGATTCATGCCATTGGGAGGCAGAGCTTGCAGTGAGCTGAGATCGCGCCACTGCACTCAAGCCTGGGTGACAGAGCGAGACTCTGTCTCAAAACAAAACAGAGCAAAACAAAAAAACCCAGGATAAACCAGTAAGACTTGAAGCAATTTCTTCATAGCATATAGGAGTGGGATGGATATACCTAGCTTTCAGATGATAAGAGCAACTGAAAATTTCCATTAAAAAAATGCAAATACCTTGCTTCCAAGTTATGTATAATTTCTATCAGTTTATCTTCTGAGTTGAGGATACTCATAATTTTGTACCAACATGGACTCTTAGCAAGGTTTTACATTGAGCCTTGAACAACAAAAATTTCAGATGAAATTTCAAGTGTGATTATCTGGGTATATTTCAGTAGCACTACTTGGCCACAAGCACTGATTATCTCAGTAAGACCAAACTTTGCAAAGGCCTTCCCCTAGCTAACTGCAGACATTAGGCATAAGCCCCTTCTTTCCAGCACATTTATGGTCTCCACAGTCTACTTCCCCGTTTGACCTTTGTAGACCTCTAGATATTTGTAACTGGCTTGGTGACACCTTGTTTGATGAAAATTTAAAAGTCTGACATTTGTCCCCTCTAGAGAATTGGTCACCCCTAATTCCTTGGAAAGTATCCTTCAACGTCTATGGACATTTTTCTACAGTTGGACAGTTAGAATGGCATAAATGCCTTGAACACTGATATTTAGTGATAACAACCAGTTTCTCCCCAAAGGCTTTTGTTCTAGTCCGTTATGACAGACCGATGCTCTCCTGAGATGAAACCATGTCCATCTTCAGATGCGTACTGCAACTATTAACCGAACATTGTTATTATCATTTGGAAGAATGGATAGAGCCAGTTTCACTAGTGGACTCAAACACACTAATGAGTACTGTTGCAAATTCCTGTATCCAGAGCTATGTTGCTGCAGCTGTTTAGAACCCAGAACAATCCCCACATCACCATCACGGAGTTATGCACAATGCCACAGGACAGCTACCGTGGCTTTTGCTGGCATTCATCCTAATGGATATTCAGATGTTCCTCTTCCAGGATCATCACGTTTTTCAAACAGCAAGTGAATTTTGACATACCTATTAAGCAATCACCAGCTAGAAAATATTAAATAATTTCCTGATACTCTGTTGGGGAGAGCTCTGTGCCTATGTCTGTTATGGATAGTTTCTATATCTGAAGCTGCTCCTTTGATTTCTAAGATATGTAGTTTTGTGACCTCTCTGGCTAGGGACTTTTTCTGAGCTCTTAAAGTGTTAAATTTGTAATTTAACAAATGGATTCATTGTAGACTGCACACACACTTGATAACTATTATCTAAAAATTTCTACAAATTTCTTCGTGAGAAAGATGAGCTCTGTGATATAAACAGCATGGTAGTGCTTTCATCAGACTTGCTTCTATGTCTGTAAAACTTAGATTTCTTATCAATTACTGCTGGTATGTTCTTTATGAGAAGTTCTTTTTAAAATAATGGAATAAAAGTCATGTGCTAATCTTGGATAAAGCAGGGACAGTGATGGGGCCTAGCTATGGTAAGTGTTTGTGCCCCAGATTGTCAGGGCTCAGCACACTATCGATCAAGGTCTTTTATCTTGGTTTCTTGAAGGTGGAATGAAAGTCTTTTCTGTGTATAAATCCAAGCAAGCAGGATGACTCTTTATAGTGCTCCTGAGCAACCACTGAAAGCACAAAGTCTGCTAAAATTTAAGGTCAAACCAAACTGAATTGCCTACTGAGAGATTGTGGAAGGAGTTACACCACCTGCTCTTGTCCTGCATCCTTTCATTTAAGTCACCCAGCAGTATCCTATTGAAGGCCATTGAAGAAAGTTCGCAGAGCACCAAGGGGTAGCAGTAGTAAGAAGGAGCCAAATTCAGACACAACGTCTGATTGTAATTAAATACTGTTGGATAGGCCAAGTGCAGTGGCTCACGCCTATAATCCCAGCACTTTGGGAGGCCAAGGTAGGTGGATCACTTGAGCCCAAGAGTTCAAGACCAGCCTGGGCAAAATACCGAGACCCCATCTCTACAAAAAATTAAAAAGTTAGCCAGGTGTGGTGACATGCATCTGTGGTCCCATCTATTCAGGAGGCTGAGGCAGGAGGATCACTTGAGCCCATTAGTTTGAGGCTGCAGTGACCCATGATGGCACCAGTGCACTGCAGCCTGGGAGACAGAGCGAGACCTTGTCTCCATAAAAATAAGTATTAAATACTGTTGGAAGTATATACCCTCCTACTGCAAAAAACTTCAGGAGCACAGGGTTGACAGAAGTAAAAATAATTCAAATGGAACAAATAATTAGAAAATCACAGTGTCACTTTGGGAGGCCGAGGTGGGTGGATCACCTGAGGTCAGGAGTTCGAGACCAGCCTGGCCAACATGGTGAAACCCTGTCTGTACTAAAAGTACAAAAATTAGCCGGGCGTGGTGGCAGGCACCTGTAATCCCAGCTACTTGGGAGGCTGAGGCAGGAGAATCTCTTGAACCCAGGAGGCCAAGGTTGCAGTGAGCCGAGATCGTGCCATCACACTCCAGCCTAGGGCACAAGAGCGAGATTTTGTCTCAAAAAAAAAAAAAAAAAAAAAAAGAAAGAAAGAAAAGAAAAGAAAATCACAGTGTTTTCTGAATTACATGATAATTCTTTTTTTTTTTCTTTTTTGAGATCTCGCTCTGTCACCCAAGCTGGAGTTCAGTGGCACCATCTCAGTTCACTGCAAGCTCCACCTCCCAGGTTTTAGGCCGTTCTCCTGCCTCAGCCTCCCGAGTAGCTGAAACTACAGGCATGCATCACCACACCTGGCTAATTTTTTGTATTTTTAGTAGAGATGGGGTTTCACCGTGTTAGCCAGGGTCGTCTCGATCTCCTGACCTTGTGATCCGCCCACCTCGGCCTTCCAGAGTGCTGGTATTACAGGTGTGAGCCACTGCGCCCAGCCAATTACGTGACAGTTCTAATTCTCCACCTCTCTGTGCTAGCTCCCTTTTAGCACCTACTGTAACCAAATCCTGACCTGATTTTTTGATTAAAGTGGGTGCAGTTGTAAAGGCACCTTAGGAAAGTGGGATATGGAGCCTAAGGTGAAATAAATCTTAGGAAACCTGCCTCTTGGTGCTTTTCCATCATCCTCACAGAAGGTTGTACCTTGTCCTTCCCTATTCTACCTCTTCTCAGGCAACCCTCGTCTCTCTATTTCAGTCTCTGTTCAGGAGCTGAGGTGACAGCTGCATTTGCCATACCTAAATGTATCTCTTAACGT
This sequence comes from Homo sapiens, assembly GCF_000001405.40. Lineage (NCBI taxonomy): Eukaryota > Metazoa > Chordata > Mammalia > Primates > Hominidae > Homo > Homo sapiens. Next base: position 108,386,478 of record NC_000011.10, on the reverse strand, counting down.
GTTCTGGACACTGCAAAGACAGCGCTGCTGCTCTAATGAGCTCAGAAACTAGATGCTTTAAATTTCCCTTCACGTATCAGAGACAGTGAATCTGGTAATCCAGAACAAAGGAGAAAGTTTTTGTTGTTGTCTCCAGGAGAGTTTTCTGCCCATGCTTTAAATTTGGATGTTATTAACTAACTTCTTAGTAAACACTCAGCTGAGGACATGATCTTTCTGGAATTAACAGGATAAAATGAGGGGGCATGCTAGAGGGAGGTGAAAGGACACTAAGTATGGCAGATGGTGGGCACCATTTTTATACCTCCTTCAACTCCTTGTCCTGAAGGTTCTTAGCTGGATGTGAGCTACTAGAAGGTGAGAAAGTCTTGAGAGTTACACATGGAGGCTAGTGAACATGCCATCATTAATCTAAGATTTCTGAAAAGTGGAATTTTAGAAGTAGTCTAAGTATGTACTAATGAATCGATTAAATTTAATGAATCCTCATATAATGTGCTTAGGTACATTGCCAGCTGGAAGGAAATTGCTACAAGCAACTCTTCGGCTAACTTCAAAGGTAGGTGATTTTTAGCAGTACTTTATAGGAAATTCTCATGAACAAAAAATACATTCCACACACGTATTTCTAGGCATTTAACATTTCAGTAATCTGCATAGTATATAAATTTAGATGCATTTGTCAAGTCATTTTTACCTTTGTATGTAAGATTGTTATTTGGGAATAGAAGGAAATGTCCTATATTATTTAAGTTTGAATAAAGTGATTTTAAAAATATGAATCTTTTTTTTTTTTTGAGACGGAGTCTTGCTCTGTCGCCCAGGCTGGAGTGCAGTGGTGCGATGTTGGCTCACTGCAAGCTCCGCCTCCCAGGTTCACACCATTCTCCTGCCTGAGCCTCCCAAGTAGCTGGAACTACAGGCACCCGCCACCACACCCCGCTAATTTTTTGTATTTTTAGTAGAGACAGGGTTTCACTGTGTTAGCCGGGATGGTCTTGATCTGCTGACCTTGTGATCCAACTACCTCGGCCTCCCAAAGTGCTGGGATTACAGGCGAGAGCCACCACGCCTAGCCAAAATATGAATCCTTTTTTAAAAGTTACTGGTCAGGCACAGTGGCACACACCTGTAATCCCAGCACTTTGGGAGGCTGAGGCAGATGGATCACCTGAGGTCAGGAGTTCGAGACCAGCCTGGCCAACATGGTGAAACCCTGACTCTACTAAAAATACAAAAATTAGCTGTGCATGGTGGCAGATGTCTGTAATCTCAGATACTCGGAGGCTGTGGCAAGAGAATCGTTTGAACAGGGAGGCGGAGGTTGCAGTGAGCCAAGATTGCACCACTAAACTCCAGCCTGGGTGACAGAGTGAAGAAAAAAAGTTACTTATAGTTTTAGTAACAATTTTTCATGAGCAGACTTCACTTGGCAAAATAAATGCCTCAAAATGTTGAAAATAGTTTTTAGGTTCTAGGCCACTATTGTTCTGCCAGTAGTTAGCAGTACTGAAATGCTAAAAGTAAAAGCCAGCATGTTGAAGAAGAGTGTCATCAGACCCCAGAAACGCCAATAATTTTAACATAGCCAAAGCCTAATGATGGTGTATGAGTTCTGTCCTACTAGCAGATAGGAGAAGCAGTAAAGCAAAGAGGTTAGGATTGTGGAGTTGTTTGTTTGTTTGTTTGTTTTTGTTTTTGTTTTGAGACAGGGTCTCACTCTGTTGCCCAGGCTGGAGTGCAGTGGCCTGGACCTCAGTTCCCTGCAGCCTCTGCCTCCCAGGCTCAAGCAATTCTCCCACTTCAGCCTCCTGGGTAGCTGGGACCATAGGCACACACCACCATGCCCAGCTAATTTTTGTATTTTTGTCAAGATGGGATTTCGCCATGTTGCCCAGGCTGGACTCGTGATCTGCCCATCTTGGCTTCCCAA